>NC_000011.10:74085999-74389029 GCF_000001405.40 Homo sapiens | reverse complement strand
TGTCTCATGGAGAAACCTGTTTTTACCTAATTTATGTCTGTTTGGCTTTTTAGAAATATTTTCCCTCAAAATAAAAGGTTGATTAGTAATTTAGTGCAGATTTTACTGAAGGAGTATTGTTTTCATTAGTCAACTGTGGTCTGCATTACTACTAATTAGTACTGAGGCTGCTGCCCTCTAGTATCGGGAGTTAATGGAGAAAATGTTCTATGCTGGTGAAGAATAGACAGGAAGGCAGTGAGATAGTGTCACCAATCCTCATGAGATCTTTTACACCAAGTCATTTAATGAGGAGTGTATCTTACCAAACAAAACAATGGAAATGGTCATATTTAATGCCTTAAAGAGTATGAAGACTATAATATGGTAAATGAAAAATACCATATCTCTCTGATTCAAAGACATTTTAATGTCTACCTTGTTAGAAAACCTCTTTAACGTAAGTAATGGTTTTATGTTGTGTTTCTGCTTCAGAATTTTTTCACGTCATTTTCTCTCTGAAATATTTCATTATTTATATAGGTAAAAATGAGGGAAAAGCCTAAGTGTCCATGAATAAATAAATGGTGACATAAACTGGAACACTCTGGAGTGAAAAGAATAGCATGGCTCTATATGTATTAAAAGGACCTCCAAGATATATAGATATAAAGAGAGATATAGATACATAGGTGTATAGGTTTATATTTTTTTTAATTTTATTTTATCATATTAAGAACACTTAGCATGAGATTTACCCTCTTAACAGATTTTCCAGTATTCAATATAGTATGGTTAACTGTAGGTACAGTGCTGCACAGCATATCTCTATAATGAATTCATCTGGCTTAACTGCAACTTTATGCCTCTTGCTTAGCAACTCTCCATTCCTCCTTCCCTTCCAGCATCTGGCAACCATCATTCCACTCTTTAATTCTATGAATTTGACTATTTTAGATACCTCATATAAGTGAAATCATGCAGTATTTGGCCCTCTGTGCAAGATATACATGAAATAAGCAAGTTATAGAACAACATGTACAATTTGATGCCATATATGTAAAAAAAGAGTTAAAGCAAAACTGCATTTTACAAGTATGTAGATGTGTAGTAAAGGTCTGGAAGAATGTATTACAAGCTGTAAGCGGCACCTCTAAAGGTGGGGTCTGGGAATGAAAGTAATGGTCAATGATGTCTGCAGCTTTATCTGTATTATTAGTATTTTTAAAATAAGAGAAATGTGTTACTGTAATTCATAATAAAGTAAAATTTAAAATATAAATAAAAATTAAGTGGTTAACTGTCTGACATTGGCTTTTAAGGGCAATAGGAGTTCAAAGTCAGGAAGATTTTTTGTAAGAGGTAGAATTTGAGCTGGGACTTGAAGGGTAAGTAGGATACAAATAGATAATGGATATGGGGCAAAAATTTAAAATGGGCACAGTAGAATCATAAAATGGAAAATGACACTGATCAGGGAAATGAAACTGAGCAGGAGGCATGCAGAAACCATGAACAGATTTCTTAAGTATAGCGTATGTATTGTGCTACTATGGTGAGTAAGTATAGGTGAAGGAAAACTAGTGTTTATGAGTGATCATGTACCAGACATGGTACTTACTAGATGCTTTCATGTAGAAAGTCTCTTAATTCTCCCAAGGATTGTTTGAGGTAGTTATTTCCATTTTTTTAAGCCTATGCACAAACCCAGGCTCAGAGAAGTGTAGAGAGAGGGGACTATTTGAATCCAAGAAGGTTTCAAACTCCTTTGCCCTTTGGGATCTGACCCCAACCTTTCTAATTTTTACATTTGATGTAATGAGAATTGAACTCTATTGCTGATTCTTGGCTGATTAATCTGGCTGCAGCATGTAATTAGGATGAGATGGAATGGAGTTGTGGAGGGGATCCTGGAAACTCTCATAGAAATGTAGATATAAAAGTTTTACATAAGGATGTTTGCTTTGTGAGAAAATCAGGAAAAGAAGCCATAAGACTCACTAGCAAATTGATCTCTGTCTTCTTTTTAAAAAGACAGAAAATGATAGTTCCCATTTCGTTAAATCATATATTTTGCTAACTTTGAATCACATCTTTTAAAAGAAAGAAATTATAATTTAAATTCACATGCCCACCTCTCTGATTCCATTTTCCTCCCTTCTTCCTTTCCTCAAAGTAACCAAGGCATATCTAGGAATACTAGGGTTTTGTTTGATTTTCTTTTTCAGTTAAAATATCATTTTGTTTTTCACTTAAATGAAGATAACTGTGGGAGGCTGGGTGTGGTGGCTCATGCCTGTAATCCCAGCATTTTGGGAGGCCAGGGCAGGAGGATTGCTTGAGCCCCAGAGTTTGAGACCAGCCTGGGCAAAATAGGGAGACCTCATCTCTACAAAAAGTAAATAAAATTAGGTGGGCATGGTGGCATGTGCCTATAGTCTCAGCTACTTGGGAGGCTTAGGTGGGAAGATTGCTTGAGCCTGGGAGGTTGAGGCTGCAGTGAGCTGTGATGGCACCACTGCACTCCAGCCTGGGTGACAGAGTGGGACCCTACCTCAAAAAAAAAAAAAGTTTTTTTTTTTGACAGATATTGCCAAATTGCCTTACAGAGAGTGTGCACCAATGTATTATTCTACCAATAATATATAAAAGTGCCTGCTTTCTCAAATTCTTGACTCTACCATGCAGTATCAAATATTTTTCTTTGCCATTGTGAAAAATAAAAACTATATTTTATTTTAGCTTTAATTTCCATTTTTCTTATAAGTGAGGTTGTATATTTTCATATACTTAAAAGATAGCTGTATTTCCTTTTCTATGAACTATTCATATCTTTTGCTAGCTTTTCTATTGAGTTATTAATCTTTTCTCCTGTTTTAATGCCAAAGAAATAAGTCTTTGATGTATCATGTATTACAAATGTTTTTTTCTCAGTTTGTCTTTTGAATTTATATATGTAATTTTTATCACGTAGAACATAATTATAATTTTATTGACAGCATAGTATTTCACTTGGTAAATATATCATATTTAACCATTTCCTTTTTGCTGGATGTCTTAAAGTATTCTGATTTTTAAAAACTATTTTGAATAATGCTGACAGCATCATTTTGCATATAATTTTTTCCCTTAGATTATTTCTATAACATGTAAAGATGACATATACATGATACAGAGATATTTAACTTCTGGGAAATGCTGTCAGACCATAATTGTAGCCTAATTTCAGAAGAATATGGAATTTGGGCTTTATTGAAAAAGAAAAAGCATATTATTGTTTCCTTTCTTGGTGGTTTTTATGCTGATGGGCAGGGTTCTCCTGTTGGTAGTATTTTCGCCATTTCAAAATATGCATTAAACATCAAGCCATGAATCTTTTGTCTGAGTATACGTTAAATTAAGCATAAAACTATGGAATCTCAGTTGACAGAAATATAGATATTATCTTATTTAAGCTCCTACTCAGAATAAAAACATGTTCTGTAGTATCCCAAATAGGCAACTTCCGTATGAGAACATTTCTGGTATAATGGAGTCTTGTCTTACTTAGGAGTTAGATTCCAAAGTCAATAAATAATGATAATGGTATAAAATTTTAAAATCACCCTTGTAAACCCTTAAATTGTCCAAGAACTACAAGATACATGATTTCAAATATCTATCCTTACACAGTAATATATGAGAATATGTAACATATGTAGTAATGTGCCATATATAATAGAGCACATACACAAAATACAATTTTAATATTTAGGAGGCAGGGCTAAATACATATAGTGGAGTACATGTAAGTTAAGTGTAGTAAAGCCATACTATATAGTGCAGTGTTGTAGGATAGAAAGATTTCTGCTTCTAGAAATGACAGATGAGGTAATTTGGACAATCTTCCTCCAACAACTGGAAAAAACAGACAAAATATAGATTTAAAAATCTGTTTGAAGGTGTTATTTAATGTTAGTCAAGAGTTTCCAGTTTAAGATTTGGAAGAAGAAGGAAATTCCAGGCCATGATCTAGAAGAAGACAGAAATTCAGAGAGCTGAGTTTAGTATTTAGGGGGCCACTTTTGCCCAGGGCACATTTATTGATCAGGATAGGCAGCTAAGAAGATTGTCAGTCTTTTTGTTAGCCTTGCTAGTATAGCGGGACAAAAGTTGGAATCTAGGCCCTATTGCGGGTGGAGACCCTGAAAACACTCTTACTTTAGGTTAGAAGTCCAAAGGGCTGCCCTGTGAATACTGGTGAACTCAAAGTAAACACTCCGCATACAGACTATATTCCAGTTTTGAGTCATTTGGATGGCTTGGAAATTGGATTAAAGTGAACCTAGATTGCTAGTGCTTTCAGATGCCTAAGAAAAGCAAAACAACAAACAAACAAACAACAACAACAACAAGTTTCCTGGAGGGAGGTAGCTTCATCTTAGTTTCCAAATTATTCCTACTAATAATATTTTAAATATAATACCTAATATTACAAAAATAATATAAATATAATAGTACAGAGTCAAAGATAACCAAACATATAAGGAAGCAAGTCAACATAAACAAGAACCTGCAGAAACAACAGATAATGCAAACTGACCGGCAAGGGCTCCTATATTTATCAAATGTAGACTTTAAAATAACTAAGATTGTCAAGATCAAGAAGATTAAAAAAGATTAAAATTGAGCAGAGAGCAGAAGTAAGAGTAATCTCATAAGTTAAAAAAATTGGTGGAGAAATGAAAATAATACAAAAAGTAAATTTTTAAAAATAGAAATTCTGAAGCTGAAGAAATACAATAACCAAAATTAAGAATTCAATGAACAAATTTAACAACACTTTAGAGAGGAATCAGAGAGAGAATTAACAAACTACAAGATAGGTCAGTGAAAAATAGTCAGAACAAAGCATGGAATGACAAAAGGATGCGGGGGGAGTGGGGGAGTAAAAGAGAGGCTACGAGACATAAGATGATACAGGAAAAGGTCTAACATGCTATTCATTGGAATCTCTTAAGGAGAGGAAAGAGATAGTTACTATGAAATTTCCTAAACTGATGAATGACATTAATCCACAGGTTAAGAGTTTGGGGTTACAAAGGAATATAAATCATTCTATTATAAAGATATATGCACACGTATGTTCATTGCAGCACTATTCACAATAACAAAGACATGGAATCAACCCAAATACCCATCGGTGATAGACTGGATAAAGAAAATGTTATATATATATATATATATTTATTTATATATCTCCATAGAATACTATGTATACATAAAAAGGATTGAGATCATGTTCTTTGTAAGGACATGGATGGAGCTGGAAGCCATTATCCTCAGCAAACTAACACAGGAACAGAAAACCGAACACCGCATGTTCTCACTTACAAGTGGGAGCTGAACAATGAGAACACATGGACACCGGGAGGGGAACAACACACACTGGGGCCTGTCTGGGAGGCGTGGGGAGGGAGAGCATCAGGATAAATAGCTAATGCATGTGGGACTTAATACCTAGGTGATGGGTTGATAGGTGCAGCAGACCACCATGGCACACATTTACCTATGTAACTGGCACATGTATCTGGAATATAAAATAAAGTAAAATTTTAAATAAATAAGAGTTTGGGGTTAATTTGTATTCTGTAAACTTTTCTCCTTGATTACATAAGTAATCCTTCCCTATAAAGATATAAGGAACAATCACATTTTTTTTTAGTTTTATTTTTCTGTGCATTTATGTGTATTTTACAAATTTGGAATTGTATTGCATGTATGGTTTATATACTTACTCCCTTAATATATCTAAGTGTTTTTGCATATTAAAATTCTATTGTGATTTTTTAATACATTATTTTAATGTATTATTACATCAGCCTTTTTATTTAACCAGTTTTCTATTAACATGTGGCTTGCTTACTTTTTTATTATTAACATTACTTTAGTGAATATCCTTATGACTAAATCATAACATGAATCCGTGATTATTTCCTTGGGATAAATTTCTAGAAGTAGAATTGCTAAAACAAAGACTATTTAATATTTAAGCTACTTAAAACATTGGCAAATTGTCATCTGAGATGTTGTATTGATTTATAGTCCCTCTGTAGCAGATTGTGTTTTTAAAGACGGCTGCACCTATATGTCCCATTCCACATGCTCTTCTTATTGTGTGACTTTGGTACTCCTCAATTGAAAGGTGGGATCTGTGTTCCCTCTGCTGGAACCTGGGTGGACTTTTGTAACTGTCTAAAGAAATATAGTACAAAGCAGGTGCGGTGGCTCATGCCTGTAATCTCAGCACTTTGGGAGGTTGAGGCGGGAGTATTGCCTGAAGCTAGGAGTTCAAGCCCAGCCTAGGCAACATGGCAAGACCCAATCTCTACAAAAAATTAAAAAGTTAGCCAGGCACAGTGGTGTATGCCTGTAGTCCCAGTTACTTGGGAGGCTGAGGTAGGAAGATTGCTTGAGCCTGGGAGGCAGAGGCTGCAGTGAGCTGTGTTTGCACCACTGTACTCCAGCCTAGGTGACAGAGTGATACTCTGCCTCAAAAAAATAAAAATAAAAATAAAAATAGTAAATACAGTGCAGTGGAAGCTAACCTGCCTTTCAGGGCTAGGCCATAAAAGGTAATATGACTTCCACTTGGCTTGCTTGCTCATGGGACACTTGCCTTTGGAACCCAACATTGCAAGGAAACCGAGGCCACAAGGAGTGGCCTCTGTAGGTGTTCCATTTGATGGCCTCCACTAGGCCCCAGCCTACAGTCAGCATCACTGCCAGATAGACAAGCCTACAGCAGGACACAGACAAGCCATCCTGGCTGTGCCCTTTCTGAATTCCTAACCCATAGAAACTGTGAAAGATAATTAATGATTATTGATTGAAACCATTAAGTTTAGAGTGGTTTTTTACTAAGCCATAACAATAAATACACTCTCATTCTCCAGCACTAGGCTTATTCATTTTAAAAACTCTTAATCAAGTTTTGGGTGAAAAAATGGTATCTTGTTTTGATTTTCATTTCCTTGGTTACTAGAGTTAATTTTCATTCCCCAGCACTGGGCTTACTCATTTTAAAAATTCTTAATAAATTTTTAGGTGAAAAATGGTATCTTGTTTTAATTTTCATTTCCTAGGTTACCATTGGTGGGGGTGGGGGGGAAGCAATGGTTAGCGTGCTGGGTATAGATATTATTTCAAATTCAGTAAGTCTAATACTGAACTCATTATCTCTCTACTCCCAACTTGTTCCTCACCCTCCTTGCTCCACAATCCAACTCCTACTGATCTTTCACTTTTCAGTTCAAATATTACTTACACTGGGTGCAGTGGCTTCACACCTGTAATTCTAGCACTTTGGGGAGGCCAAGGCAGGAGGATCACTTGAGCCCAGGAGGTCCGGGCTGCAGTGAGCTGATATATCCCCACTGTACTCCAGCCTGAGCAACAGAACGAGACTCTGTCTCAAAAAAAAAAAAAAAAAAAAAAAAAGACAAAAACACAAACAAACAAAAAACCCTACAAATACGCCAAAGTTTCAGTGGCTTACACAGTGAAAATTTATTTCTTGCTCACGTTACAGCCCAGGGCTGGTCCATGAGGTAGGAGGTAAAAGAGGGGGATTTTGCTCCGTGAAATCATTTATTCCATCTTGTTGCTACATACTCCTCTAGGTCCTTAGAGTCCTCTCTGTTTAATGGGTAAATGGGGAAAGAGGAGTGGTGGGGGAGTAGGTCTGGGGCTAGGCATGGAAGTGGTGCACATCTCTTTCATATCCAGTGACCACAACTCTGTCACATGGTCTCATTTAGCTCCAAGGGAGGCTGGCATGGTGCCCAGGAAGAAGAGTAGAACATGATTCCTGTTTTTTACAGGTGAGGATACTGGAGTGAAATTACCTGTTCAAGGTCATAAAGCTAGTAATAGATGCTACTGGAACCCTTGAACTTAGTATACTTAGTGCCTCACATGATCACTTACTGACAAAACCTGTAGAGTTTGAAAAGTTAATCTCAAAAATCATCACATCTGCTTGGAATCTAAAGTCTAAGGAAAGGTGAAGTGACTTGTTCAGGATGATCTAGCTAAGCAATTGCTGACTCAAGATCAGGGCCAAACCTTCTAGAATTATAGTTCAGTGATCTTTCTCTCCTGCAGTGGTCTACTGAGCACATTAGCCAATAATTGGATTCTTTGTTGGTCAAGAAAAGTATGATGTGTCAGAATAGTTGTAGAAAGACAATAAACATTTGAAATATTTTATGTTGACTACCTTATATGAGAAATATTTTTTACTTAAAACTTAACAGAGACAAGTTAGACTATGTCATTGAACAGTAAAATTGAGCTCAATGTATGTGCTTTGTTAAAATTATAGTTTTTTTAAAAAAAGATAGGTTTTTTTGAAACAAAATAATTAACTTTTTTAAATTTTTCACACTAATTTGGTATATCTAATATTCTTAAATGATAATATTTCAAGGATTATTTTCTACTTTGGGGGTAATTAGTACTTCATTTCATGGATATGATTTTTGTGTTTATTAAGCAATTATTCAAATAAATCTCATTTTATATGATGAGTATATTTTATATTCAAGTTTTTTATCTAAGCCAAATTTATGTTAATTTCTACCAATTTTTTAAAGATAAGGAAATTAAATTTAGAATTACACAAAAATTATTTAAATAGGAAAGAATGATTGGTTTAGCATGAATATATTTTGGACTTAATAAAGAAACATCTGATTTAGAAAAGCTGTTCTGCTCCAAGACTCTAGACTTGGATCTTCAAATCGGCTTACCCTCAGAAGTAAATGTCAGCTGTGTTTACCTTTCAGATTTTCAGATTGCACTTTCCTGTTTTAACTTCTGGTTAGAAATAAACTTTAAAATTTGTTTGTCTTTCATTCAAGATGAGGGGCAAAATAATAAATAGATAAACAAAATAAAAATGTTTTTCTCTGTAGTTATATAAAACTGGTATTTATTATTTAGACACAAGTCTCTGTCAGTAACATTTAAAAATGTTATGTACAATTTTGCAACTTTAGAAGTATTTGAGTTCTTAAGAGTCAATTTTGTATATTGGCTCCCCTTTAGATGTGTAACAATATTAGAATTTGGGATTTTTTTTTAGACAGAATTTCACTCTTGTTGTCCAGGCTGGAGTGCAAATGTCATGATCTCGGCTCACTCTAACCTCCGCCTCCCACATTCAAGCAATTTTCCTGCTTCAGCCTCCCGAATAGCTGGGATTACAGGTGCCCACCACCATACCTGGCTAATTTTTTGTATTTTTAGTAGAGGCGGGGTTTTACCATGTTGTCCAGGCTGGTCTCAAACTCCTGACCTCAGGTGAGCCATCCACCTCAGCCTCCCAAAGTGCTGGGATTACAAGCATAAGCCACCGCGCCCAGCCTGAATTTGGGATTTTTAATATATATTATGTTCTTTTAGATCTGTTCCAATCTTCTAAACAATACGATTCATGTTTTTGAGTGTATTTAAGCTGTTAGGTTTTGTACTAGAATACTAATAGAGTAGATTCAAATTGTGTTAGAATTATTAAAATAGTAGGTTTATAAGATAAGTAGGAAAAAAGATTTACAGGCAAACTCTTTAATATGGTTTGGCTGTTTTGTCCCCTGTAAATCTCATGTTGAAATGTGACCTCCAATATTGGAGGTGGGTCCTGGTGGGAGGCGTTTGGGTCATGGAGGTGGTTCCCTCATGAATAGCTTGGTTCTCTGCTGGTGATAATAAGGAGTTGTCACTCTGTTAGTTCACATGAGGGCTGATTGTTGAAGAGCCTGGCAGCTCTCTTTTGTTCCCTCCTTCACCATGTGATAGGCTGGCTATCCTTCCCTTCTGCGATGACTAAAAGCTTCCTGGGCCTCACCAGAAGTGGAGCAGATGCTGGTGCTGTGCTTGTACAGCCTGCAGAACCATGAGCCAAATAAAACTTATTTCTTTATAAATTACCCAGCCTCAAGTATTCCTTTATACCAATGCAGACAAACTAACGCACTTCTCATTGGCAAACTTGATTACTTTTTTTACACTCTTTTATAGACATTTATATTTATTATACATAAATAATATAGAAGTCCCTAGTTATGAACAGAATAGGTTCAGAAAACTTGGGCAAGTTCAAAATGATCCTTCATAAGTGAATGTTAATACTTTCATTGGTCAGCAGGCAGAGTTGATGTGAATTTTGGTCTGGTGTGTAACCTTCTGCACATCTGTGAAAGTTTGTAAGAAGTTAATTTTTTTAAGTGGTTTTGGAAAAATCAATTCTTTCATGTTTTCTTTGAATTTGGGCCTTATGGTTCTACAATATAGAAAAAAGAAAACTCCACAAGTACTATGTAAGAAGACACTTTCTTTTCTTCATTTCAGCCATGTAAAGTTGAAGCAAACCATAGGATTAGAACCTAAAGGAAAATTTTTGGTATACAGGTAAAATTTGAAAATAATGTATGGCTTTTTTCTGTATTCTGCACCTTACTGATTTCATACTAAACAATTAGCTTTATTACTGATGAAGTACAGAGAAATGCTAGTAGTCACTAAGATCTTTTGGATTTTCTGCAGGATTACTTTTTTGGAGTACTAAAATTGTTAGGATTCTAAGATATGCTAGTTAAAAGCAAATTTATTTCAGATTGAATGCATTTACTTTCTAAATAATTAATTTTCATTTTATATAATAGGTCAGTGTGTATATTTCTTTTTCTTTTTCTTTTTTTTTTAATTGAGACGGAGTCTTACTCTGTTGCCCAGGCTGGAGTGCAGTGGCGCAATCTCGGCTCACTAAAACCTCTGCCTCCCTAGTTCAAGTGATTCTCCTGCCTCAGCCTCCCAAGTAGCTGGGACTACAGGCACATGCTACCATGCCCAGCTAATTTTTGTATTTTTAGTAGAGACAAGGTTTCGCCATGTTGGCCAGACTGGTCTTGAACTCCTGACCTCAGGTGATCCGCCCGCCTCGACCTCCCAAAGTGCTGGGATTACAGGCATGAGCCAATGTGCCCAGCCTGGTATGTATGTTTCTTCAAAGCAGGTCAGTCAAATAGTTTTCCTACTGTCTTCCTCCTCTTTTTTTTTTTTCCTGACTAGGCTTCTACCCCCAAGTAATCAGTGAATTGTAAATAAGAGAGCACATTCAGAAAGCAAACAATAATTTGCATTTGAGAGAAAGCCAATATATGTTTTATAGATTCAGATCTTATCAGTAGCTTTCTGTGAATGGGAAAAGGAGAGCAATTTGTGAGGTAAAAAATTATTCACATAGACACACAAGTAGTGGTTTTTCTCAGCCATCATGAATACCTAACTAGTTTTTAACCATAAAAAAGTGATATATACATAAAATATCCAAACAGCATCATGGCTATCCAATAAAAATAAGTCACTTTTCTACTTGAAACCCCATGCCTAATATCCCCTTCAGAGGTAATCACTATTTTTAGTCTCTTATATTTGCATGGAATACTTCTAGATGATATATAAATATACACATACCTCTTTTTATAGAAATGAAAACACTGTATATACTCTTCTGCTCTCCTTTTCATTTACTATACCTGAGTTCTACATAAAAATTTCATTTAAAAATAATTAGTTGGCCGGCGCGGTGGCTCACGGCTGTAATCCCAGCACTTTGGGAGGCCAAGGTGGGCGTATCATGAGGTCAGGAGATCGAGACCATCCTGGCTAACACGGTGAAACCTCGTCTCTACTAAAAGTACAAAAAATTAGCTGGGCGTGGTGGCGGGCGCCTGTAGTCCAGCTACTCGGGAGGCTGAGGCAGGAGAATGGTGTGAACCCGGGAGGCGGAGCTTGCAGTGAGCCGAGATCGCGCCACTGCTCTCCAGCCTGGGTGACAGAGCGAGACTCCGTCTCAAAAAAAAAAAAAAGAAATAATAATAATGATAATTAGTTTATAATTCTTTAGAATCTTCATATATTATAGTTTATAAAATCGTAGTGATATATTGACTTTAGCAAAAAAATACAAATGTAAGTTCATCTGAATGGAGAATATGTGATAATTATGGCTGCATAGATAGTTTTTTAGGTTATATTTTTAAAAGTTTATAACATCAACATCTAAATTAATGTCTCACTGTTAAATAGGGGAGAAATCTGAGTGTAAAGTAGATTTCAAATGCCAGTTGTCATAATTATTTAGCTTTTTTTGCCATACAAATGTATTTATTATGTCTAGTATATCATGATTTTTTATTCATTTTTATTTTTCTCTAACTTACCAGTTTTTCAACAACCAGGAATTAGGTTAGTACTGGTTGTGAAGTCTGTAACTGGGAATGGAATTTTTAGGCCCTACTCTAGTAGCTGTGCAGTTAAACATTAGGAAGTATACTCAGTAACCAACAGCATTTATGTCTGCTGGATCATTTATATATGTGTGTGTGTATACATACGTATATATACATACATATATGCATAATGTGTATATACACATATATACTCATTAGATATATATACATACTACATATATACATATATACATACTGTATATATACACACATATATACTATATACACATTATACTATATATACATACTATATATATATACACACACACTATACTTGTTATAAAAAGGAATATCGTTTTGCTTTGTAACTGGAGTTAAATTGTTATCAGAAGCATTATTAACACCCCAACACAATTATTTTGTTTGTCTGTAGTGAGATGGTGTAGGCTTTAGAGCCAGCCCAGCCTAGGTTCCCATCCTGTCTAAATTTCCAATGCCACCTCAGTGATACTAGGCTCCCTCTCTAAATCTTAGTTTCTTCGTCTACACAATAGTAATATTAATAATAATACTATCCATACAGATGCTGCAGTGAACATTCTTATATGAATAAATGTTATTGTTCATGTGAAGGTATTTTTGTGGACAGAAATCTATGGGCCAAAAGGCATGTGCAATTTAAAATTTGATACTTGCTGTAAAAGCACTGTAAAAAGACTATCCCAGTTTACATTCCTACTAGCAGGGTATTACAGTGCTATGTACCCTCTAAACGTGAAGAGTCTATTCAATTTTTGCCATTCTTATGCCCATCTTTAAATGTTAGCCCTCTTCAACTCTCTTTGGCCTCTCTATGAAATATCATGGTATCTTAGACATGATAATATCCCAGATATTGTTATTCATATTTTTCCATAATAGCTATTCATATTTTTATGTAGGTTATTTGTTAGTGTGTGCCATTTATGAAACAGAAACTGCTTGAGTCTGGATTTTATATATCATCCATTAGTTTTAAGCAGATTAAAATTTCAGTTAATCTCATTCAACTTCTCATTAGTTTGGCCATGTACTCTGGTTACTTTAATTTCTACTATAACCAGAAAACCATTTTGTTTAAATTGTATATTAATATGTTTTTATGTATTTCTAAGGACAAATATACTGTAATATTTAGCACCTTTTATGTGCACTGGTTTATTATTCTGAATATTCATTATCATTGTATATACTATGGATGTTGAAGAAGCAAATAGAATGGACTGAATTCATATTAATCTTGAAGAGAGAAGTTATGTTTCATCTTATTTCCTTAATATTTGACTTTTCCAAAAAGAAAATATTGGAAAATTCCATGTAAGTCTTACTGTTATTATAAATGCATTTCTATTTGAAATTTGATATTCTTTTGTGAAGCACCATTTTCAGTGACAGGTATTCTTGAGATTTATGAAAATAAGTTAAAGTACACGACAATGAAATACAGAATCCCAAATATAGATGTTGGCATGCACTGCCTCACAAACCGTGTTTGGAATGAATTTGTATTCTCATTCTTAATTAAATTCACACTTAACACATAAAACGTTTTTATGGTCAACTTGTGCCATAGATAAATTGAATCGTTTTCTGTGATTTTTAAGGAGTAGAATTCATTTTGAATTGCAGAGGTCTAGGCAGGTAACTGGTAGGCATGTTTTGATGGTATTTATCCAGTAGTGTCTCTATTTCTCTTAAAACTTAATGTATTAGCCAGGTGTAGTGGCACATACCTGTAGTCCCAGCTACTCAAGAGGCTGAGGCTAGATCACTTGAGCCCAGGAGTTTGAGGTTACAGTGAACTATGATTGAAACCTAACATAGACTCTAACTTAATTGATGTCGTTTTTTACTAAGAGGTTTATTTTGGATTCAAAGCTCTTAAATATCAATTATTTTAAAAGAACATTCTTTGATATGCTATACAAATACTATAAAATTAAAAGATATATAAATCACCCTCAACAGGCCCTTTCTCCTTTGGGGACTCAGTGAATGGCAGGTATTATTTTATTATACATACAAAGAAGTAGCACTGTGGAATTTATATTGAATGTTGAACCTTGTGATATGTACATATTGACCCCTCAGAAGGGCTTAATATTAGGACTCTGCTTGGATTCCTGGTTAAGTTTTAATACTTCTTTTTTATAGAATCCCAAAACAAAAGAGCAGATTGAAAACCTGTTACGGAATGGGATGAACAAGGAGCTGCGAGATCGTCTTTGTTGCCGAATGACTTTTGGGACTGCAGGACTTCGTTCTGCCATGGGGGCAGGGTTTTGCTATATTAATGACCTTACAGTAATACAGTCAACACAGGTAAGTATTATAAAGTATTAAGAGTGTACTTTTGACTGGACATGGTGGCTCATGCCTGTAATCCCAGCAGTTTGGGAGGCTGAGGCGGGCAGATCACGAGGTCCAGAGATCGAGATCATCCTGGCCAACATGGTGAAACCCCGTCTCTACTAAAAATACAAAAATTAGGTGGGCATGATGGCGTGTGCCTGTAGTCCCAGCTACCCGGGAGGCTGAGGCAGGAGAATCGCTTGAACCTGGGAGTCGGAGGTTGCAGTGAGCCGAGATCGCGCCACTGCATTCCAGCCTGGCAACAGAGCGAGACTCTGTCTCAAAAAAAAAGTGTACTTTTTCTCAGTCTGGTTTTTTTTTTTTTTTTTTTTGGCTTTATAAATTAGGTAGTGCCATTCTAAACGCACACACACACAAAACTTTATTTCCCAGAAGTTACTGTTATGTAAGTAAAAACTGTAGACTCAATTCTGACCTTTAGTCTTGCTCAAGATTTTAGAAGTCATTTATGTATCTTCATGGTCACAGACTGACTTTCTGATTAAGCGTTATTTTGGTTGCCATTGTCAACTTCTTAACAATGTTGCTTTGCATTTGAAACCAAGAAATGTATATTAGCATATCCAATTAATACAAAGAAACAAACTTAGATAGAAGAAAATAATTACTCATTTTGGCATATGGCCATTTATAAAGGTTAACCAGAGTATTTGGAAAATTTAGTTGAAAATATTTTCCTCTATCACATATCCTTTATGTGGTTTTCTATATCCACATGAGAGTTAATATTAGTTGTGTAATATGATATAATTTGTGTTACTTCTCTCCATTGTTATGCAGCTCACTCTAGAAACAAATTGCTTCTCTTTGCAGTGAATCATCCTGTTTCAAATAACTATACTTTTGAGGCCAATAATGTATTTAGCTTATACTAAAAATAGTTCTGGGCTAGAGAATTGTTCAGTAGACATAATTCTAATTGATACTCCCAAACAGTAAATCATCTTTAACCTTATTCTGAGAGAATTCTCTAAAGCCAAGGCCTAATGCAGGGGTAGGAGAGAAGGAATGACAGGATGGTTACATAGGTAGAATACCTGCCCTCCTTCCTCACCCACACCTCCCCCTATTCCTCAACCAGAGATGCTTTAGTTCATTCTTTTCTTATACATTTAGTCTCTTCATATGCTTTGATTCGAAGTAAAGATTTCTTGACTTTACAAAAAGGGGTGGGGGAGGTGTTTGAAAAGCAATTTCTACAGAAGTGCACATTTTCACTGGATTTGGGATTCCATGGTGTGAAGTGGAAAAGCTGGATGGAATCTGATTCTTAAGCCCTAGCCCTTTTCACTCTATTAGGTTGGTGCAAAAGTAATTGAGGTTTTGGTCATTTTTTTTAATGGCAAAAACTACAATTACTTTTCCACCAACCTAATGCATATAGAGAAATAAGATGCATTCTGATAGCAGAGATTAATATGAGGGTCTATGAGGTTTTAGGATAGTATCACCATGAGAAATAAGTTGTTGAATCCAGCTGATATACTAAGCATGCACTCACTCATAGCTTATAGGTTGGGGAAATTAATTGTACTTGAGAGACTCAGGCACCAGAAGTCACTGGGACTTTGTTTGGTGCTACCACATACTTATTTAGCAGTGCCTGCCATATAATAGGTCTTCAATAAATCAGTATAACTTAGTTTTAGTTGAATGAATGGCCTTAGGCATGACATTACATGGAGCTTTAATCTTATTGTCTCCTATTCTTAAAAGAAATATTGAAAGAGACCAAATTAGAAATGGTGTCTGCGTTTCTTTCTTTTCAGGGTGTTAGGATTACATGTCCCATCTTTTATGTAGAACTAATTTTAAAGGACTGTAATAATATAAAATGTTAAAATGTTATTTTTAGATATTAAAGTATTTATTAAAGTTAAATAATTCATGAGATAGTTAAATGGTTTTAGTTTGTCATTGTGATGTTTTCAATATGAAATACTTTTTCATTATTTTGTCATCCATGACTGCAAATTTTCCTAGTCTATGGTGTTATTTTTCTGTGAGATTTTAAAACCAAAGAATTACAAATGGGATCATCCATCATAAGAAATGTTCTAGTGAAGAACTGTGTTGCTGATTAAAAATGTTTACATCATAAATAGGTCAAATCTTTTGGTTAACTTCAATCATATGATCTAGCAAGGACTTAAGACAATTAAAATTCTGTTTTCTAGAGCCTTCAGACAAGAAACAATTTTATGTTGGCTCTTCTAATCTTTTTTTTTTTTTTAGCTTATTGACGCTCATGTTTCTTCTGCTTTTCCTAATGTTTTACTTATTGTATTGGATTTAGTGGTTTAGTAGTGGTTACTAAATCGGTATTTCCATGGTATTAAATGTGTCTGAAACTCCAGGACATGTTTGTCATCTTACATTTCTGGATTGAACAGTATTGCTCCCACACTGGTAAACATGGGCATAAAGGCAGAAGCCACTTCCCTAGCAGCCAGTCAGCTGCACAGCAAACATAAAAATAAGAGATTCTGAGTCATATGAAATGCAAGCATCCATTAGAACTAATCTTTTGTGTTTATTTGCTTCAGGGGATGTACAAATACCTTGAGAGATGTTTCTCAGACTTCAAGCAGAGAGGCTTTGTGGTTGGGTATGACACTCGGGGTCAAGTAACTAGCAGCTGCAGCAGCCAGAGGTACAAAGTTAATTGTTTCAAAGATTAAGTTGAAATAGAATAAAACATATTTAAAACATTTTTTTGTCTAGTAGTAGGATTTCTGAAACAGTAGACTGTCAGATAGAAATGTGATCACATGCTAATATTTACTTTAAAGCTGAAATAGAAGAAAAAGTATCTCAAAGAAAAGCTTTAGATTTTACAGAAAGAAGTAAAAATTTAAAATATTTAGAGTTCATATTTAGAATGACATCATAGCTTATAACTTTAATATTTTGGCAAAGGCACCGGGTAGTAGTAATTATGTAGCTTATATTCTCATTATATGCCTATTAGATTAGTTTTAGGGTGTTTTTATAAATAGATAATCATGTAGTGATATCTTTCTTCAGGGGTAATAATGCATATTGAGTTTATCAAAGTCTCTTATATCACTTTTTCCATTCTTTTTGCCTTTTGCAGATTTTATTTCTTAGTAAAAGAGCCATCAAAAGATGAATGAGGGAAAAAGAGGAAATTGAAATATCAATTATGTTAGTTGTTAAACTCTTCTTTTAAAAAAACTTATTTATTTAAAATTTTCCAATTAGGGCATGAAGTTTAAATAATCAGTGATTATAAGAAAGGGCTATATTAGGATACTATTTATTCAGACTAATTATAATATGAAACATTTATGTGGAAGGTTGGTTTTTAAAAAGTATGGTAGGCAAAGGACTAAGTTAAATCTCTCTTTTTTTAGGCTTGCTAAACTCACTGCTGCAGTCTTGCTGGCCAAAGATGTTCCTGTGTACCTTTTTTCAAGATATGTTCCTACACCTTTTGTAGTAAGTGTGTTGTGTTGGTGATCATATAGCTTGCTGCTCTTGAAAACATTTCTTAAATCAACTAGGATTCAAATATTTTTTGTGCATGTAGTTCTGTATTGAGTAATATAAGGGACCAATGGAAGGAAAACAAATTTTGCTTTGAGTTTATTTTCATTCAACAGACATTTGTTAAACTTAGCTAAGAACTTGATCTATAAAAGTTGACAAGTCTACAGTTATAGTGAAATATGTTAACATCTTCTTTCAGAAATTGATTCATTGGGCAGACAAAAATGATGAAGGATAGATTTGAACACATTGTTAACAGGCTTGATCTGGGTGTGTGTGTGTGTATGTGTGTAAAAATTCTCTATTGAGTGACAATAGGATTTACATTATTATTAAGCAGAATCACAGTCTCAGCAAATGCCAAAGAACTGCTTATCAAGCCATATACCTGGATCCCATGCAATAAAATCAGAAATAAAAAAGCCCATAAATCTTCCCCTGTTTGGAATTTTTAAAACACATTCATAAACTATTCATGGATTAAGGAAGATAACATAATGCAGATTAGCAATGACAGACAGTCCTTGCTTTGCACGGAGCGTGGGGGCTATAAAGACAGCTGTACAAGCCAAAACCATGCCAAATGATCTTAATCATAAATGAGAAAAATTATGACTGTTCCATGACCTTTAACATTTTTTTTTGCCAAAACATTAAAAACACTCTTACTCTTGGTTAAAAATGTATAGGGAAAAGAAAAAACAATGATAAAATGAATGTTTATTTAGTACATTGTAATTTAAAACGTTAAGAAACATTGATAACTAAAGTACTTTATTTCTTTGTAAAAAGAACTTATCAGGAGGCCAGGGGCAATGTCTCATGCCTGTAATCCCAGCACTTTGGGAGGCCAAGGTGTGTGGATCACCTGAGGTCAGGAGTTTGAGACCAGCCTGACCAACACAACGAAACCCCATCTCTACTAAAAATACAAAAATTAGCCAGGTGTGGTGGTGCACGCCTGTAATCCCAGCTACTCAGGAGGCTGGGGCACGAGAGTTGCTTGAACCTGAGAGGCAGAGATTGCAGTGAGCTGAGATTGTGCCGCTGAACTCCAGCCTGGACAGCAGAGCAAGACTCCATGTCAATAAATAAATAAATTAATAAAACTTATCAGGAGATAAACAGAGCTTGCTTCTTGTGGTTATAATTTATTTATATTACAAGCAAGCATCTTTTCTGTGCCTTGGCAAATTGTTAATATACCTTTCTGAGTTTGGATTCACTTCCAGCATCTTATCCTTTGTTAATTTCAATGTCGTGAAATATCTCTGGGAGTTCCTTTAATATGAAGGTTTTTTTTGTTGGTGTCACTTCCTCTGGGACATCTTCATCCTTCTCATTACAGCCTCGTTCCTCGTTTAATCCATGTGTTCCCCTTCACTACACTTCCCTGGTAGTATGTCTAAAGTCTCTTGAATGGCAGCAGTGTCAGCATTCCCACTTATTTTTTCTATAACTCCATTTATGTTTAATTCAAATTTCTCTCTATTATTACTCCTTTTTGTTTCTTTGCTGCACTTTCACCTTTGTTGGCCAATTCCCACTTTCCATTATCCATTTTTGTACACTGTCATGTGGGTCTATTATTGGGAGAAAAGGAGGCAATAGAGCCACATGTTTTGCAGTTTGTGTGAGCGCTAAGTAACAGATGCTCAGTGACCAATCACTGACACCCTTTTGAAGAGTGATATGATTGATCACTCATCATGATGTGGCTGTGTTATAAATGTAGGGATGTGTGGACTGAAGAGTTAGAAGCCAAGTGTGTACTTGATGCAGTTATGGCTAATATTACCGTGGTAACTGAAATTTGAACGTGTTGTTGGGAGACTGGAGCTATTTTAACAAAAGCATAGTATCAGTAATTTTGTGTATAGGAACTGAGCAAAGCAAGGACTGCCTGTAGGTATTTAAAAGTGAGCAATAATGAAAATAATACATAGCAAAAATTATGGGATATAACTAAAGCCCTACTTAGAGGGAAATGTATAGCCTTAATGAATATATAAGGAAAAAAAAGATTTTAAAATAATAAGTTGGCTTTCACTTAACATGTTTGTGCTAAAACAGAAGAAATCCAAAAAAGTAAAAGGAAGGAAATCTTATAATAAAGGTATGAGGAAAAATCAAGTAAATAGAAAATAAAGAGGGTATCAACAAAAGCAATATCATACTATAATGCTTTTCCTGTTATTTAATCAAAATTATTCTCATGTCAAATGTGTAAATAGCTAGGAAGCAAAATGGAATTATGGTGTTATTTATTTTTCAGCCATATGCAGTTCAGAAGCTCAAAGCAGTTGCAGGTGTGATGATTACTGCCTCTCACAACCGCAAGGAAGACAATGGATACAAGGTAAACCTTGGACTCCTGACCTTTGCTTATCTTATAGTTCATCTTTTTTATTCAAATAATATGTGTTGAGTATGTTTTCTATACTGGAGAGCAGAGCTAGACATTGGGAACAGAAAGTTAAAAACACTGAGGCTGGTCCTCAAAGAATGTGTATCCCTAATGGTATTTATTACTTCTCAATGTGTACAATTACAAAAATGTCTTCTTTAGTTCTTTTATTCCTAATTGTCCTTGATTTCTCTATCCCTTCCTAAATCCATCCTCTCTACCGTTTCATAAAGTCACATTGCAGCAAGTACTTGAAAAATGAATCGGAGTTTTCAACAACAGAACCAGAGGAATGGTACCTTATCCTCACTCTCCTCTCTCTCTGACTTTCTGCCGGAGCTGCTTCTTGGCCACAGGATTCCACTTGATGGGTCAGCCTCTGTGACAGAAAGCAGAATGGAGAAGGGTGAAAAGTGGCTCTGGAGGGGAAATAGAAGAATGCAGCACAGTATTGAACCACGATTTGGGGCTTCTGGGTGGGTCATAAGCCTGTGTTCTTGTATTTGTTTTTCTTCTTATGTTGGAGGACTGCAGACATACCGAGCTCTGTCTTACTGGCAGAAAGATTTAAATGCTAATGTAAGATTTTGGCCCTGGTCAGCTAAGTGAAGAACAGTGTTACCATTCATAGGGACAGAGAAGAAGCGTGATTAATTCAGTTTGGGACATATTAAGTTCAAGGTGTTTGGGTCAACCAGGTAGCAATGTCCTATAGGTAGTTGGATATATAGACTTGTAGCTCAGGGGAGAAATGTGGACTTAAGTTATAGAGTTGTGGGTCACCACACATGTTAGAGCATATAAGATTATTTGGACATCCTTTACTTGCATGAGTAGCCCAGAGAGAGTATAGAGCAGAAAGGAAAAAGGTCAAGAATGGATCCCTAGGGAATATCAACTTTAAAGGAAGGGAAGAAGAGAAGCTGGAGTTAGGAGAGTCTTCTACAAATTCTATGTCTAAAATAGAGGTTGAATATGTTTACCTCTGCCCATATCATATCCTCTACCATCACCATTCTAAACCATTGTTGTCTTCTTTTGAAAGACTAAACGAGATTGGTGTCATAAAAACCAAAGAGATAAAAGAGTGCAAGGAATTATAGGTCCACTGTCAAAGAAAGCCAAGAACCCACATCTCTTCTCTGATCATCTGACTACATAGCCAACTGCCTACTTGATACATTGGGATGTCTAACAGACACCTCAAAATTAGTGTCTCTAGAACAGAGTTCTTGATTCCCCCACAACATATACACCTAAGAGTGGTCCTCCTTCAGTCTGTTATCTCTGTAAATTAACATTACCACCCACCCAAACAAAAACCAAGGATCATTTTTTATTACTTCCTTTCCCTAACATTTTATCTACTAACGGGTTCTACAGATGCTATGTCTAAAATAGAAGTTGAATACACTTACCTCTGCCCATATCCTCTACCAATCATCATTCTAAACCATTGTTGTCTTCTATCTGAACCTAAGCATCCTAATTGGTCTCTTCCCTGCTTCCATTGTTCTCCCTGCAATCCATTCTCCACAAAGCAGACAGATGATCTCTTAGAATATGAACTTTCCTGCTTAAAGTTCTTCAGTGGCTTCTTATTCTTTTGATAAAACCCAACCCCCTTGCCTTGGAGCTTATAAGTCTGCATAATCTGCCTCATGCCTGTTTCTTCATTCCTTCCCTTCCTGCGCTCACTGCATTCCAGTCATACCACTGCTCCCTTCTGTTCTCCAGCTCCTCCAACATAGCAAGCCCTTTCCCACCTCTGAGACTTTATAATTGTTTTGTCGTCTGCTTGGATTGCTCTTCCCCAAATCTTGCCAACTTGCTTATTTTTATCCTTTGGGTTCCTACTCAGATAGTGCTTCCTTGAAGGATCTTCCCTGGCTACCTTATCTAAAATGGCTTCCATCAGTGACTCTTTCTTGCCATCTTATTTCTTTCACAGAACTTATCGCTGCTTCTTCCTTTTTTTTTTTTTAAGAGATGGGGTCTCACTCTGTTGCCCAGGCTGGAGTACAGTGGTATGATCACTGTAGCCTCAAACTCCTGAACTCAAGGGATTCTTTTTTTTTTTTTTTTATACTTTAAGTTCTAGGGTACATGTGCACAACGTGCAGGTTTGTTACATATGTATACATGTGCCATGTTGGTGTGCTGCACCCATTAACTCATCATTTACATTGGGTATATCTCCAAATGCTTTCCCTCCCCCATCCCCCCACCCCACAACAGGCCCCGGTGTGTGATGTTCCCCTTCCTGTGTCCAAGTGTTCTCATTGTTCAATTCCCACCTATGAATGAGAACATGTGGTGTTTGGTTCCTTGTCCTTGAGATAGTTTGCTGAGAATGATGGTTTCCAGCTTCATCCATGTCCCTACAAAGGACATGAGCTCATCCTTTTTTATGGCTGCATAGTATTCCATGGTGTATATGTGCCACATTTTCTTAATCCAGTCTATCATTGTTGGACATTTGGCTTGGTTCCAAGTCTTTGCTATTGTGAATAGTGCCGCAATAAACATACGTGTGCATGTGCCTTTATAGCAGCATGATTTATAATCCTTTGGGTATATACCCAGTAATGGGATTGCTGGGTCAAATGGTATTTCTAGTCCTAGATCCTTGAGGAATCGCCACACTGTCTTCCACAATGGTTGAACTAGTTTACAGTCCCACCAACAGTGTAAAAGTGTTCCTATTTCTCCACATGCTCTCCAGTACCTGTTGTTTCCTGACTTTTTAATGATCGCCATTCTAACTGGTGTGAGATGGTATCTCATTGTGGTTTTGATTTGCATTTCTCTGATGGCCAGTGATGATGAGCATTTTTTCATGTGTCTGTTGGCTGCATAAATGTCTTCTTTTGAGAAGTGTCTGTTCATATCCTTTGCCCACTTTTCGATGGGGTTGTTTTTTTCCTGTAAATTTGTTTGAGTTATTTGTAGATTCTGGATATTAGCCCTTTGTCAGATGAGTAGGTTGCAAAAAGTTTCTCCCATTCTGTAGGTTGCCTGTTCACTCTGATGGTAGTTTATTTTGCTGTGCAGAAGCTCTTTAGTTTAATTAGATCCCATTTGTCAATTTTGGCTTTTGTTGCCATTGCTTTTGGTGTTTTAGACATGAAGTCCTTGCCCATGCCTATGTCCTGAATGGTATTGCCTAGGTTTTCTTCTGGGATTTTTACGGTTTTAGGTCTAACATTTAAGTCTTTAATCCATCTTGAATTAATTTTTGTATAAGGTGTAAGGAAGGGATCCAGTTTCAGCTTTCTACATATGGCTAGCCAGTTTTCCCAGCACCATTTATTAAATAGGGAATCCTTTCCCCATTTCTTGTTTTTGTCAGGTTTGTCAAAGATCAGATGGTTGTAGATGTGTGGTATTATTTCTGAGAGCTCTGTTCTGTTCCATTGGTCTATATTTCTGTTTTGGTACCAGTACCATGCTGTTTTGGTTACTGTAGCCTTGTAGTATAGTTTGAAGTCAGGTAGTGTGATGCCTCCAGCTTTGCTCTTTTGGCTTAGGATTGACTTGGCAATGCAGGCTCTTTTTTGGTTCCATATGAACTTTAAAGTAGTTTTTTCCAATTCTGTGAAGAAAGTCATTGGTAGCTTGATGGGGATGGCATTGAATCTATAAATTACCTTGGGTGGTATGGCCATTTTCACAATATTGATTCTTCCTATCCATGAGCATGGAATGTTCTTCCATTTGTTTGTGTCCTCTTTTATTTCGTTGAGTAGTGGTTTGTAGTTCTCCTTGAAGAGGTCCTTCACATCACTTGTAAGTTGGATTCCTAGGTATTTTATTCTCTTTGAAGCAATTGTGAATGGGAGTTCACTCATGATTTGGCTCTCTGTTTGTCTGTTATTGGTGTATAAGAATGCTTGTGATTTTTCCACATTGATTTTGTATCCTGAGACTTTGCTGAAGTTGCTTATCAGCTTAAGGAGATTTTGGCTGAGACGATGGGGTTTTCTAAATATACAATCATGTCATGTGCAAACAGGGACAATTTGACTTCTTCTTTTCCTAACTGAATACCCTTTATTTCTTTCTCCTGCCTGATTGCCCTGGCCAGAACTTCCAACACTATGTTGAATAGGAGTGGTGAGAGAGAGCATCCCTGTCTTGTGCCAGTTTTCAAAGGGAATGCTTCCAGGTTTTGCCCATTCAGTATGATATTGGCTGTGGGTTTGTCATAAATAGCTCTTATTATTTCGAAATACATCCCATTAATACCTAATTTATTGAGAGTTTTTAGCATGAAGGGCTGTTGAATTTTGTCAAAGGCCTTTTCTGCATCTATTGAGATAATCATGTGGTTTTTGTCTTTGGTTCTGTTTATGTGCTGGATTACATTTATTGATTTGCATATGTCGAACCAGCCTTACATCCCAGGGATGAAGCCCACTTGATCATGGTGGATAAGCTTTTTGATGTGCTGCTGGATTCGGTTTGCCAGTATTTTATTGAGGATTTTTGCATTGATGTTTATCAGGAATATTTGTCTAAAATTCTCTTTTTTTTTGTTGTGTCTCTGCCAGGCTTTGGTATCAGGATGATGCTGGCCTCATCAAATGAGTTAGGGAGGATTCCCTCTTTTTCTATTGATTGGAATAGTTTCAGAAGGAATGGTACCAGCTCCTCCTTATACCTCCAATAGAATTCGGCTGTGAATCCGTCTGGTCCTGGACTTTTTTTGGTTGGTAGGCTATTGATTATTGCCTCAATTTCAGAGCCTGTTATTGGTCTATTCAGGGATTCAGCTTCTTCTTGGTTTAGTCTTGGGAGGGTGTATGTGTCCAGGAATTTATCCATTTCTTCTAGTTTATTTGCATAGAGGTGTTTATAGTATTCTCTGATGGTAGTTTGTATTTCTGTGGGATTGGTGGTGATATCCCCTTTATCATTTTTTATTGTGTCCATTTGATTCTTCTCTCTTTTTTTCTTTATTAGTCTTGCTAGCGGTCTGTCAGTTTTGTTGATCTGGATTCATTAATTTTTTGAAGGGTTTTCTGTGTCTCTATCTCCTTCAGTTCTTCTCTGATCTTAGTTATTTCTTGCCTTCTGCTAGCTTTTGAATGTGTTTGCTCTTGCTTCTCTAGTTCTTTTAATTGTGATGTTAGGGTGTCAATTTTAGATCTTTCCTGCTTTCTCTTGTGGGCATTTAGTGCTATAAATTTCCCTCTACACACTGCTTTAAATGTGTCCCAGAGATTCTGGTATGTTGTGTCTTTGTTCTCATTTGGTTTCAAAGAACATCTTTATTTCTGCCTTCATTTCATTATGTACCCAGTAGTCATTCAGGAGCAGGTTGTTCAGTTTCCATGTAGTTGAGTGGTTTTGAGTGAGTTTCTTAATCCTGAGTTCTAGTTTGATTGCACTGTGGTCTGAGAGACAGTTTGTTATAATTTCTGTTCTTTTACATTTGCTGAGGAGTGCTTTACTTCCAAGTATGTGGTCAATTTTGGAACAAGTGCAATGTGGTGCTGAGAAGAATGTATATTCTGTTGATTTGGGGTGGAGAGTTCTGTAGATATCTATTAGGTCTGCTTGGTGCAGAGCTGAGTTCAATTCCTGGCTATCCTTGTTAACTTTCTGTCTCGTTGATCTGTCTAATGTTGACAGTGGGGTGTTAAAGTCTCCCATTATTATTGTGTGGGAATCTAAGTCTCTTTGTAGATCTCTAAGGATTGCAACCCCTGCCTTTTTTTGTTTTCCATTTGCTTGGTAGATCTTCCTCCATCCCTTTATTTTGAGCCTATGTGTGTATCTGCACGTGAGATGCGTCTCCTGAATACAGCACACTGATGGGTCTTGACTCTTTATCCAATTTGCCAGTCTGTGTCTTTTAATTGGAGCATTTAGCCCATTTACATTTAAGGTTAATATTGTTATGTGTGAATTTGATCCTGTCATTATGATGTTAGCTGGTTATTTTGCTCGTTAGTTGATGCAGTTTCTTCCTAGCATTAATAGTCTTTACAATTTGACATGTTTTTGCAGTGGCTGGTACCGGTTGTTCCTTTCCATGTTTAGTGCTTCCTTCAGGAGCTCTTGTAGGGCAGGCCTGGTGGTGACAAAACCTCTCAGCATTTGCTTGTCTGTAAAGGATTTTATTCTTTACTTATGAAGCTCAGTTTGTCTGGATATGAAATTCTGGGTTGAAAATTCTTTTTTAAAGAATGTTGAATATTGGCCCCCACTCTCTTCTGGCTTGTAGAGTTTCTGCCAAGAGATCAGCTGTTAGTCTGATGGGTTTCCCTTTGTGAGTAACCCAACTTTTCTCTCTGGCTGCCCTTAACATTTTTTCCTTCATTTCAAGTTTGATGAATCTGACAATTATGTGTCTTGGAGTTGCTCTTCTTGAGGAGTATCTTTGTGGCGTTCTGTGTATTTCCTGAATTTGAATGTTGGCCTGCCTTGCTAGGTTGGAGAAGTTCTCCTGGATAATATCCTGCAGAGTGTTTTCCAATTTGGTTCCATTCTCCCTGTCACTTTCAGGTATACCAATCAGATGTAGATTTGGTCTTGTCACATAGTCCCATATTTCTTGGAGGCTTTGTTCATTTCTTTTTACCCTTTTTTCTCTAAACTTCTCTTCTTGCTTCATTTCATTCATTTGATCTTCCATCACTGATACCCTTTCTTCCAGTTGATCAAATGGGCTACTGAAGCTTGTGCATTCGTCACGTAGTTCTCATGACATGGTTTTCAGCTCCATCAGGTCATTTAAGGACTTCTCTACCCTGGTTATTCTAGTTAGCCAGTCGTCTAATATTTTTTCAAGGTTTTTAGCTTCTTTTTGTTGGGTTCGGACTTCCTCCTTTAGCTTGGAGAAGTTTGATCATCTGAAGCCCTCTTCTCTCAACTCGTCAAAGTCATTCTCCGTCCAGCTTTGTTCTGTTGCTGGCAAGGAGCCGTGTTCCTTTGCAGGGGGAGAGGTGTTCTGATTTTTAGAATTTTCAGCTTTTCTGCTCTGTTTTTTCCCCATCTTTGTGGTTTTATCTACCTTTGGTCTTTGATGATGGTGACGTACAGATGGGGTTTTGGTGTGAATGTCCTTTCTGTTTGTTAGTTTTCCTTATAATAGTCAGGACCCTCAGCTGCAGGTCTGTTGGAGTTTGCTGGAGGTCCACTCCAGACCCTGTTTGCCTGGGTATCAGCAGTGGAGGCTGCAGAACAGCGAATATTGCTGAACAGCAAATGTTCCTGCCTGATTGTTCCTCTAGAAGCTTTGTCTCAGAGGGGTACCCGGCCGTGTGAGGTGTCAGTCTGCCCCTACTGGGGGGTGCCTCCCAGTTGCACTACTCGGGGGTCAGGAACCCACTTGAGGAGGCAGTCTCTCCGTTCTCAGATCTCAAACTCCGTGCTGGGAGAACCACTACTGTCTTCCAAGCTGTCAGACAGGGACATTTAAGTCTGCAGAGGTTTCTGCCGCCTTTTGTTTGGCTATGCCCTGACCCCAGAGGTGGAGTCTACAGAGGCAGGCAGGCCTCCCTGAGCAGTGGTGGGCTCCACCCAGTTCGAGCTTCCTGGCCTTTGTTTATCTACTCAAGCCTCAGCAATGGCGGGCGCCCCTCCCCCGGCCTCACTGCGGCCTTGCAGTTCTATCTCAGACTGCTGTGCTAACAATGAGCGAGGCTCTGTGGGCATGGGACCCTCCGAGCCAGGCTCGGGATATAATCTCCTGGTGTGCGGTTTGCTAAGACCATTGGAAAAGCGCAATATTAGGGTGGGAGTTACCCGATTTTCCAGGTGCCACCCCTTCCCTTTGCCAGGAAAGGGAATTCCATGACCCCTTGCGCTTCCTGGGTGAGGCGATGTGTCACCCTGCTTCGACTCACACTCGATGGGCTGCACCCACTGTCCTGCCCCCACTGTCCAACGAGCCCCAGTGAGATGAACCCGGTACCTCAGTTGGAAATGCAGAAATCACCCATCTTCTGCGTCGGTCCTGCTGGGAGCTGTAGACTGGAGCTGTTCCTATTCGGCCATCTTGGAACCGCCTCTGCTATCCTGAACTCAAGGAATTCTCCAGCCTCAGCCTCTTGAGTAGCTGGGGCTATAGGCATGTACCACTTACCTGCCTTTTTTTTTTCCTTCTTACCTCCCTCCCTCCGTCCCTACCTCCCTCCCTACCTCCCTCCCTTCCTTCCTTCTCTTTCTCTTTCTTTCTTTTATTTTATTTTATTTTTATTTTTTAAGACAAGGTCTTGCTCTGTCACCAAGGCTGGAGTGCAGTGGCACAATCACAGCTCACTGCAGCTTCAACCTTCCAGGTTCAAGCAATCCTCCTGCCTCAGTCTCCCAACCACAGGCATGAGCCATCATACCCAGCTAATTTTTTTATATTTAGTAGAGACAGGGTCTTGCTATGTTGCCCAGGCTGTAGGTCTAGTTTCTTTATGATGAGTTATCTTATTTATTTGACCCTTCTCACCCCCATCCCCTAAATGTAAGTTCGTAGGTAGAGAGACTTAGTCTGCCTTGATATTCATTGCTGTTGAACATATTTGGCACATAGTGGACCCTCAAAGATATTTTTTCCTTAATATGTAAGCACAAGGTTAAAAAGTGAAACAGTAGAAAGTATCTGTCCCATCTCTGTCCCCTAGTACAGTTTCTCAGAAGCAAATACTGTTTCCAGTTTTCATTTCTGTTCAGGGATAGTCCACACATATATAAATATATACGTGTTTGTCACTTCTCCATCTTTTTCTCCATAAATGGTAGGGTACTATATAATAGTGTTCTGTGCCTTGCTGATTTCACACAACAATATGTCTTACAGACTGTCTTTTTCTTTCTCCCTCTCCCTTCCCTTCTTCTCATTCTATGTGTATGTATGTGTATATATATATATATATGTATGTACGTGTATATATACACACATATAGATGTACATATATACACATACATGTGTATATATAGTCAATATGTGTATTTTAACCTTGTGCTTGTATATTAAGAAAAAAATATGTATGTGTGTGTGTGTGTATGTGTATATATTTGTATTTGTGACATTGTATTTTTTGGAGAAGCTCAGAAGTAGAGAGGGCTCCTCTGTCAGAGAGTGCAGTGAGCCGTGATCACACCACTGCACTCCAGCCTGGGCTACAGAGTGAAACTCTGTTTCAAAAAAGAAAAAAAAAAGAAAATGAATGTAGAAGAATGTTTATTGTGGCACTGTTTATACATAGCAGATGATCAGAAGCAAAGGAAATGTTCATCAATAAAGGATTGATTACATAAATTATGATTCATCTATATAGATTTTTAAAGATGAATGAAGCAGATATACATATGTATGAATGGCATGAATATATACACATATGAATGATATGAATATATGCATGAATATATATGCTTTATTCATAAAATTAATTTCATCTATGTATTTTTTAATATGATTACTAGAAAATTTAAAATTTTATATATGGCTTGCATTTGTGGTGCACATACTTCTTTTGGGCACTGCTGATCTATAGGATAGATTTTTAGAGGTGGAACTTTTGGGTTTTTTTGTTTTTGTTTTTGTTTTTTGAGATGGAGCCTCACTCTGTCACCCAAGCTGGAGTGCAGTGGCACGATCTCAGCTCACTGCAACCTTCGCCTCCCAGGTTCAAGCAATTCTCCTGCCTCAGCCTCCTGGGTAGCTGGGACTACAGGCGTGCACCATCACGCCTGGCTAATTTTTGTATTTTTAGTAGAGACAGGATTTCGCCATGTTGGCCAGGCTGGTCTTGAACCCCTGGCCTCAAGTGATCCTCCTGCCTTGGCCTCCCAGAATGCTGGGATTACAGGTGTCAGCCACTGCACCTGGCGTAGAGGTGAAACTTCTGGATCAAAGGGAATATGCAAAGAAAGTTTGCATTCCCTATTCAAGGTGGTCATACCATTTAATAACCTCATCAACAACATATGACGGCCTTTATCCTGTATCTTCCATGATTGTATTATCAAAGCTTTTAATCTTTGCCAATCAGATGGGTGGAAATGTTATTTTTAATCTGTACCTGTCTTATGAGTGAGGTTGAGCATCTTTTCATGTATTTATAAGATATTTGCGTTTCCCTGAGAAGTCTGTTAAAGGATTTTTTTTAACAAACTTTATTTTGTAGAGCTGTTTTAGATTCACAGCAAAATTCAGTGGAGGGTTCAGAGATTTCCCATATACCCACTTGTCCCCACATATGTGTTAACAACATCCCCCATTAGAGTGGTACATATGATGAGCCTACATTGACATGTCATTATCACCCAAAGCCCATAGTTTATGTTAGGGTTCATTCTTCATTTGTACATTCTTTGCATTTTGACAAATGAATAATGACACGTATCCACCATTATAGTATCATACAGAGTATTTTTACTGCCTCCGGAATTCTCTGTGTTCTGCCTATTCATCCATTCCTCCTCTTTAACCCCTGGCAAACACTGATCTTTTTACTGTCTCCATAGTTTTGCCTTTTCCAGAGTATCATATTGTTGGAATATACAGTATATAGCCTTTTTAGATTGGCTTCTTTCACGTAGTAATTCCCTCCATGTCTTTTCATGGCTGGATAGCTCATTTCTTTTTTAGCACAGAAGAAGAATATTCCATCGTCTGGAGGTACCACAGTTTATTTCTCCATTCACCTACTGAAGAACATCATAGATTCTTCCAAGTTTTGGCAATTATGAATAAAGCTGCTATAAATATTTGTGTGCACATCTTAGTATGGACATAAGTCTTCATTCCTTTCAGTAAATACCAAGGAGTGTGAGTGCTGAATCATGTAACAAGAGTATGTTTAGTTTTGTAAGAAACTGCCAAACTGTCTCTAAAGTGGCTATACCATTTTAAATCCCTACCAGCAATAAATGAGAGCTCCTGTTGCTCCACATCCTTGTCAGCATTTGCTGTTGTCAGTGTTCTGGATTTTGGCCATTCTAATAGGTGTGCAGTAGTATCTCATTGTTGTTTTAATTTCCATTTTTCTGATGACATATGATGTGAAGCATCTTTTCATACACTTCTTTACCATCTGTGTATTCTTTCGGTGAAGTGTCTGTTTTGCTTTTTTATTGTTGAGTTTTAAGAATTCTTTATATATTTTGGATAACAGTCCTTTTTCAGATACATCTTTCGCAAATATTTCTCCCAGTCTGGCATGTCTTTTTATTCACTTGGCAGTGCCTTTTGCAGAGCAGAAAATTTTATTTTCATTTTAAATCCAGCTTATCAATTCTTTCTTTCATGGATCATGCCTTTGGTGGTGTACCTAAGAAGTTATTGCCGGCTGGGCACGGTGGCTCACACCTGTAATCCCAGCACTTTGGGAGACCAAGGCGGGTGGATTGCCTGAGGTCAGGAGTTTGAGACCAGCCTGGTTAACATGGTGAAACCCCATCTCTACTAAAAATACAAAAAATAAAATAAAATAAATCAGCTGGACATGGTGGCAGGCACCTGTAATCCTAGCTACTCGGGAGTCTGAGGCAGGAGAATCGCTTGAACCTGGGAGGCGGAGGTTGCAGTGAGCCGAGACTGCACCATTGCACTCCAGCCTGGGCAACAAGACCGAAACTCCATCTGAAAAAAAAAAAGTGATTGCCAAACCCAAGATCCTCTAGACTTCCTCTCATCATATCTTCTAGGAGTTTTATAGTTTTGCATCTGTTAAACTATTTGCTCATTATTCTTTTGCTGTTTCTTATTGATTTATGGGAACTCTTCATATGTAAAAAGTAGCTCTTGGCCATCTGTTTTGCAGACATTTCCTCCCAGTCTTCTTGACTTTATTTATGATATTTTTCCATGCATGATATTATGGTATTTTTCCCATTTGAAAACAAAGTTATTTTGGCATTTGTATTGGTATCAATATTTTATTTATGTATTAATTTAGAGAGGCTCGATATTTTAATAATTGAGTCTCCCTATTCAAGAATAGGGTGTGTCTTTCTATTCTTTCAAGACTTCTTTTAGATTCTTTAGTAGCATCTTAAATATTTTTTCCAAGATAATTAAATCATTTATTGATTATGGATGACACACAAGCTTCATTCCTGTTTATAATTTTATCTGGTAACATTATTCAATTTAGATACATTGCATAGTATGTGTCAACAATCATTTTTATAACCAATAATTCCATGATTTTGCTTGGGTAATCCCTTTTAATGGTGAAGTTCAGGTCACAATAGTAATTATCAGTTCAGCTACACCGAGGTTTCTGAAAACAATGATTTCTCTACCCAAGCAAGTTCTGCATAAACTCCAAATAGAACCTGGCATCACCCTGAAGGAATTCTAACTTCACACTGTTGGGGAAATTTACCAAGATGGCTTCAGCATAGACTAACTTTACACAGCACATTAAAAAAAAAAAAGACATTTATTCAGCATCATGATCAGACTATTACATTTAGCAATCAACAGCATGGGTGCAAAAAAAAAAATCCATATTAAAACTCTTTGTTGGAATGCTTTGCACTTTCCACAGAACAGGAACTAAAATAACTTGTTACACAATTTGTCACAAATACAGTCCTCGAGTTTTTTGCCCATACACATGAGTATTTGTCTAAAATATGTCTTGTCGCAGCTAGGCCCTGCCACCACTGTGCTTGGCTGAGTTCACAGATCTGTTGTAACCTATAGCTTCCCTGTCACTTCTCTGGCTCTCCTCTCATGCTAAGCTTTGTTTCCTGGCAGTAATTAAAATCTGCTGCTGCTGCCATAGCTACTGCTGCTATTGGAACCACCATAGCCACCTTGGTTTCATAATTAGTAAAGTATTGGCCTCCACCACCATAGGGGCCAGAGCTTCTGCCTCCAAAGTTTCTTCCCTTCATGGATCCAAATTTTTTTTTTTTTTTTTTTTTTTTTTGAGACGGAGTCTCGCTCTGTCGCCCAGGCTGGAGTGCAGTGGCGCGATCTCGGCTCACTGCAAGCTCCGCCTCCCGGGTTCACGCCATTCTCCTGCCTCAGCCTCCCGAGTAGCTGGGACTACAGGCGACCGCTACCACGCCCGGCTAATTTTTTGTATTTTTAGTAGAGACGGGGTTTGTCACATTGGCCAGGCTGCTGTTGAACTCCTGACCTCAGGTGATCCACCCACCTCAGCCTCCCAAAGTGCTGGGATTACAGGTGTGAGCCACCACGCCTGGCTGAGTCCAAAATTTGAAGACTGATTGTTGTAATTGCCAAAATCATTGTAGCTTCCACCACCTCCAAAATTGCTTCCATCATTACCAAATCTGTTATAGCCATCCCCACTGCCACCATATCCACCACCACCATGGCTGCCACCAAAGCCACCACAACCACTGAAGTTTCCTCCACAACCAAAGTTGTCCTTCCCACCAAAACCACCTCCACGACCACCACCAAAGTTTCCAGAGCCACTTCGACCTCTTTGGCTGGATGAAGCACTAGCCATCTCTTCTTGCTTTGACAGGGCTTTCCTGACTTCACAGTTGTGGCCATTCACAGTGTGGTATTTCTGAATGACAGTCTTATCCACAGAGTCATGGTCATCAAAGGTTACAAAGACAAAGCCCCTTTTCCTGCCACTGCCTCGGTCAGTCATGATTACAGTCGCTTCATTTTTTTCCCATACTGTTCAAAATAATCTCTTAGGTGATGTTCTTCAGGGTCTTCTTTAATGCTACCAACAAATAGCTTTTTCACAGTTAAGTGGGCACCTGGTGTTTGAGAATTTTCTCTTGAAACAGCTCTCTTTGGTTCCACAACTCTTCCATCCACCTTGTGTGGCCCTGCATTCATGGCTGCATCCACCTCCTCCACAGTGGCATATGTGACAAACCCAAAGCCCCTGGAGCACTTGGTGTTTGGGTCTTTCATTACCACACAGTTCGTGAGCATTCCCATTGCTCAAAATGGCTCCTCAGGCTCTCATCGGTTGTTTCAAAGCTCAACCCTCCAATAAAGAGCTTCCTCAGCTGTTCAGGCTCTTTAGGAGACTCTGACTTAGACATGACAGCAGGGGGAAGGAGACTTTAATGATGCTTCCTCAGCAGCATCCACGGGCAGAAAGCAGTAAGCTGACCTAAACGTTTTTTTAAACTAGATTTTTCACACATTTTTTAACATTTATTCCTGGACATATTTTGTTGCATGAATTTTTATGTTACTATATCAGATAGGAATGCTTTCTGGTGCAGATTAAGTAAAACCAACAAAAGTGGCTTAAGCTGATAGGAGTTCATTTTTCTCACGTAACAAAATGTCCAGAGGTAGGTGGCCACAGGCATGGTTCTGTCACTCCATGATGTCAGGCTTTGTGTCTCTGCAGTTTTTCTGGCCTTACCCTCAAGCATGGTCATCACATGGTGGTTGCTGTACCTCCAGGCATCACATCCACAGACAAGGCAAGGAGAAGGGGACAGAGAGAAAGAATAGGATTTTTTTTCTTATGTTTTATAAATTTTCACGTGAGCTTTCAGGACTTATGGAGAGAATCTTTTTTGTGGCTTGAAATGTGGGAGCATCCCTCCAGAACAGTTTTGTTTGTTTTAAACATTCTGGGTTTTCAGCCCCCGCCCGGCAGCCACCCCATCTGGGAGGTGTACCCAGCAGCTCATTGAGAACGGGCCATGATGGCGATGGCGGTTTTGTCTAGTGGAAGTGGGGGAAGTGTGGGGAAAGGAAAGAGAAATCAGATTGTTGCTGTGTCTGTGTAGAAAGAAGTAGACGTGGGAGACTCCATTTTGTTCTGTACTAAGAAAAATTCTTCTGCCTTGGGATGCTGTGAATCTATGGCCTTACCCCCAGCCCCTTGCTCTCTGAAACATGTGCTGTGTCCACTCAGGGTTAAATGGATTAAGGGCGGTGCAAGATGTGCTTTGTTAAACAGATGCTTGAAGGCAGCATGCTCCTTAAGAGTCATCACTACTCCCTAATCTCAAGTACCCAGGGACACAAACACTGCGGAAGGCCGCAGGGTCCTCTGCCTAGGAAAACCAGAGACCCTTGTTCACATGTTTATCTGCTGACCTTCCCTCCACTATTGTCCTATGACCCTGCCAAATCCCCCTCTCCGAGAAACACCCAAGAATGATCAATAAATACTTAAAAAAAAAAAATTTACATTTAAATTATCTGAGAGAAAAGATCAGTCGAAATTTTAACATTCAAATTGTAATTAACTAAATTAAGTTGTCCAAACACTACAAAGATATTGTAAATCTGCTTTCTGTTAGGATATTAAAATATTCAATACAACACACACACACACAAAAAAACATTCTGGGTTTTTTGTTTGTTTTAAAAATTCTGCTAGAACCTCAAGGATTTCACTGACTGGGGGCAGTTTCTGTGTTAATTTATTGTTTCTCATCCTAAAATAACTGAAGTGCAGACCTTGGATTTGAAAATTTTTTTAATTACCCAGAACTCAAGAAGAGACATGCTTCCTCATGATCTCTGTAATAGTGGGCAGGACTTTTTCTATTCTGCATTTTCACTGAGAGTGAAATGCTTCAAGGATGCCATTTTTATTTGGGGGTCTCAGTTCCAACTCCCTACCTTGCACATGGGCATTACAATCCAAGAACCAGATAAATGGACAGTTCTCAAACCCCAGGTAACCACAATATCAGTCCCACAGGCTTATCATTCTGCTTTTTAATTATTTTTTTCCCACTGCCTGGAGTCGTCCCTTTCCTCTTGTGAATTATGCTGTGCATTTAAGATAATGTTTTTTCTGTTTTATGTAGCATTTTGAGGTGTTTATAGAGAACAGGTTTTTAGGTCATCTGGTTAACCATATTCTTTGCATAGAGATTAGTACATAGCACAGATTCAAATGTATTCTTCTTTCCTTCATTCAGGATGCAATAGAGGGGATTTGTGTCATATGCATGGTAGAAGTCACCATAGATATTCTCTAACCTTCCAAATTTGAAATCCTATAAATTAATAGAATTACATTTTCATGCTTTTTTGGTAACTGTTCCTAATGTCTTATTGATCAGGCTACTTGACAAACTGAAAGCTCATTGAAATTTATATGGATAATTAACACATTAATTGTTAATAAACTATATTTGGTATGATATAAATTCTACTTTATAATAGAAATATGACTTTTTTCTATATCACATAACTACTTTATAATGTTAAGTTAAATAGTATCAAGTTTTAGGGAATAGTCTGTGGTTTCTTGGATTATCTTTAGTAGATAGTTATAGGTTTAAGAGTATAATTGGATACTATGGCATATGCATATTATAATGTTATCATAATAATTAGCCCTGCTTGTATTTTACTCATATTGTTATTAAGGTATACTTCTAAAAGAAAATCATATATAATCATTTGATTGAAGAGTCCCTGTAGAGTCATTACTATCTATATCTTTTAATATTTATTAAATTAGTCCTCCTATGTTGACATTTTTTATTTGATCAATTTGATATGCTTTATTTTTATTTTTATTTTTATTTATTTTTTTTTTTGAGACAGAGTCTCGCTCTGTAGCTCAGGCTGGAGTGTGGTGGCGCTATCTCAGCTCACTGCAAGCTCCGCCTCCGGGGTTCATGCTATTCTCCTGCCTCAGCCTCCCGAGTAGCTGGGACTACAGGCGCCTGCCACCACACCCGGCTAATTTTTTGTATTTTTAGTAGAGACAGGGTTTCACCACGTTAGCCAGGATGGTCTCGATCTGCTGACCTCGTGATCTGCCCGCCTCAGCCTCCCAAAGTGCTGAGATTACAGGCGTGAGCCACCGTGCCTGGCCTCAATTTGATATGCTTTTTAATAAAGCTGAAGATCTCAACTATAGACAAGAAAAGATCTGGCAAGCATTTTAAGTAATTATGGTTATATTTACTTATCATCTAGGTTTACTGGGAAACTGGTGCTCAGATCACATCTCCTCATGATAAAGAAATTCTAAAATGTATAGAAGAATGTGTGGAACCCTGGAATGGTTCCTGGAATGATAATTTAGTGGATACCAGCCCGCTGAAGAGAGACCCTCTGCAGGACATTTGCAGGAGATACATGGAAGATCTGAAAAAGATCTGTTTTTACAGGTATCCAAGTGAGAATATCAGATAATACTACTTCAGAATAACGTTAAAGAATGAGGAGAATAAAAAGTGATAAAAAGTGTTGTCTATTTATTAGATTAAAATTATAGCTAAATAGTACTCATAAGAGTCAAAGAGTGGAAATAACCCAAGTAACCATTAACTAATGAATGGATAAGTAAAATGTGGTATATCCATACAATGAAATATTATTCAGCAATAAAAATAAATGAACTACTCACATACCACAACATGGATAAACCTTGAAAACATCATGCTAAGTGAAAGAAGCCAGTCACAAAGAACCACATATTGTATGATTCCATTTATATGACATATGTAGAATAGGCAAATCTATAGAGACAGAAATAGATTAGAGGTTTCTTGTGGCTGGAAGGAATGAAAGGGTTGGGGGCTGGAAGCTATAGGTTATAGAGTTAGTTTCTTTCTCTCTCTCTCTCTCTCTTTCTCTCTCTCTCTCTCTCTCTTTCTTTCTTTCCTTTTTTTTGAGACAGAGTCTCGCTCTTGTCACCCAGGCTGAAGTGCAGTGGCACGATCTGGGCTTACTGCAACCTCCGCTTCCTGGGTTCAAGCAATTCTCCTGCCTCAGCCTCCGAAGTAGCTGGGACTACAAGCAACCACTACCATGCCTGGCTAATTTTTGTATTTTTAGTAGAGACAAGGTTTCATGATGTTGGCCAGGCTGGTCTCGAACTCCTGACCTCTGGTGATCCGCCTGCCTCAGCCTCCCAAGGTGCTGGGATTACAGGTGTGAGCCACCATGCCCAGCCTAGAGTTTCTTTCAGGAGTAGTGAGAATGTTCTAAAATTGATCATAGTCATGGTTGAACAACTCTATGAATATAGCGAAAGCCATTGAATTGCACACTTTAAATGGGTGAATTATATGGTATGTGAATTATATCTCAAAAAAGCTGTTAAACAAGTTATACTTAAATATATGTATTTCCTCTATGTTAGATCAGTACATTTCTCTTAAGAGTTTATTTTTCCTTAACCATTTCCATATTTCCATAATTATCTCTGTAACTCTTCTGTAAATAGCTAACACTATTGCTAGGAAGAATCCTGGCTAGCTGAGTGTATTTTTCCTATCCTACAAAATAATTTTAGCTTTTTCTCAACTTTATTTTAATTTCAAAAGTATACCCATCAAGCTGTCAACTGTTTGCTTCTCCGTCTAAAATAAGTGACAGTAATACTAGCTAAATGCTACCAGCTCTAATCAATCTAAAAAGAATTTGATTCCTTTTTTATCCTTTCTGTCTTTTCTTATTTACATTTTTGTTTTTTAAAGAGTATATGGGCAAAAGCAAATTAACAAGTGAACCTAACTATTTATCAAGCTGAAGGCATAATTACACAGAGAAGAATTATTTCAAGTGACTTTACAGTTATTGACTATGTATTTCTAGTGGGATATGTCCTAAGGATAAAGAACTACAAAGAAACCTCAAATTTTATTTGATAGCTGTACTGTTAGTGGTAATATTGATGATTTTACAGATGTAGATATAAATAAATATATAGACATACACATATATATGATAAAACAAATGGGTAATTATGTTAATGTCACTAGGATCTAAGATTTTAGTTTAAGAGAAGTGAATGTAAAATCAAATAAAATAATTTTAAAATTATAATTTTAAATTTGAATTTGAAATATGTTTTATTTACCTAAAATACCAAAATACTAGTTCTGTTACTAAAAAGGCCAATGCCTACCCCTAAAGCCCAGACTGTGGTTTCTAAATACCATTTCCTAGTAAAAGGAACCAGGGCTCATTGGAGAAATTGATTCTTATCAAGGAGTGGGGCAGAAAATGTACTAAATGAGGCTGAGATAACTTTGTTTTCCTTGCCATGAAGCAGGCTAGCTTTCAAAGATACTGGGGTCATATCAAAAAGATCTGGGAGCCAACTTGAAGGGACTCCCACTGACCAAATATTGGATAGTTGGGCATCAAAAAGAATAATCACCTCAATGAATTAAAACATTAAACCTAAAAAGCCCATGACTGTTAGTAATACTAAAAAAGCAGTTTATTGGTCACCTTTGGGAGTTGCTGGACTGAAAATCACACAGGCTGAAATTTGATAAATTCTAAATTTTCCTTCTGAAAATCAATAAATGTTTGAAACTTTCTCTTAATTTGTTCTGCCTTTTCTATATGAACTGAATTTTAGGGCTAATCAAATGGTTGATGAAGGATCATTATTTTTAAAAGAAAAATACAATAAATGCAGAAGAAATAACAGAATTTTCAAAATCACTATGTTGTGACCTCTAATAAATAATATATCTAAGTAATTCTTATCAAGGGCTGCTAAGACCCATAGGTGAAATGTTGATGGGAAATATTTTGATGGAAGGATTAGGCTGACACTGGTGAATCTTAGTTTGACAGCATTAAAAGTAGAGTAGAAATTGTGTGCTTCCACCTGTGAGTCAATAGAAAATACACAGCACCTATTCTTGCCCAAAGAATTGAAACTGAATCTAATGTTACCTCTAAATGCAGTTGCCTATTTACAGAAAAAATAGGATAGAAGAGCATGTTAATACCAAAAGGATGCAGTCTACATACTGGAGATACAGGAAATTCTACAGGACAAATGGGCCAGTTTCTTCAATAAATGACATTTGGGTTGGGGAAGGAAGGGAGGAACATTTACAGATTAAAAGAGACTTGAGAGGCATAGCAGTCAAATTATATGGAACCTCGTTCAGGTCCTGCTTCAAGTAAAACAACTGTTAAAAGTATTTTTGAGACACTTGGGGAAAATTTGAACACAGATACGGTATTAGAGGAAAGAAATTATTGTTGATTTTGTTAGATGTAATGATGGTAATATGGTTATGTTTCTAAATACTAAAGCATTTTCATGTAAAGTAATATATCTTGAATAAATGAGACTAGATTGACAGACAATGGAAACATATTGAAGTGAGGTAATGGGTATATGGTGTTAGATATTCTGTCTTCCTATGCATATGTTTGAAAATTGTCATAACTTTATTTTTATTATTTATCTTATAATAAATTGTATTTTTTATGGGGAATAGTTAGTAAATGGTAGGTTAGGATGTACAAAGTTTTGCTGTGGAAAAGACCAAAGAAACAGAGACTAGATGCTAATGGAAATGATGCCGGCGAGAGAGAATTATCCATGTACTAAAGTTCTCAAGTGAGAATTGATGGGGACCAGAGCAGAAGTAGAGGGGTTGACCTTTGATACAAAGAACACCTCCTCGTTATTATCAGATGGAAGAAGGAAAAAATATGGGTTGTCGGTTTGGTGTGGGACGATTAGGAAGTTCCCATCAAATGGCTCTGTGTCTGAGTGATGTATGAGATGAAGGGGGAGGAAAGGAATAAGGAGAGAAGAGAAGGTACTAATTAAGTCACCATCTTGGAGAGTAAAAAAGTAAGCTTTTTGGGTAACAAAGTAGGATTGCCTGGCAGCATTGGGTGTCCATTCAGAGTGAAGCTGTTCAATCCTTTTGTGAGATTTATTCTAGCAATATTCAACTATTTTGGTGCAAGCCTGGAAAAGGAACACATTTGGGTTCAACAAGATTTGGGGTATTGGAGGGTCAAAGTAGCCAGACTGACATATAAGAAGGTGAGTGTAATTAGGTACTTTGCAATCTAAACTGGAAGTGAAGAAACGAGGGGTCTACTGGCAAGCGAGAAAGACCAGTTAGGAAGTGTTTGTGATGGTCTAGTGAGAGATAATATTTACTTAGATGATACAAGCTTAGCTTGTTCAGGGTATTGGCACAGCATATGGAAGGCAGCTGTCCAGGTCAGGAAGTTGAGCCACAAAGGGAGAATGCTGTTGAATTAAAACTCTTGATCTTTAAGTTAGTACTCTTGATTTGTTTGTTTGAATATCTTAGACCTCTGCTGAAGGCTTAAATCACATTTAATCACATTTTCAAATCAGAATTTGATTGTTTTTAATTATATCAAAGGTAAGAGGTTTTGTAATCATGATCTTATGTTGATTTTCCTTTACAGGGAGTTAAACTCGAAGACCACCTTGAAATTTGTGCACACATCTTTTCATGGGGTCGGACATGACTATGTGCAGTTGGCTTTTAAAGTGTTTGGTTTTAAGCCTCCAATTCCAGTACCAGAACAAAAAGATCCTGATCCAGACTTTTCTACCGTTAAATGTCCAAATCCTGAAGAAGGAGAATCTGTGCTGGTATTTTTTTAAATATTTAAATTATTATTAGTTTATTAAACCATCAGAATAGATAGAACTCATTGACAATTCAAAGATTACTTACAAAAGCAGAAAGGACTGTAGTTTACATCTTTTAATTGTATTGGAGTAATAATAGGCTGTGTTTTGTTTGAAATGTCTATGGTGGGTGTCCCTACTTTTGGCTTCTTGTTTTAAACGTAGCTGAATTCTATGCCTTCTAAAATTCCTATCACTAACATTGTGCCTACATACAGGAACGTTAACATTGAACTTAGGTTCTTCAGTACAATCCAGCTTTTTGGGTCACTGTTTCAGGAACTTTCCTTGAGACTGGCAGAGAAAGAAAATGCCCGGGTAGTGCTAGCCACAGATCCTGATGCAGACAGACTGGCAGCAGCAGAACTTCAGGAGAAGTATGTAGAATCTGTTATTTGATTAAAAGCTTGAACTTTGAAAAGCAATGTATTTTAAGTCTTACAGGCTCATTGAAAATAATGAAAAGATAAGAAAAGAACATAAATTTCCTGTAAATCCATTATCCCAAAATAACCACCTAAGTTGATACTTTGATAATTCTTTCCTGTCTTTTAAATTGAAATATTTAAAGATGTATTTGTTTTTATTAAATTATGATCATAGTTTTATATCTTGATTATTTTCCACATTAATTGTACAAAATGCTTCAAAAACTGCTTACAGTGTAATGGTTAAGTATAATGCTTACAGTGTAAGCATTTTCCCCTGACTTTATACATTTTTTGAAAATATTAATTTTTACAAAGACATAATATCCCAACAGATCGCTTTATGATGTAGTTATTTCCTAACCTTTTTTTTTGTTTGTTTGCTTTTTTTTTTTTTTTTTTTTTTTTTTGGAGACATAGTTTCGCTCTTGTTGCTTAGGCTGGAGTGGAGTGCAATGGTGCTATCTTGGCTCACTGCAGCCTCTGCCTCCCAGGTTCAAGCTATTCTCCTGCCTCAGCCTCCTAAGTAGCTGGGACTACAGGCATGTGCCACCATGCCTGGCTAATTTTGTATTTTTAGTAGAGACAGGGTTTTGCCATGTTGGTCAGGCTGGTCTCGAACTCCTGACCTCAGGTGATCCTCCCACCTTGGCCCCCCAAAGTGCTGCGATTACAGGCATGAGCCACCTATTTCCTAATCTTAGTCCTCTGGGCTGCTATGTATTTTTACCATTATAATGTGACAAATGTCCTTAAATAGAAAGGCTTAATTATTTATCATAATTTTTTCTCTCATTAAGTAAAAGAATAAATGTAATGATATAATAATTTTCCAAAAGACGTTGTACCATTCCTACCGTAAAATCACCCCTGGTCAGTTAGAAAAGAAGTAGTAATAAATGTTTTCTCAAAAATCCCATATGATAGTTTTTGATTTTTCCTAACTGAAGGATGGTAATTTTTAGGCCTTGGAGTCAAGAAGTTTTAATGAGAAGAAAGGTCTTGACATTGTATTTTCCTTCTCTCTACAGTGGTTGTTGGAAAGTTTTCACAGGGAATGAGTTGGCAGCTTTGTTTGGATGGTGGATGTTTGATTGCTGGAAGAAAAATAAATCAAGAAATGCTGATGTGAAGAACGTTTATATGTTAGCCACCACAGTCTCTTCTAAAATTCTGAAGGCAATTGCACTTAAAGAAGGATTTCATTTTGAAGTAAGAATCAATAATATCTGTGTGCTACTTTTTAAAACCTATTTCTGTATGTTAAAGACATCTCCCCACCAAGACTGACTTTCATTGATTTCATTTGTAATTCCCTTATTTTTCTAATTCTGTTAACACTTGTTCAGTCTCTTTTGATAATTTAGACACCTTGAGCCAAAATTCATCCAGTACCGTATATGAATTTCTGGGACTAAGATGAGATATTCTTTAAAAATTACATTAATACTTATTATTCTGTACAACAAATATCTGGTTTTCAGACAGGGAAAATATAGCTCCTGGTGACCCCATCAGTAACTCAGACTTCTCTCCAAAAAGTTGTAGGTGTCATCAACCCCTTGTTCAGGCTCTTCAAGCATGGTCTTAAGGAACTTCAAGTAGTCTTCTAAATTGCATAGTAAACCCAATGATCCTACATCCAAAAAAACAAGCAGTGGCTCTCTCTCAGCCCAGATCATTAACCTTATGACCTTAAGACCCTTAAGCTGACCATTTTTGCAGCCATGTTAACTAAATTGCTTTTTCTCTGCCATCTTTGCCAAATATCAGTGAAAATGTCCCTGGACATTTTTCTTGAGCCATAGTCAGGCTACAGGTCTTAACACTAATTTACTGAGTAAAAGAAAATTGTACCTGGCTTTATGAAATAGAGCTTTCAACCTTATGCTTTCTAAAACACAAATAGCAAAATAGAAGATACTGAAAGTTGATTCACACCTAAGATTCTGATGTTTTCCTAGTTTATGTCTATAGCAAGAAGAAGTATAATGGGCACAAAAGAGAAAGAAGAACAATTCTAAAGACCACTATTATAATTTTATTTGCTTGTTTTTGTTGTAGCAGGGAGGTTTTTGACTTTTTAATTTTTATTTTGTAGTAAGGAGGTAGAAAGGTGAATTAGGAAACAAGTTAGTAATGGTGAGCTTTAGTATTAGGGTGTATCACATACTCTTTCTGTTGACTCTGAAACTCTTTCTGTGTCTTTAAAGTGAACAGTAGCTCATTAGATGAAAAGTCCTCAAATCTAATTATTTAAAGAAGTAGTTAGTAACTGTCTTGGTGGTTTTATTAATAGTTAGGACACAGTGTTATGAGAAGGTACACTTGGTTCAAGCTTATGTTATGCTAATATTAAAAGTGCATCACTAAAAAGCTTCATGACCTTTCATTGATTACTCAGGGAGAGTAAATCCACCAACTTTCATAGGCACTCTTATATTAGTGGTTGTAATATAGCTTAAAGGACAGTTTCTGAGAAGCAGAAACTTGAAATTGAATCTTGACTCCATCTCTTATATGCAGTATAATTTTGGGCAGATTGACTTATCTTTCAAGGCTGTGTTTCAGCGACAGCGTTTTTGAGCATTAAAAAAAGATAATGGGGCCAGACGTGGTGGCTCACGCCTGTAATCCCAGCACTTTGGGAGGCTGAGGCAGGTGGATCACAAGGTCAGGAGTTCAAGACCAGCCTGACCAACATGGTGAAACCCCGTCTCTACTAAAAATACAAAAATTAGCTGGGCGTGGTGGCACACCTGTAATCCTAGCTACTTAGGAGGCTGAGACAGGAGAATTGCTTGAACCTGGGAGACGGAGGTTGCAGTGAGCTGAAATTGCGCCACTGCACTCCAGCCTGGGTGACAGAGCGAGACTCCGTCTCAAAAAAAAAAAAAAAAAAAAAAAAAAAGATAATGTAAAGCACCTGGTTCAGTCCTTAATAGTAGGTGATTATACTGATTATACTGTATGTGCTTATTCATGTTACTTTGTGACTACATGAAGCACCACTTATAAATGCTGGTTTATATTTGGTGTAAATCACCTAGTACTATAATCTGTAAATAGTAGGTCATTAGTAGTAGCAGTGTGTGTATTTATGGCCCTTCATTACTATATGTCTGCTACTGTATAAATCTTTGTGGACTGAAGACTATAGTAAGGATCATTATATGAACGTTGTGTGCATGTAGTGGCAGATTTTTCTCTAATAGGTATTTGTGAGACAGTCACTTAACTAGAGTGGCCTCCTCTGCATTTCAGGAAACATTACCAGGTTTTAAATGGATTGGAAGTAGGATAATAGACCTCCTGGAAAATGGGAAAGAAGTCCTTTTTGCATTTGAAGAGTCTATTGGTATGTAGTAAATATTAAAATCTTCAAAATTTGATTGATAATTTTTAAAATGTAATTCTGTAGGAGGAGTTTTTTGTGTTCTGGTTTCATATTTTGAGTTGTAAAAACTACAGAGAATGAGAAATATGTAGATACATTTCTTATCAGAAAAAAAAAAGAACGAAAGTGTCCCCTAAATACACTCAGTATTGATGAGTTTCATCTATTACTAGGCTTTTAAATTTCCTGGTCCTTCTGAAGAAATGTAAAACTATTGAAATTATAGCCTTAAGTTTTCCTCTTTTCTAGTGATGGTTTTCAATCCTCAGGTTTTCTCTGTGGAACTTCAGTTTTGGATAAAGATGGGGTGAGTGCAGCTGTTGTGGTTGCTGAGATGGCATCTTACCTGGAAACCATGAATATAACATTGAAACAGCAACTGGTTAAGGTTTATGAAAAGTAAGTTCTACTATTATGAATTTCACATGCTAGATTTTTCTTTTATTGTCCTACCCTTAGTTTTCTAAATTTGTTTCTGAAGAATAGTTGATCCTTTTTTAAAAAGTATTAAAATTATGTGAATTAAGGACTGCCACTTTGTATAAAATACCATAGTAGGCTGATCTTCCTTAATATATGCTTTTTTAAAGAGTTATCTGAAATCTAATTTTAGCACTTTGAATCTTTGCACAGATATGGTTATCATATTTCAAAAACTTCCTATTTCTTGTGTTATGAACCACCTACCATCAAAAGTATATTTGAAAGGCTTCGTAATTTTGATTCTCCAAAAGAATATCCAAAATTTTGTGGAACATTTGCTATATTGCATGTACGGGACGTTACCACTGGATATGACAGTAGCCAGCCTAATAAGAAATCAGTAAGTACCTTTTTTTTTTTCCAAACAATTTAGAAAATTTCATGGCTCATGTCACCAAAAAGTCCAGAGGCAGGACAGATTTCACATGAGATTCAATCCAGTTTCCTCATGTTTACCAGTTTATTATAAAGGTGACAATTCTGGAACAGCCAGATGGAAGAGATGTATAGGGCAATGTACTAGGGGTGGGGTTGGGGCCTGGAGCCTCCCAGCAAGTCCACGTGTTTACCAAGCTGGAAGCTCCTGTAAATACTTAAAAAAAAAGTTTTTAACAGTTTATTATAATTCATACTGAAATAGGAGATCAGCAGGACTTGTTTTCCAAGCACTGGTCATGACCTCACTGATCAAAACAGGATCTGGTCCAAACAGGATGCAGTAAAGAAACCAGCCAAAATCAGCTAAAACCAAGATGGCAACAAAAGCAACCTCTAGTTCCCCTCACTGCTCATTATATGCTAATTATAATACATTAGCATGCTAAAAGACACTCCCACCAACACCATGACAGCTTACAGATGTCATGGCAACACCCAGAAGTTACCTTATGTGGTTTAAACGTGGAGGAACCCTTGGTTCCACGAACTCCTCACACTTTTTCTAGAAAATTTGTGAATAACTTGCCCTTATTTAGCATATAATTAAGGAGAAGCTATAATATAGCTAGCCAGCAATCCATGGTACTACTCTGCCTATGAAGCAGCCATTTTCCTGTACTTTGTGGCTCTGATAAAATTGCTTTCCTTTTTTTTTTTTTTTTTTTTTCCTTGAGACAGTGTCTCGCTCTGTCTACCAGGCTGGAGTGCAGTGGCATGATCTCAGCTTACTGCAACCTCTGCCTCCCAGGTTCAACTGATTCTCCTGCCTCAGCCTCCTGAGTAGCTGGGGCTACAGAAGCATGTCACCACGCCTGACTAATTTTTGTATTTTTAGTAGAGACAGAGTTTCACCATGTTGGCCAGGCTGGTCTTGAACTCCTGACCCCAAGTGATCTGCCCACCTCGGCCTCCCAAAATGCTAGGATTACAGGCATGAGCCACCACGCCCAGCAGTTGCTTTCCTTTTACTTTACTCTGTTGATTCATTCTTGAATTCTTTCCTGTGTGAAGTCAAGAACCCTCCTGGGCTGAGCCCCAGTTTGGGGGTTCACCTGCATCAATACTATAATAAAATGGTGAAACTTCAGGCCTGTGAGTTTCCTTAAGACTAGAACCCATTGTTTTGCTCCAGAGCATTTTTCAGTCTGCTAACTTATCTCTCTGACTTTGATCCTATCCTTATCACTTCCCAAATAATCATGTATACTACCCTCAGGGTAAGATGTGTGGAATGGAGGTGGGGGCAGAGAGAGAGAAAGAAAAAGAGAAAATGGGCAAGGATGCTAGATAATGTTGAAAATAACTGTAAAAGCCTATAATTTCAAAGCCATACATCTTTCTAATTTTAACTTCCTTTTCCAACCTTATTCCCTATACCTCCAGCCAAATAGAACAGCTTACTTACTTACCTACATGTATACATTTTTTTTAAATTTCTGCATTTTTGGTCCAGTTGTTTCCTTAGTTTACCCATTTTTCCAATTTCTACAGGCCCATACCTCAGCTACTATAAGACTTAAGGCAAATGTCACCTGTTCCACGCGACCTCTAGGCCTCATAATTAGACACCTTCCTCTTCAGGTTTCATTACATAGTGTGCCTTCCTCCTATTACTGTTTTATGTCATCATTGTGTTGTACATGGCATGTTCCTTTCTGATGTACTTTTTTGCCTCACCAAGTTGCTGCCTATGTTGTGGCTGCTCAACAAATACTTAAATGCCATAGATGCTGATTATATTCATTTTGTTATTGTTGTTGTGATGATTATTAGCCCAAATTTCCATTTGTAATGTTCTGATGTGGTCTCAAGATTCTGGGGACATAATGTATTTTGGAAAATCTGTAGTTTATTGTGTAGAATAGTACCCATATTCCATTTTTGCATATTTATCCAATCAACAAATATTAGTTCCTGGTGTTGATATCCTGTGTATGAGTATATATGTGTCTACTTTTCTATCTTTGTAAATTGCTGGAAGAGAAGAATCACATTTTGCTTCTTTTTATTTCTCTAGTTTGCTGTGCTCAAGTAGCCTATGGTATAATGCTTTTCTCCCTCTTAATTCTCGTTAAAGTGTATAATATTCATTATTCAGGGTGCTTTTTCATCTATTCTCTTCTGGTTCTTACAACAAGTTTGTAAGGTAGGTAGCATAGATGTTGTTATCCCCAAGGTTGCATAGTAAGTGTCAAAGCCTTCCTGAATTCTCTCTTTTCCATGTTTCAGATTAATTGATGTTCATCTGTGTATATTCACTTATCAGAGTCCTTCTGTGCTGCAGGCACAGGTACACTAGGAATATAGCAATGACAAAAACACTGCACTCAAGAAAAAGTCTAGTGGGGAAATTGACAAGTAAATAGCAATTTACAAAATGATAAGTGCTACCAGGGGAGGCATGCATAGGATGTCATGGAAGAGACTTTGGGGGCTTATGCAAGACTTTCTAGAGAACTGTTCTGAACTGAGTTCCCAAGTATGATTAGGAGTTGGCCAGATGCAGGAGGAGCAGAGGGTGTTTCAGGCAAAGGGAACAGTAAGTACAAGGTCCAGAGATGAAAAAGCATATTCTCTTTCAGAGAACCACAGGTAGTTGTCTATAACTGGAGTATGAGGTGAGAAGAATGGCCTGCATGATGAGTGGGTTTTGAGGGGCAAACTTCCAGGCAGGAAGATCAGTTAGTACACTGTGTCAGCAGTCTAGATGAGGTGTGATGGTCACCTGAATTCAATATAGGAGCAGTGATGGAAAGAACTGGATAAAGTTGAGTTAAATAAAGTATAGAAAGGACTTGCTACTTTATGGGCTGTGGGTGAAAAAGAAGGGAAGATCTCTGTGTTAAGTCACTGGTATATGGTAATGTACTGACCAAGAGAAGGGTCTCAAGGACAGGACTCATGGCTCAGGACAGCTGAGGAAAGGTACCAGTGTCAACCCCTCTGGCCTAGTACAACCCTCACAGTCCCCTCGAGATGCCTCAACAGACGGATGTGTGGACTAGCAAGAGTACCAGTGTTAATCCATATATTTAGTGTCAGTAAAACATCACTTCTTTTTTTAATTTTTATAAAAAATAGAGTTCTTTCTGCACCCCAGTACATGCAGGATGTGTGCACTCCTCTTTGGAGACGATTGATAAACGGCAAAAATGCTTCGCAAATATAGAGGCAGTTTGGACTTTGGAACTTGGCTTCCGCTTCTTGTTCTACCACTTAGTTGATTGTCTTGAATGGGTTGTTTACTCTCTTTGAGCCTCGTCTGTAAAATGGCGGTAACACTTACTTTGCAGGATTATTGTTGAGGCCCAGAGATCATGCATTGAGGTATATAACCCCATGCCTTAACTATTCAGTAAATGGTATGTTTATGAATTATTACATATAGGTAATCTTCATTTGTATTTTATAATTCTTTTAAAATATGTTTTAAATTTTCAATTGTGGTTAAAAAAACACATAACAAAAATTAACTATCTTAACCATTTTTAAGTGTATAGTTCGGTAGTGTTAAGTATATTTATATTGTTGTGCGACAGAGCTCTAGAACTTTTTCATCTTGCTAAACTGAAACTCTCTATCCTTTAAGCAATAACTCCCTATACCCCCTGCCTTGGCAACTGCCATTCTAATTTCTATTTCTGTAAATTTGACGACTTTAGATACCTCATATAAGTGGACTATATTTTACAATTCTTGAAAATGAAAGAAAATGAAAAAGATGCCAAGTATAATTAAGCTGTTGTTGCCATTTTGCATAGGTGCTGCCTGTGAGTAAAAACAGCCAAATGATTACATTTACTTTTCAAAATGGCTGTGTTGCTACCCTTCGGACAAGTGGAACAGAACCAAAGATAAAGTATTATGCAGAGATGTGTGCGTCACCTGACCAGAGGTAAGAATTGATTTTTTTAAGATATACATACAAAAGCTTTATTGAAATATAATTCACATACCATACAGCTCACGCACTTAAAATGTACAATTCAGTGGCTTTTAGTATGTTCAAAGTTGTGCATCCATCACTGTAATCAATTTTAGAACATTTTCATCACCCCCAAAAGCCCGTAGCCATGAGAAATCACTTCCCATTTCCCTCCTTTACGGCCCTCAGCAACCCCAATCTACTGTCTTTCTCTATAGATTTGCTTCTTTTCTGGGCATTTCATATAAATGGAATCATACAATATGTGGGCCTTTGTGACTGCCGTCTTTTACTTAGTATAATGGTTTCTAGGTTCCACCATGATTCAGTTGTAGCATGAATTTATTCCTTTTTTTAAAGTTTTGTTTTTTATGGCCCAACAATATTCCATTGCATGGCTATGCCATGCTTTTTAATCCATTGATCATTTGATGGACATTCAGATTATTTGCACTCTTTGGCTGTTTTGAATACTGTTATGAACATTTACATACAGGTTTTTGTGTGAATGTATGTTTTCATTTCTCTTAGGTATATACCTAGGAGTGAACTGCTGGGTCATATGGTAGCTCTGTGTTTAACCTTTTGAGGAACTGCCAGACCATTTTTTAAAGCAGCTACATCATTTGGGAATTGAATTTTAAAATTGTATTGAATTTCTATTCTTGGAAAGATTCTCTGAGCTTTAAGTATTATGTGATTAACATAAGGAAATTATCATCAAATAATTTGTTTATTGCCAAATATCCATTTTCTATGTCTAATATGACTTGACATAATCTGTTCAGTTCATTTCCTTTTAAGAGGATGAATTGTGACTAAGTGAATTTCATAAACATATTCAAAGGCTACTTAAATGTATTAAAAGTACTGTCTCCTATAATATTGTAATTGCTCAATATATATTTGGGAAGGAGATTTTTTAGAATTGCTTTCAGAGTCCAACCAAGCTATACTATTTTGTATTTCCCCAAATCTTTGCATTTAAGGATAGATTTCATTTCCTTTGGGGGGGATAAAGAGCCCCCGAAGTCATTCAAAGTAGAATCTAAAGTAAACCAAATTGGGTAATGCTACATCTGGTTGAAAATGAAGGAAGATTATTAAAGTAATAAGAACTGATTTGTTGTGTAGCTTTTAAAATGACTGTAAAGGCAGTTTAAAAGAGGCTTGCCTCGAAATGTTCTGGGCAACGGCAGCACCTCAGTGATGACTTTCAAGGGCCTTCTTTTAAGTGCACATTTATTTTTTTAAACATCACGTTATTTTAGTCACACCTCCTTCTGCTACCTGAAAGATATATCATTCCATAACATCTGTACTGAATATTTTTCAAAGTATTTCAGGAAGCCATTTTCTCCTAACACCTGGTATTTGTGTTCAAAGCCATTAGAACCTCATTCTCCTGACCCAGGAGAATTCTTTAGATACACCATCACTCCTCTGTTTATCATGTGCCAAGGAACTCCTATTAATGCAGTTCACCTTCAGTTTGTGATAGCAGTGTTTTCTTTGTGTGTAATTTTTTTTTTTGGTCTTGTTTTGTTTTAACCAAGTGAATTTCTCTTTTGTTTACCAATTGTTTAATGACTCCATCAGGACCTCTTAAAAAATCACACTAATTTAAATAAATTTTAAGCCTATGAAAATAAATAATTCCAAAACTCTTCATCTTTTCCTCAGTGACACTGCTTTACTGGAGGAAGAACTGAAGAAACTCATTGATGCTCTGATAGAGAATTTTCTTCAGCCTAGTAAGAATGGACTGATCTGGCGTTCTGTTTAGGGGTACACCAATATGTCATGACACTGTGTGGGCATATGGAACAGAGCAACCGAGAACTGCATACATTGAACCTTGTGTTAGCATTCTCTCTCTATCTCATCTGGCCGAGTATCTTTTTCCTTTTATTTTCTTTCTTTTTGGTCAACTGGCTAGACTAAACAAAGTATAAGTTTGAAATGAAATGGTCTAGAGGGAAATGATTCAAATTTTTTCATAATTCAAACAAAAGTTATTACACTAAAAGTATTATAGTAACGTATTGTCCTTCCGTTAACAGAAACATCACAATTCAAAAGTGAGTTTTCTTATTATAGTGTGATTAAGCCTAGTTCTGTATCTCGTAATTGTGTATAGCATGGTAAAAGAAAAAAAAAAAGACAGGTAAATGTTATATAATTGTAGGGTTAGTTAAGGAAATTAGTCCATAAAATTGGCAAGAAAATGGTACTTTCCTTGATTGTTATGAAAAAGTGTCATTGTGACATCACAGGTATTAATTTACAAATTAGAGTATTTGAAATAGGATATTTAGCATTTCTGTAGTTTAGAACAGATGTTACAGTGTGTGGTTTTGGCATGTCTGTTTCAGGTGCCCTTGGTGCAGTATAAATTTACTGTATGTATTTAAAATTCTGATGTTTACTGAACATAAAACAATAGTGGCAACACTCCTATTGGCTTTGTTCTTATCAAATTTCTCAGTGCCTTCTCAGGGTCTGGTGTGAACAGAAAAAACAGTGTTCCTGCATTTACCATAATTTAATCAGTCAATTTGCAGATAGCTAAGGAAAATCTTCCAAAATCTGTAGGTGCTTCCTCTATATCAAGTGAGTTTGCTGATTTTAAAATCTTAGGAATATAAATAAAGATCTTAATAAAAGCAAGCTTAATGTAGTTAAGGATCTTCATATTAGAATTGTGTCATTTATCAAACCTTTTATTACAGAAAAAAATCTGAACTGAGAAAGGAGCTCTGAATTTATTTGACAGTCTAACTTTTGAATTACATTTTTGTAAGTAGATTTATTCTTTTATTTTATGAAGTAATGTTAATTTTACTAAGAATAAAACATCCAAATTTTAAGTATTATGAAATACTAAAACTACATGTTTTAAAACAGAGGTCCAGTTTATTCTAACATCTTGCTGACTTCTGTAGAATTTCTGATTGCATGACTATTATTTATCTTCTTTTAGTGTAGAAAATAATTTTTTACAAAAAGTCACTTTTGGGCTGGGCGCAGTGGCTCACGCCTGTAATCCCAGCACTTTGGGAGGCTGAGGCAGGTGGATCACAATGTCAGGAGTTTGAGACTAGCCTGGCCAATATGGTGAAACCCTGTCTCTACTAAAAATACAAAAATTAGCCGGGTGTGGTGGTGGGCACCTGTAGTCCCAGCTACTCGGGAGGCTGAGGCAGGAGAATTGCTTGAACCTAGGAGGCTGAGATTGCAGTGAGCCGAAATCACGCCACTACACTCCAGCCTGGGCAACAGAGGGAGACTCCATCTCAAAAAAAAAAAAAGTCACTTTTGGCTAATCATGCAGTCTTCTGAAAAGGTTTAATAGAGAAATGCTGTTTAGGCTGGGCTTGGTGGCTCACATCTGTAATACCAGCGCTTTGGGAGGCTGAGGCAGGAGGATTGCTTGAGGCCAGGAGTTTAAGTTACAGAACTATGATCACACTGCCGCACTGAAGCCTGGATGACAGAGTGAGACCTTATCTCAAAAAAAAAAAAAAAAAGAGAGAGAGAGAGAAAAAGAAATGCTGTGTTTAATCTTCTTAAAATGTATCTTGTCCTACATAGTTCTCAGAATACATATGGGGTATAGTTAGGAGATAACAATAACAAGACCTAAACAAATTGCTTATGGGAGATAGCACTGTAATTAGAGAATTTATTTCATATAAAATAATAATATAAAGTTTGAACTGATTAGAATGTTCCTTAAATCATGGTTTCGTTTGTTGCAGCTGTCAGCTAACATTTGGTTGAGCTCATATAATCCAAACCTAATTGTCCAACTATTGTATTGCCACTATTGTTAATTTGTTCCTTCCTTACTTTCTTATTGTTGGATCTTATATGACTGTATGACTGTAGATAATAGACAGCTAGCTAAATGTAGAGCACCATTTTTCTCAATGAGTTTGTTTTCAAAGGCTTTGCACTGGAGAAGATATGTGTAGAATTTTTGTTTTATTTTTAAAATGTGTAAAACATCTTTTGTTTTATATGCTTTTAAGAATGTAGATTGTAATTTAGGAAATGGCATATATTCTGCAAAGTGGTATAATGTTGTATATATGAAAAACAGGTATATTTGGTTTAGTTCTGTGTTTCAGTGACTGATAAACAAAAATGAAGCTAAAATGAATCAACGGCTCATTCATAGTTACTAAAGCCATGTCATGACTGTCATTCTATTATGAAGAAAACAGTTTTATTTGAGTGCTTTAATATAATGCAACATTTAAGTCATCTTAAGGTGAAAAGTTATTGAAGTGTTCTTCTCTCAAGTTAACAAAATTTTACAAATGTTCCTGAAGTGTATCGATTGAGGGAATTATTTTATTCTAGCCTGTCATGAGTCTGTCTGAGCATGATACTTAACATGAACTTGATGTAGTAGGTGCACATTTGCCTAACAGGATAAATTCAGTGATAGCCCAAGCTGGTCAGGAGAGACAGAAGTGCTGGCTAGGAGGTCTCAGCCTCGGGCACTACAATGTTTATCTTTTTCTTTTTGAACAATATTGTGAAAATGATTGCATTCTCATTGAGCATGAAAGTCAAAACTGGAATTTTCTAAAGCTTTGGAGAAAAGGAGAGAATTAGTAGGGCAAGATCAAAGCATACATTGGAAATAAACAGTAGAAATAAGCAAACAATATAAAGAGACACGGGAAATGCTTCTCGTGAAGGGCAAATGTAACACCATAACAGTAGGGAATAAACTGTGTCCCACCTGTTTACTTGTGTTTATTTGTTGTTATGATGAGTATGCACCTACCATTTTCCTTTATTGTGATCACTAAAATGAGGCCAAGGTTTAGGAGGTGAGAAAAAGTATCCCTTTTACGGATTCAGTTCCTGCTAGGATGTTGTATCAGAATCATGTGAGAACTCAGGAAGAGGTAGAGCAGAAATAAAAAGGAAGAAAATGTAGATTAGAAAATAAGACTTCTGAGAAAAAGTTCAAGGAATAAAGATTGTTTGACTCTGGAGAGGAGAAAGCTGTTGAGATAGTTTGCTAAGTTTGCTAATAAAGCTTTATTGAGTCTTTTATTGAAGGGTTCAAAGTAAGAAATACTATGCCATAGTGTTCTCCATCTCTAGTGAAGACAGAACCAGAGGGAATAAGGATCTTTTTTTTAAAGACAGCATGGAAAGTTTAAGATTTAGGAACTTCTTGAGAAATCTTCATAATATCTTCTATTCAAAATCTTTTTTTTATTTTTAAGGGAATAAAAATTTTAAAAATTAAGAGATATACAGATGACTTTTTAAGGGTCCTTCTTTCCAGCACATTTTTTTTAAAAACTCAGGTTAGAACAAAAATGTCATAAAGGGCACTAAAAGTAACATTTGGGTTTCACTCCATATCTAGAAGAATTTAGCTCACAAAACAATTTTTGTGTGTTTTGAGTAACTGATGCATAAGTGCAATGAATAATTTTCCTGCTTCACTGTTATTTTTAATTTAACCTGGCAAATTAAGTGAGACTTGAACAAAATTTTGTTCATCTTGAAGAATGTATAGTGGCTTAGGTTATTTGAGGTTTTCGTTTTGAATATATATGTTGTTATTTTGATGTAGATACGTTAGCAGATGGAGAGGTTCTAAGAGATTGGATACTTTGGAATGTCTTTATATAGGAAATAGACCTCCCATTTCTTAAGCAAGTTGCTTCTGGAATTGATGCAACAGGGATATTAGCTGTAGTTTAATGGATAAGTTGTTCTATGAGCTGCTGCTATCAGTACTTTTTTCCACATTTTCCATTGATATTTGTGATGCTTGAAAAATCCAAACTTCACTTGGATACATTTAATTTTATGCCTTTTTCTCTCTACCTCCCACTTTTCCTAGGCACCCTTGCACATTTTGTTACTGTGAAGGACTATTGCCCTGTTACCTCACTGATAAGAAATCTCAACTGTATTCATTCAGAATGCTTTAAGCTTAGTCATAAACTACATTTGCCTATGGACCTTTGGTTATTTTGTTAATGTTGTCATTATATTTAAGACTTATTGTAGGAAGTAATTTTAAATCTATTTCATAACCTGTTTTGATCTGTCTGCATACTGCTATATGTTAATTTATTACGGCCTTTTACAATTCACTTGTCATCTGAGATTGTTCTAGAAACTGATGAGGAAAGAGTCGTACTAACCAAAATGAATGGGCAATTGACATAACATTCTATTTCAGGTTTCCTTGTACTTGGGGAGCCAAAGCACAAGATCTAAGGAAATCTTATTCACATTTGTCCCTCAGAGCATCTTACCCTAAGCCATAGAGGTATAAATAGTAAGATGAGAATTGCTCATTGTCTGACTCCTTGCACAGCATGAATTTAATTCTAGTTGGAAACAAAGTTAGTGTTGACTACTGGTTACCTTAAAGTATTCACCATACTATATATTTATTAGACCATCTTTCCTCTTTGTTTATTCAAGACTATGTACTTATAAAAGAGAACCTATAAGAATGTGTAGAGTGACCAAATAGGGACAAAGTGACATACCTAGAGTTTGCTGCTCAAATTTTTCCACTAGCGTAACCCTAAAGCAGAGGGGCATGATGAAGGGGGAAGGGGTTCTGAGAGCAAAATCAGAATCAGCCTACCACTGACATGAAGTGTGTTCTGTCTTTAAAATGTAAGTGAATTTTGCATTCTTTATAATAAAACTTTTAATATAAAAATGATATGTTTAATCTTTACTGAAACTTATGCCACCACAAAGGAGCACCATGTTCATCACGTGGCTGCTCAGTTTTCTCCCCCAGTGCCCTCACCCCCAGTGGAGGCAAGTCCTTGAGCTACACACACTGGCTGTAGTGCAAGATATATAAACATAGGCCGGGCTCGGTGGCTCATGCCTGTAATCCTAGCACTTTGGGAGGCCGAAGCAGGTGGATCATCTGAGGTCGGGAGATTGAGACTAGCCTGACCGACATGGAGAAACCCTGTGTCCACTAAAAATACAAAATTAGCCGGGTGTGGTGGCACATGCCTGTAATCCCAGCTACTCGGGAGGCTGAGGCAGGAGAATCACTTGAACCCAGGAGGTGGAGGTTGTGGTGAGCCAAGATCGCGCCGTTGCACTCCAGCCTGGGCAACAAGAGTGAAACTCCATCTCAAAAAAAAAAAAAAAAGATATATAAACATAGAACATATCCAGACTATTTCCTGCCCTTGGAATCTGACCTTCAGAAGGATTAATGCCAAACTAAACTGACCTGAAACAGTTTTGTTACTATTGGCATTCCTTGACTAAAAAGGACCACCTGATGCTCAGTCCCGAGAGTAGGAATCGTGGTTTATTATTTTTCATATCCATACCACCTAGTTCAGTACCTGTTATAGAGTGTTTAATTGCTGATACTAGGAATTAAGGGATTTTTTAAAAGTAGCAAATAGTTTAAGGAACAATCAAAAAATGAATTTTCTAATTCAGTTTTTTCAATGAAGTCCCATCACTGAACTTTATAATGTAATGTTTATTAAGCAGACATCCCCTTAAATACTCAGTTTCTTTGGAGAGAGCAAAGCATATCTCTCTGTGGAAATTATATATAATGCCTGGTATTTTACACTCAAAGCAAGGTGTTGGCCAGGAAGGTAAAGAAATGGTGTCTATGTAGACTTAATATCACTAGTCTAAGTGTCATTTTGAGCCTAGTAGCACTACCTTCCAAGTGAGTCACAACAAATTTGATCCTATTTGGTATGTTTTTGTCCACTGTTATGATTCATCATGTATCTTACAAGAGCCACTCAAGCAAGACTCTGCTTCTATGTATGGTGAGGCCTTGTTGTTCTAGGCTAGAATAAACTCTTTGTATGCCTCATTGAATATGCCAGGTAAAATTTATGCAGTCAAGAATGAATTATTTTTCTGACTAAAGTGTGTAGCAGTAGTTCAAAATTGTGCCCTTGTTTTAACAGTTTCTGTCAACATCTTCTCATTTTTCCCTACAAAAACACCAGGGTGTATTATAAGTACTGCCTGTGAGAATTTGCACTTTATGTATTTGTGTGTGGATTTCTTGTGGTTTTAGCCAAATGAAGTGTTATCAGTAATAAACAGGTCTCTTCATAGGCATGAGTTTCTGTGTAATTTTTATTTGAGATACTGTGTAGTTCATAAAGCTTGCTATCTAAACAGGAAATACTCTTGAAATACACACATCACATACCCTAGAATCCACTTTGCATCTAAATGAATATTCTGGCTTAGTACTCAGGAAATATTTCTTGATTGGTTTATCAGAAGTCCCAGATGTGAGAACTAACATTAACATTCTTATTTTTCTTTTCTTTTTCTCTCCTTAAGCTGATCTAATTTGTTTGCCCATGTTAGCGCCAGCTACTATAATAAGACAAAAGTTTAAAGTTTGGAAATCTCTCACGGTAATAACCGTAGATCTATGCTTCAATACTGATGAAGGACTGAGTTTCCAAGGGTTCTTATGAATCTGTGGTCCTGGTCTCTGTTGCCTGCCTTTCCCAGATCAGGCTCAAAGGGAAGATGACTGAAAGGAATGTTCTACGAGGTCCTTTTGTCAGCTTCTAAATGGAATATTCTGAGAACCATGCCGACCCCGTCCTTAACCACTTTCCCTAGTTTATTGTTCTTTATAGCACATAAACAAATGAACAAATCAATTTAAGTAGTAGTATTATCTGTCTTCATGAGCATAGCTTTTTCACTACTTTACCACTGCCTGGAACAGTGTATGGCCCTCAGTAGGTACCCAATAAATGTTTGTCAGATGAAAGAACCTATGTCATGTTTCTTCTTGAAGAAGAAAAACACCAAATCCTTGATTCTGCATATGCGCAGAGTTGCACGAGAAATATGCAGTGGCGATACCACCTGTTTTAGAGACATGTTGCTGCTGTTGGGTCATCTCTGCTCACAACATACCTGCTGAAATCTCAAGCTCCACATTTTCTTCCTGCTTTTCCTGAGTGGCCGTATATCTCCCTGGTTTGAAACCTCCAAATCATCTTCGATTTCTCCTGCCACTGGGTATGTGCTATTTGATGCATTCTTTAAATGTAACAGTCTCTGAAAGTAAAGGGCAAGGCCATTGACTTGAGACCCACGTAAAGAGACCAAGCAGCTAACACAACCTAAAATAATAGGGTTTTATTTATTTATTTATTTATTTATTTATTTATTTATTTATTATAACTGAATGAAAAAGATTTAATTTTATAAAATTGACAATGTTCACCAAATTATATCTATTACACTTTTTTTTTTTTTTTTTTTTTTTAGTATTTATTGATCATTCTTGGGTGTTTCTCGGAGAGGGGGATTTGGCAGGGTCATAGGACAATAGTGGAGGGAAGGTCAGCAGATAAACATGTGAACAAGGGTCTCTGGTTTTCCTAGGCAGAGGACCCTGCAGCCTTCCGCAGTGTTTGTGTCCCTGGGTACTTGAGATTAGGGAGTGGTGATGACTCTTAAGGAGCATGCTGCCTTCAAGCATCTGTTTAACAAAGCACATCTTGCACCGCCCTTAATCCATTTAACCCTGAGTGGACACAGCACATGTTTCAGAGAGCACGGGGTTGAGGGTAAGTTTATAGATTCACAGCAACCCAAGGCAGAAGAATTTTTCTTAGTACAGAGCAAAATGGAGTCTCCCATGTCTACTTCTTTCTACACAGACACAGTAACAATCTGATCTCTCTTTCTTTTCCCCACATTTCCCCCTTTTCTACTCGACAAAACCGCCATCGTCATCATGGCCCGTTCTCGATGAGCTGTTGGGTACACCTCCCAGACGGGGTGGCGGCCGGGCAGAGGGGCTCCTCACTTCCCAGACGGGGCGGCTGGGCAGAGGCGCCCCCCACCTCCCGGACGGGGCGGCAGCCGGGCGGGGGCTGCCCCCCACTTCCCCAATGGGGCGGCCGGGCAGAGACGCTCCTCACCTCCCAGACGGGGTGGCGGTCAGGCAGAGACACTCCTCAGATCCCAGACAGGTTCACGGCCTGGCCGAGGCACTCCTCACATCTCAGGCGATGGGCAGCCGGCCAGAGACGCTCCTCACTTCCTAGATGGGATGGCGGCCAGGAAGAGGCGCTCCTCACTTCCCAGACTGGGCGGCCAGGCAGAGGGTCTCCTCACATCCCAGAGACGGGCAGCCAGGCAGAGACGCTCCTCACTTCCCAGACTGGGTGGCGGCAGGGCAGAGGCTGCAATCTCGGCACTTTGGGAGGCCAAGGCAGGCGGCTGGGAGATGGATGTTGTAGCAAGCCGAGATCACGCCACTGCACTCCAGCCTGGGCAACATTGAGCACTGAGTAAGCGAGACTCCGTCTGCAATCCCGGCACCTCGGGAGGCCCAGGCGGGCAGATCACTCGCGGTCAGGAGCTGGATACCAGCCCGGCCAACACCGCGAAACCCCGTCTCCACCAAAAAATACAAAAACCAGTCAGGCGTGGCGGCGCACGCCTGCAATCCCAGGCACTCGGCAGGCTGAGGCGGGAGAATCAGGCAGGGAGGTTGCAGTGAGCCGAGATGGCGGCAGTACAGTCCAGCCTAGGCTGGGCCTCAGAGGGAGACCGTGGAAAGTGGGAGACGGGAGAGGGAGAGGGAGAGGGAGCAGGGTTTTATTTTTGTTCTCACTAAAGGAGAAGAGTTGGTATGTATATAAATGGAAACGTTTTGGAGGGGGGATTATAATAAAAATTTGGTATTCGCTATCCTTCCTCTCTATCTTCCCTAAACCAACACTTCCCCTCATTTCTGTTAGTGCTGTGACCATTCTCCTGTTTATTTTTATTTCCCTCTCTTTACCTCCATTTCTGATCATTAAGTGGTCCGACCTTGCACATAATTTGCTTTAGATTAAGTCTTTGACCTTTATCCCTCTGCTTCATTCATTCATTTAATACATATTGATTAATCTGGAAATGAGAAACAAGGGCACTCCAGAAGTCTAAAAAGTAAGAAAAAAGACACAACCACGTTACTGCCTAAACAACCAGTTAAGGACACCATGCTACTGCCCCCACACCACCAGAAAATCACCTTTATCTATTCCTTATGACTTTGGATTCAAAGTAACTTGAGAGAAGGCCCAGTTGGCTGGATTTTTGTCATTTGCCTGCCTCCTAGCTGCAACTGGAGGCTGATAAAGGAAGGATATGACTCCCTTAGCTTCCTCCTGACTTCTAGTAAGAGGCAGGACACTAGTTACCTTTCCATTGAGACACAGTTGGGGAGTTAATTTGCCAAATTGGAAATAATAGTGCAAAAAAAAAGTGACAAAAATCCACTACAGTGCTAGTGCTGAGTGTTGGAGAATAAACACTGGCAAAGGGATAGGGGAGGGTATTTTAAATACTGAACATGGCATACGTGTGCAGAGCACCAGTGATTTGGTGTTGCTCTTGGAGTTTGAGAGTGGGTGTGGGTAGGGATGTGAGTGGAGAGGTGGAGTGCTCTGTGTGCTGCTCCATGGAGCTTGGACTAAAGTCAGCAGCTGACGGGAGTCATCGAGGGATGATGGTGGTGCGACAGAATTTCCACTGGAAAGGAGTTTAAAGGGCATCTTACCTAACTGTCACCATTTTCTATGATGTGACCTCCAGTGGGGATACATGTTTGAACCTCTCCAGGGACAACGGGCCAAAACAAGTTCATTCTCTTTTAAATAAAGGCCAGTAGAGAGCTCTTTCTTGTGTTCAGCTGACCTCTGCCTTCTGCAGCTCCTACATTTTGCACTTGGAAGCTCTGTGTTATAAAAACAGTCCATTTCCTTTTCACTCAGTCCCCCTACCTCCCAGTCTAAATATGCATAATTCAGCTGCTGTTCCTTATATAACCAGTTTGGGGTTCCCCTCCCCTTCCTTGGGTTTTGTTTTCAAAAACCCAAGTCCAGAAATTAATACTCATGGAATGCTGGCATCAGTCCGGAGTAGAGAAAGGTGTGATTTCTACCTGAGATGACAGGCAGCACAACAGATGGGGCAGAGGGGCCTCAGCCGACAACACTGCTGGACTTCTCTTCACTTTGCCAGAGATTGGTCTTCCTTTTACTCTCACTCAAGCACCACCCCTTCCAAAAAGCCTTTCCTGACTGTGGCCCTAACCAAGCTGGCAGGGCCCCACCTCTCCTTCTCCATTTGCCCCTCTGTTGCAGCACTTCCCATACCAGACTGAAATGATTGGACTCTCTCAGTGAATTGTGGGCCCCCTGAGAGCTGGAATCAGCTGAGTCAGTGCAGTACCCCCAGCACCAAGCACCTAGCACCAAGCCAAGCAATATCATGAGTCTTCGGCAAAATAAAAAAGGGGAAAAAAAAGTGGAATTTGAACTGGGTTTTTAAAGGCAAGTAGGCTGTGATAAGCAAAGGCGTGGGGAGGGGCACATGGCATATATGTAAATTCAACTCCAGACAGAGGGGCTATCTGAGTGAAGCCTGGGAAGCCTGGGAAGGCTGCTTGTGACTTGCTGAATGGCTTCCATCCAGGCTTCGGCTAATCTGAGCTAAATAAGGAAAGCCAGAGTGGGCAGATGGCCCACTCACATGGCTGTTGGCAAGAGGCCTCAGTTCCTTACCACATGGGCCTCTCTGTAGGGTTGCTTGAGTGTCTCCGTGACAAGGCAGCTGGCGTCCTCCAGAGTGAGTGATCCAAAGAAAGAGTAAGGCACAGGCCACAGTGTGTTTTATGACCTAGCCTTGGAAGTCACACACTGTCATTTCTGTACAAGTCTATGGTAACATATAGCAATCCTGCAATCCTCCTACAGTGTGAAAGGGACATAGTGTGTGAGTACCCGGAGGCAGGGATCACTGGGGGCTATCTTGGGGACTGGCCACAACAGAGGGAAAGATTAAGTGATCAATTTTAAACAAGTCATGGTTGAGACACCTGAGAGACATCCAAATGTAAATATCAAGTAGGCAACTGGAAATATGAGTCTGGAGCTCAGAAGAAAGGTCTGAGCTAGAGATATAAATTTGGAAGTTATCAACATACCAAAGTCTTTAAAGCTGTGGAAATGGCTGGACACGGTGACTCACACCTGTAATCCCACCATTTTGGGAGGCCGAGGCGGGCGGATCACGAGATCAGGAGATCGAGACCATCCTGGCTAACACGGTGAAACCCCGTCTCTACTAAAAAATACAAAAAATTAGCCGGGCATGGTGGCAGGCACCTGTAGTCCCAGCTACTCGGGAGGCTGAGGCAGGAGAATGACGTGAACCTGGGAGGTGGAGCTTGCAGTGAGCCGAGATCACGCCACTGCACTCCAGCCTGGGTGACAGAGCAAGACTCCGTCTCAAAAAAAACAAAAAAAAGCTGTGGAAATGAGTATGATCACCTAATTAGGGTGCAGACAGGAGATGGAATCTTAGCCTTTTGGAACTCCAACTTGTATTCTTTTTACTTTAAAGTTATAATTTAATCTAGTTTTATTAATGGTAAAAACTTTAAATAAAGAAAATTAGAGGGAAGGATACAACAAACACCCAGGTACCCACCACCTAGAACAACAAAGATCAGCACTCTTTCTCATTTATCTCACATATTTCCCTTTCCTTTTAAGTACTTCTCTATCCAATTTTGTGCTTTGACTCTTATATTGGTTCAATTTATTTTAATTGGTTAGCTTTTGCCAAATAACAAACTATCCCCAAAGACTTAGTGGTTTAAAATAGCAAGTATTTATATAGCTCATAATTCTGCAAGTCAACATTTGTGCTAAGCCCAGGTGAGTTGTTCACCTGGTCTTGGCTGAGTTTATTCATGGGTCTGAGGCCAGCTGCTAAATTGGCTGGTTCCTGGATAATGTAGAATAACTTCCGCTGGGATGGCTCATCTCTATTCCATGTGATCTCTTGTCCTCCAGCAGGCTAGCTCAGGTCATTTCATATGAGTAGTGGGACAGGACTTCAAAAAAAAGAGCTGAGATGTGCGATGCATGTTGAGGCTTAGACAGAGAATTTGTACCATCTCTCTGCTGCATTCCATTGGCCAAAAATGTCATGATGTCAGTTCAGGTTTAAGGGGAGGAGAAATAGTCTCCCTCCACCTCTTGATGGGGGATGCTGCAAAGTCACAATTCAAAGAGTATGAATTCAGGGAGGATGGAAAGAGTGTGGCAAATTTTGTAATCTACCACAGTTTACTCTTTGACCATAATTATTCACATTGCTCCCACAGGAAAAATATGCTTACCACCATTCCAAGACCCCCAAACACCTCTTGCAATTATGTCATCAGGCTTGAAGACCAGGATCTTGTGGTTCACATCAGGTTTGTATGTGACATTATGGATGTTGTTCTTCTTAATCCTGACACCGATGAATTAAAGACAAGTTATTTGCCTCCCGCATACCTACTGTACATTGAGACGGAGGCAGGATATCCTCAATAGACACTTACATTTAAAAAAGGGAAGAACGCCGGTCACGGTGGCTCACGCCTACAATCCCAGCACTTTAGGAGGCTGAAGCAGGCAGATCACTTGAGGACAGGAGTTCAAGACCAACCTACTAAAATTACAAAAATTAGCCAGGCATTGGGCAGCACACCTGTAGTCCCAGCTACTTGGGCAGCTGAGGCAGGAGAATCACTTGAGCCCGGGAGGGGGAGGTTGCAGTGAGCCGAGATCACACCACTGCACTCCAGCCTGGGCAACAGAGCAAGACTCTGTCTCAAAAAACAAAAACAAAACAAAACAAAATTAAAAAGGGAAGAATGAGAGACACATAGCAATTCTGAACTCCAGCTGGGCAAAGGTTTACAAGTCTCACTATCCCAGGAGAGGGTGTATTTCTTGCTCAGGTCTAGAGTTTACTCCCTGGGAGGGGGTTCCTGCTCCACTGATCTCTGCGGCTCTTGACTATACCCTTTGGAACATATTCCTTGTCTGTCACCTTCCTTGGCTACTTCTGAAGATGTGGCCCATGTTGGTAGCTGAATAATTGGTAGTTTGAATAATTTCAGTCTATTCCATACTCCAAATGACACAACTGTTTTGTGACATCTCTCTAGATTTTATTACTGGTATTTTTGAATTGGGCTTCTGTGGGATCTCACTCTTAAGTTTCCAAGAAGGTTTTTTTTTGTCTAGAGGTCGACTAGACATCACTTTAATTCTTGCAGAGGTCTTTACAAAGTGCCACTATGAAACACAGATTACTGTTTTTCCAGCCTCTAGTAATAATTTCCCATCATTTCCCCAGACTTCAATATGTTTGCTCTTGCCATTTTCCCAGTTTCCAACCACTCCCAATCTCAAAGCTAATGTCACAAATTTTAGGGTATTGTTAATGGCCTAACATCTCACTTTCGGACACCAATTTCTGTATCAGTCTACTTTTGCTGCAAAACAAATTACCCCAACACTTAGTGGCTTAAAACGGCAGCTATTTATATATCTCACTATTGTGTGGGTTAGCAGTTTTGACTGAGGTCAGCTGGATATTTCTTCTGGTCTTGAGTGAGTCCACTTCTCTGTTGGTGGTCAGCTGCCAAGTTGACTGGGTGCTGGCTAATTTCTGATGGCCTCGGCTGGGTTGGCTGAGCACTGCTGCACATGATCTCTCACACTCCAGCAGGCTAGCCCAGGGTGTTCCCTGGGTGCCTGGGCAGAGCCCCAAAAGAGAGAGCCAAAGCATGCAAGGCCTCTGGACACCTAGGCTCAGAACTGATGCACTGTTCCTTCTGTTGCAATTTACTGGTGAAAGAAAATAATAAGGACTTCCCAGATTCAAGCAGGAGATACAAAGTCATATAGCAAAGGGTGTGGATATGGAGAGGAATAAGGATCATGGCTGTTTTTACAATTTGCCATACCTCCTCAGAGGCCACCCTCATCACAAAGTGGGAGGCCATCCTTCCCTTCCAAATTTTATCTTTATGTGACATATGTACATATCAAAAATATATAGTTTTTTCCCCTGTGAGTTCTATATGTTTTTAAATGAACTATTTCATACATACTACATAATTTGTGCAGTATAAATGTAAGGTATAAAGAATAGGATGCTTTTGTACTTACCACGCAGGGAAAGAAATGCAATTTTATCAATATATTTTAAACTCCCTGTATGCCCCTCCCAACCTAATATTCACTTCTTACCTGGACTATGCAGTTCCTTCCTGTCTTACCTCCTCCCATCAGCTCTACCTGCTGAAGCCAGCATGATACTAAAAAACAAACATCGAATAATTCCTGTACTTAAAACTATTCAGTCATTTCCCATTGACCTTCGAATAAAATCCAAATTTATTTATAGAGTAGGCCCTTCGCCATCTGGCTCCTGTTTACACTTCATGCCTCATTTTTGCCATTCATCCCTCAATGTGCTATGCTTATTCTCAAAACAGATCATTGAGATTTTGCCAAAGAAAGTGGCTTCCGTAGTTCCGTGCACTTCCTCTTTTGGAGCATGTGTCACTCTTGTTGTTGGCTGTTTGCTTCTCTGTCTCCACTACTTAACTTGTCCCCACCTGGCTCTGAGGGTGAGGATCCCAATGTCTGCTGGGTCCCTCTGGGGCCAAGCACAGCAGCTGGCACCCGGGATGCTCAGTAATAATTGAATGGATGAATGAATGCTAGACTCTGAGGACAAAGAGAAGCTTCACAAAAATTTCCTAGCCTATGTGAAGAACAGATGTATTGAATTAATAAATTGATCTCTCCGCTAAGCCAACAGCAAATGTGGGACTAGGATGGTGGGTTTGAGCTGGCCTATAAGCTCCACTAGGGGTCACTGTGGCAATGCCTCGGAGTCTTAAAAAATCACGTTATTTCCATGGAAAGACTCTACCTACTTCGAATGGAAATGTGATTTTTCAAAGGTGGTAGTGGTTTTATTTTGTGTTTTAATAAGCTCCCCATTCAGTCCACTGGAGAGAGCTGTATGTGAGCCACCCGTGAGTCTGAAGGACTTAGTAACCCCTGCTTGGTGCCCACTTTATGCCTGTAGTGGTTCTTCAACTTGGAACCACCATAACAGCTTTCACAAACATGATTTAATTTATCTTCCACATCAGATGTTGGCAGCCAGGATAGAGATTGTTATTATTTCCATCTTAAAAATGATATTTCTAGAACGTTAAGTAATTTTCCCAAGGAATCACAGCTGGTACCTACCTAAGCAGGGACTTGAATCTGGGTCTTTCGAATACAAATGTATTAGTTTACTAAAAATATATTGAGTTCCAGGCTCTGTAAAAGATGATAGAGATGCAAAGACATGCCCCCCAAACTTAATGTCTTAGAAGCAAAGACTGTCAAAGCGGAAAGGAACTTTGAAGATCACCTAATGAAGTGTTCTCAACTCGGATGTGTGTAAGAATCACCTCAAGAGCCTGTTATAAATGCAGATTTCCTGGACTTTGCCTGTCTTCCACCCTCTTACAGTCTGATTCAATGAATCTGGGTGGACCTTGGAATCTGAATTTTTCATAAGAACATCCACATTTACCTGAATAATTCTGTTGCAAATAGACTGTGGACCACACTGAGAAACACTGATCTATTGGTTTCATCCTTTCATAATATAAAGGAGAAACTGAGGTGATGTGAGTCCCCTGGAAATATTCCTTGGATGTAGAAGGGAGGCTAACCCAGGAACTGATAATGAGCAATGTGAAGTAATGATGCAATGGAAAGAGCACTCGACTGAGAGCTGGGGACCCTGGGCTTACCGTCTTGCAGCTGAGTCACTTCATTTCCATAAACTGGTTTTCTCAACTGTAAAATGCAGGACAATACATACTTCATAGGCTTATGATGAGGACAGGCAATTCAAAAGATTTGGAAGAAGACTGGCACTAGAGACACTTGATAAAGAGATTAACAGGATTGTTTTGAATGCTCTTTCTACTTTATTTATCTATTCTCTTATTTTCATTTTTATTTTCTTGGCTGGGTGTGGTGGCCCACGCCTGTAATCCTAACACTTTGGGAGGCCGAGGTGGGCAGATTGCCTGAGCTCAGGAGTTCAAAACCAGCCTGGGCAACACGGTGAAACCCTGTCTCTACTAAACAATACAAAAAAATTAGCCAGGCATGGTGGTGGGCGCCTGTAGTCCCAGCTGCTTGGGAGGCTGAGGCAGGAGAATTGCTTGAACCTGGGAGGTGGAGGTTGCAGTGAGCCAAGATCACGCGACTACACTCCAGCCTGGGGGACAGAGGAGGACTCCGTCTCCAAAAAAAAAAAAAAAAAAAAAAAAAAAACAGAATTATTTTCTTGAGACAGAGTCTTGCTACCTTGCCCAGGCTGTAGTGCAGTGGCACAATCATGACTCACTGTAGCCTTGATCTCCCAACCTCCTTTCTCAGCCTCCCAAGTAGCTCGCACCACAGGCATGCACCACCACTCCTGGCTAATATTTTTATTTTTGTCTCTCTACGTTACCCAGGCTGGTCTTGAACTCCTGGGCCTCCCAAAGTGTTGGGATTGCAGGCCTGAGCCTCCATGCCTAGTCTATTCTATATTTTTAAACGAGTACTTGCAATTGCCAGGCACTCAGCTAGGAACCATCTCACCTATATGAAGTATATGATCTAGTGTAGCAGACAGCCATTAATTATACAAATAAGAAGTAATAATAATAGTTATTATTATTATTATCATTATTATTCTGAGACAAGCTTTCACTCTGTTACCTAAACTGGAGTGCAGTAGCGCAATTCTGGCTCACTGTAGCCTCAACCTCCTGGACTCAAGCAATCCTCCCACCTCAGCCTCCTAGCTGGGACTACAGGCACACATCTCCACAATCAGATAATTTTTAACTTTTCTGTGGAAACGGGGTCTCACTGTTGCCCAGGCTGGTCTCGAACTCCTGGCTTCAAGTGATCCTCCTGCCTCAGCTTCCCAAAGTGCTGGGTTTACAGGCGTGAGCCACTGTGCCTGGCCCAAATAAAAAATTATAATTGTCATAAATGCTACCAAGGGAAAATACAGGGTGTGTTTTGAATAATATGAAGACTTGAACCTAGTCTGCAGACAAATAAAATGTCCCTGAGGAAATGACTCAAAGGATGAGTAGGATTTAGTCTGTCAGAAATTCCGCATGAATCAGGAAAGAGCTTGCCAAGAGCAAGAAATGAAAAGACAAAAGGCCAGCATGGCTGGAGTGGAGAGAGCAGAGGAGAGTGGCACAAGCTGAAGCTGAGGGTGGTTATTATTTCCAGAGAAGCCTTTCTCTTTTCCTGACTTAATAATTATTTGAAAATCTTGATCTTTTCCTCAACTCTTTTCTGTCAATTTTTTTCCATTTTAAAACTCAAAAGCCTTATTATAGTAACATTTCCTCAAAACTAATACAAATTTTTCACTATTTTGACATTCAGAAATAGGGATGGTCTAGTAATACAGGTTGAAAAAAAACTTGCTATTTAGCAAGTTGTTCCAAACAGGAATGTAAGTTGAGCCCTCACAAACTTACCAGTGTTCGGAAAATACCTATTCTAATGTCGTCATGTAATTATTTACACTTGTAGCATAATTTCATTAAATTTTAGTTTGTTTTAGTTAAACTTGGAACACTGCTATTACTCAAAGTGACTTCAAAAATTCCTCTCTGATCCAGAAGTAAAACAAAATATTATAGTTAGGAGGTTCTGATTGTGGGGAAGATGAAATAGATATATTCTACCCTGGCAATTGTAAAACCTGGACAGAATACACAGAACAGGCATTTGAGGACTCTGTCTTCCTGCTACTTGGCCCTGGATACATGCAGTCATGAGAAGTACATAGCAGAATGGGGTAAGTGAAATCTCAGGTTTTCTGTGAGAGGACCTAAAAGGGGAGCCTCAGGGGACTGGAAAGTATCAAACATCATAGAGAGACAAGCTCAGGAGAGCAATGCCGTAATTCCTGGGTTCACCTCTGAGCTGTGCATGCATGGATCTGATACTAAATAGCATACCATAGACTTGAGTACTGAGGTATGGGATAAAGGGATAAACCACTATCCAGATCCAAGACTGCCCACTGAGTATGCACAACTGAAAGAGGTCTGAATAGTATTGCAAGGCTTTGAAAACTGAACTGACATTGGAACCACAGCCACAAAGACAGGTCACATTTTGTGGCCTGCATCCAGCTGGGTCATTTACATGCTAAAATGAAAGTATGAATACTCTCCATAAGATTTAAACAAGATCTAGACATGTATAATATTCAGAATGTTTAGTATTTAATCCAAAATTACTCAGCATACAAAGAACAGAGAAAATCTTAATCTGCATGAGAAAAAACAGCCAACAGATGCCAATGAAGAGAGAACATAAGTGTTGAAATTGTTAAAGACTTTAAGCTAGGCATTATAGAATGCTCCAAGAAGTAAAGGTGAACACTCTTGAATGGAAATGGTATCAACAAACAAATAGAAGACATAAAGAGAAACCAAATGGAAATGTTAGAGCTGAAAGTATAATAACCAAAATAAAAAACTCACTGATGGACTTAATGGCAGAATACAGATGACAGGAAAGAGTCAGTGAACTTGAAAATGGACCCACAGAAATTGTCTAATCAAATAAGAGAAAAAGATTTTTAGAAAATGAACATGGCCAGATATAGTGGCTCATGCCTGTAATCTCAACATTTTAGGAGGCCAAGGTGGGAGGATCGCTTGAGCCCAGGAGTTCAAGACCAGCCTGGACAACATAGTAAGACCCTGTGTCTACCAAAAAAGAAAATTAGCTGGGTGTGGTGGCATGGGCCTGTGGGTCTAGCTACTCAGGAAGCTTTGCCAGAGCCCAGGAGATCAAGGCTGCAGTGGGCCATGATTGCACCACTACTGCACTCTAGCCTGAGCAACAGAGTGAGATCTTGTAGAAAGAAAAGAAGAAAAAGAGAAAGAGAGGAAGAGAGAAAGAGAAAGAGAAGGAAGGAGGGAGGAAGGGAGGGAAGGAAGGAAGGAGAAAAGAAAAAATGGTAAAAAAGAAAAAGAAAAGGTCAACTCAGAATTCTACATTCAGTGAAAATATACTTCAGGATAAAAGTAAAATAACTACATTCTTAGATGAAAGAAAATTAAGAGAATTCATTGCCAGCAGACTTGCTCTAAAAGAATTTCTAAAGATATTGACTCAGCAATCAAAACATTTCCCACAGGAGAAAAAAAAGCCCAGGCTTAAATGACTTGCATGGTATACTCTTCCAAATGTTTAAAGAAAAACTAACTCCAGTCCTTTACAAACTCACATAAAAATATAGACAAGGAAGGAACACTTTCCCACTCATTCTGTGAGATCAAAAGTATGATACCAAAACAGACAAAGATATCAGATAAAAATAAAACCACAGACCAACATCTCTTATGAATATAGATACAAAAATCCTCAACAAAATATTAACAAACCAAATCCAGCAACATATGAACAAGACTATACATCATGGCAAGTGAGATTTATCCCAGGAATGCAAGGTTGGTTCAACATACAAAAGTCAATCAATATAACACACCATGTTAAGAAAATAAGGGGTGAAAACCACATGACCATCTCAGTAAAGATAGAAAATGCATTCTACAGATTAAAAACATTCAACAAACTAAGAACAGAAGGGAACCTCCTCAACCTGATTAGGGTATTAACAAAAAACCTTCAGCTAACATCATACTTAATGGAAGAAGACTGAAAACTTTGCCCCTAAGATCTGAAATAAGATCAGAATGCCTTCTCTTACCACTTCTATTCAACATTATACTGGAGATTCTAGCCAAGTCATTTTAGCTAAATAAATAAATAAAAAGCATCCAGACTGGAATGGAAGAAGTAATCTATTTTCTGATGTTATGATTGTCTATATGTAAAATCATAAGGCATCCACAAAACACACTATAGACCCATTAAATGAGTTTAAAAGGTTACAAGATTTAAGCTCAATGTACAAAAATCAATTGTACTTCCATACAGTTGCAATGAACAATCTGAAAATAAAATTAAGAAAAAATTTCATTTACAATAGTATTAAAAAACCACACAAAGCCATTTATATGAAATGCCAAGAATAAAAAAAATCCATATAGATGGAAAGTAGATTAGTGGTTGCCATGAGGGAGTGACTGCTAATGGATACAGGGTCTCTTTCTTTTTTTTTTTTTTTCTTTTTCTGAGACGGAGTCTCACTCTGTCACCCAGGCTGGAGTACAGTGGTGTGATCTCTGCTCACTGCAACCTCCACCTCCCAGGTTCAGGTGATGCTCCTGCCTCAGCCTCCCAAGGGGTACAGGGTTTCTTTGTGAGGTGAAGAAAATACTCTAGAATCAGATATTTGTGATGGTTTTGCAACCTTGTGAATATATTAATACTAAAAACCAACTGATTGTACACTAAAGGTAAATTTTATACTATGTGAATTATACTTCAATTTTATAAAGAAGACTATACTTAGGAATAAATTTAACAAAATTATGATATACAATTTTGTAGCTCTATCTGCTGAAAGAACCTGGGGGCAGCAGCATCCCAGTCACAGTAAGCACACCAGCACCCAAATCTTGGTTTCTTAATACTCTTTTCCATTAAAAGGAACCAGCACTCCTTGGAGAAATGCCTGATTCTGGGACTGGGGCTGGGAAAGACACTACAGGATTACCTGGAATAGCTTATAACTAACAACTTATAGAATGAGAGGAATAAAGGGGACATAACAAAGGGACACAAGAGCCATATTGAAGGAGTTAGTCAACTTGTGTTGGCAAGGACAACTCCAGGACAATTTGAACATCAAATAAATAGTTAATTATAATTCATTCAATAACATGTATGAACTTATACATATTGATATAAGTAAATGAATAAGTTAGTAACTGGGACAGAAGAATATAGAGAATATATATATTCTCTATATGACCAGAGAATGCCAATAAGTACTAATAACCTACTAATTAATAAGTAGAAAATACTTTTTCATTAACTTTATGCTGGAGGAACCAGGCATACATCATTTATACCAAGGACTGAAAGTTAACACCACCAGCAATGGGACAAATCAACATACTGTGCCTCCTGACATGATGCACTGAGAACAAAGAATTATTCCTGTTGTGTTTCTGCCAAAGTTGCATCTACTCATGAAGAAACGTCAGACAAACTCAAATTGAGAGATCGTCCAAAAAATAACTGGCCTGTTATCTTCAAATATGTCAAGATAGCAGAGACTAAGGAAAGATTGAAGAACAGTACCAGATTGAAGAACATTAAAGAGATATGACAACTGAGCACACCAATAGTCCTGGATAGGATCCTAGATTCACAACACATTTAAATGGTACAATCAAGAAAATTTGAAGAAGGTATGTGGACTCGAGGTATTAGTATTTTGTCAATGTTAGTTTCCTAATATTGGTGGTTATATTGTGGTTTTGTAGAAGGTCTCTAAGAATCTTATGGGTGTACCTTATATTTCAACCAGGAAAAAAAAATGCTTCTAAGAATCTTAGGGCTGGCTGGGCATGGTGGCTCACACCTGTAATCCCAGCACTTTGGGAGGTCAAGGTAGGTGGATCACTTGAGGCCAGGAGTTCGACACCAGCCTGGGCAACATGGTGAAACCGTCTCTAAAAAAATACAAAAATGAGCTGGGCATGGTGGCATGTGCCTGTAGTCCCATCTACTCAGGAGGCTGAAGCAGGAGGATCATTTGAGCCCAGGAGTTCAAGGCTATAGAGAGTCGTGATCGTGCCACTGCACTCCAGCCTTGCAACAGAGCAAGACCCTATCTCTAAAAAAATAAAAAGACTTTTAAGACTGTTGTACCACAACCCTGAGTCTCAGCCCAAGTTAGAGAAGGGCACTTCTTGGGAAGAAATATAGATATGGTTTTTGTCTAACGGAAAGAACTCCAATAAGATTTACAGGAAATCCTCAAAGGTTTTAAGATGATTTTATCAATAGAAGTACTGCCCACTTGGGCTAAAGAGACAGAGACAATACAAAGCAGATACCTTTGGGTTCCTTTATCAGTTTCCTACTGTTGCTGAAACAAATGACCACAAACACAGTGGCTTAAAACAACACATATATTGTCTTACAGCCCTGGAGTTCCGAAGTCTGAAATGGGTTTCACTGGACTAAAATCAACGTGTCAGCAGGTCTCTGTTCCTTTTGGAAGCACTAGAGGAGAACCTGTTTCCTTGCCTTTCCAGCTTCTAGAAGCGGTTCACAATCCTTGACTGGTGGCCTCTTCTTTCATCTTTAAAGTCAGCAATATAGTACTAAGTATCTTTAAATCTTTCTGACTTTGCTTCCATTGTCACATTTCCTTCTATGACTTTTAAGGACCCTCATGATTGCATCGGGACTACCAAGATAAACCAGCATAATCCTCCAATGTCAAGATCCTTAACTTAATCACATCTGTAAAGTCTCTTGTGCCATGTAAGGTAACACAGTCATGGGTTTTGGGAATCAAGACATGCACATCTTTGGAGGGAGGGCATGATTCTGCCTACCACAGTCCCTAATCTTCTATGGTCAGAATACCTTCTATGGGAAGGCTACTCAGTTAGAAAGGGTTTGTGCAAGCTAGGAGCCTTGAAGCTTAAGCTTCAAAACCTTCTAGGTAAATCTGCCTCTGGTATTGATTAAGAATATGGAATCAGGATCCACATGACCTGGGTTCAAGTCCCTTCTCTACCACTTACTATGTATGTTGATTGAATTGATGTTACAGATTGGGTTTTCTAGAAGCAGAGGCACAGCTGGAGTTTGAGGTGCAAGATGTTTATTAGAGATCAGCATCTACGAAAGGGAAAGGAAGCAGGAAAAGGCAGAGGAAGAAGTCAAAGAGGCTTGACAAAGCCTTGATCAAGGTGGCAGGTGCGCTGGAGCTAGTATTTCCTGTAAGAATTGTCTCACGATGGGCCAAAATGGCTAGGCCTTGATTCCCTCACCTTGCTCCATTGCTGGATTAGGGCTGTTCCAGGAAGGACATTTCCCTAAGCGAGACTGCTCTCTGCTATAGGACAGACCCTAAAGCAGCTGACCACTGGATACTCTTCTCATCACATACCCTGCAGCTGTGCAACAAGTCCTTCTTCGAAGGGGGATCTGCATGTTACATCTCATGTCTACACAAGCAGTGGTGTGCTGGAGCTGGCTCACCCCAGCTCACAGGAGTTGTTGGCATCTTTATCCAACCACAGTCAGTGGTGACATTTTTGCATGTCGAAATTAGCCACTGTGGGAGAATTGACACCACAGAAATTGGCAAATGCCACAAACCAGAACTTTATTTTTTTCCTGGAGAGCTGGTTTACCAGCACACCTCGAATGTGGTCCACAAGTGATTAACACTGAGTAGGTTAATGATTGTCCCTACAATTCAGTCTTCTCATCGGTAAAGTGGGGCCAATAATACTGTAAGAATACTAATATTACTTAGGCTATAGGGTCAGCATGAGAATTAAATGAGTTAATACATGTAAAATACTCTGGACAGCGATTAAATGAGTTAATATATGTAAAATACTCTGGATGGCGACTGCCACACAGGAAACACCCGGTAAGTATTAACTACTATGTTTACTGTTGCCATTGTTATTACAATTATTGCTACCTTAAAAACTTCCACTGGATTTTCATAGAGGACAAGCACCTAAATTTCTTAGTATGACATGCAAAGACCTTTCACAATCTGATAGTTTCAAGCACAAGAAACTTTTCATCATTTCTGGAACTCAAACTGTTTTCCACCTCCAAACCTTGTCACGCCCATGTACCTTCTGCCAGGAAAGCCCACTCCTCCCTTGCCTGTCAACTTCCAATTTTTTTCATCCTTTTGAACCAGCACCCATCACCTCCTCTCTGATGCCCTCTCCACCCACTACATGAGGGTTCCTTCTTCAGTGTTGCCATTGCATATTGCACAACCCTCAGTTACTCTGACAGCACTTTATTGTGATTACTTGTTTACATAACTGTCTCCTCCTTTGAGTCCAGGATTGGATCTGCTATTTCTCTGTGTAGGCAGCACAGTAACACAGGTACTAATAAATATTTGTTGCATGAATGAACATTGCCTGGGAAATGCATAAGAGGGGGGAAATAGAGTACATAGCCTAGTAGGCTATAATAATAATAATAATATTTTTATTTGCTTAAGTGACTCTAAGTATATTGTGTAAAGCAGTGACTTTAGGACCCCAGAGCTTCAGGTTCTGTAAGTCCTAGATTTGTCATATACTCACATCCTGACACAGTCCTACTTATCCTTCAGATGGCTCAGATGTCACGCTCTCTGTGAGGGTTTTCCTCCCAGCTGTCCTCTTGCCGCTCTTTGCCTGCGCACCTATTCACATACGCATAATTGACTCTTCTGGACGTCCCTGTGGGGATCCAGTGGTGTTTGTGTATTCCCACTCCATGGTACAGAGGGGCGGATATTTTGGGGATCCTGTGAGCGTGGTGTTAACAATATTTGGGGATAGTCACAGCCTTAGACCTGTGAATTCATCGCTCACCCTGCCTCCGCCTCAATTTCCCCTAGTGTGATGGGCACAGTGGAAACACCTTCCCAGGGTCGCGATTTAGTGGAGGGCGGCGGAGACTGATGTTGCAGGAAGCCCCCACGCATTCCGAGGAGCTGAGGAATAGAGAGCGAGGTGAGGCGTCGAAACAAGGAAGGAGTCAGGGGGCGTGGAGCGAGACTGGGCGGTGGACGGGACGGGCCGGGCCGGGGCCAGAGGGCGGGGCCTGAGCCGGGAGGGGGCGGAGACAGGGGCGGGGCAGGCGAGGGCGGGAGCGGCTGCCGCCGCGCGGCCAGGACTGTCTGAGGGGAAGTTCGCGAGCGCTGGCTATGGGTCCTGGGGCGCGGCTGGCGGCGCTGCTGGCGGTGCTGGCGCTCGGGACAGGAGACCCAGAAAGGGCTGCGGCTCGGGGCGACACGTTCTCGGCGCTGACCAGCGTGGCGCGCGCCCTGGCGCCCGAGCGCCGGCTGCTGGGGCTGCTGAGGCGGTACCTGCGCGGGGAGGAGGCGCGGCTGCGGGACCTGACTAGGTGAGGGCACGACGAGTGGGAGCGACCGAGGGGCCTCAGTGGGATACACTGTGCCGCAGGGTGGGGTGACTCAGGTTGAGTGTGACCCCAGGCTCATTGTCATGCTGCGTGGGACCCCAGACCCACTGTCGCACCGTGCGACTGAGACATTGTGGCATGGGGTGGGGAGTGGCTCTGAGGGCCAGTGTGACCCCCTAGACCCATTGTCACCCTGTGTGGGACCCTGACACTCCGTGGCATGAGGTGTTGGCGAGGGTTGGGTCACACTGGGACTGCAGACTCCATCACACACATAGTGGCACCCCCCATATCCAGCGTCACACAGCAAAGTTGATACACTGTGGAAGAGCGGGGCGGGGTGACTCTAGGACCTCACAATGTGCTGTGCAAAGCTGTGTGAGCCCCAGGCCCTGTGTCACACTGACACAGACACAGTGGACGGTGCTGTGACAGAGACACTGTGAGAGTGACATGGAGAGAATACGGTGACGCTTTAGCTACGCAAGTATTGACCTTTCAAGGGGGGATCGTGAAACACCGCATGACCTAGTGAGCTGATGTTTAGTGTTAGGAGTCAGGTGACAGTCTTCCACCATATGTGAGGTTTACATGTCATTGGGACTGGATGGGCACGACACTGTGGATATCATACTCTGCATGTGAATGATGCTGAGTAACTGTACAGGTCGCTATATGAATAATGCTTCAGTTCATTAATTCATACAACACATATTTTTGAGTGCCTACTAAGAGCCAGGCAGTGTTCCAGGCAGTGGGGATAAAATGGTGATCAAGAGCCAACTCTGCCCTCGAGGAGTTTGGGTCTGTAGCACCATGACTGTTAATCAGAGATGTCCACTGCCGTCTACGTCTTCAGTTCTTCCTTCTCTTTACACATGTAGAAGCTCTCTAAATACTAAATAAATGATAACTGAGATGTTATATGTGTGTCAACATATTTGATATCAAAAAAGCACTGTGAAAAAACATACTTGATGCAGAAGATACTGAGTGTAGCACACAGCAGTGGATGCTCAGCTAATATAGTTTTGGGGTACAGTCAACAAACTCTAGTGCTACACACTGTGGCATAAAAGGTTGTCAGACTTGGGATGCTGAGGCACCATAGTCATGTATCGACTTAGCAGTGTCCAACTGACAAAAATGAAAGATAAATGATTGTATATGATACCATCTGTATGAATATGTGCTGCGCCTTCTCTGCCTGGGACATCAAGAAGCCTACAACACTGACAGAGTGGTTATGACCACGTCACTATTTGGATATATTAATATTGTACTTATATCATGTGACCTTATCATTGAGCAAAGACAGCACAATGCACTGCTTTTAAAACTTTGCGTGAGTGTGTGTGGTAATAATACTGATTCTGGGGTGACATGAGAAGAAGGTATGTGGAATGGGGAGTGACTCTGAGGTCCAGTGTGACCCCCAAACCCATTGTCACCCTGTGCGAAACTTTGTGACCCCATGACTGTGAGAGAGAGCTATGTAGAAGAGAAGCATTTTGTGGGTGGAAAGTATTTGCGAGAGATCTTGTTAATAGTGACTGAATGAGCTAATGTGGTGCTTGTCCTTAAGTATGTGGCTTGCGTATAAACAGCTTGAAATAGTGTGACAATATACAATATAGGTATGTATTAATTTTAACAATAAATGAAGATCATTTCAATAATTATTGTCACTCTTTGGAATAGCATAGTTGTCTAGTATTCTATGGGTCCATGTTGACCGAGCCAAATGTTTTCTTTTTGTTCATAGCCCAGAGTCATTGGAGTCCAAGCTTATTAGTGGAAATAGGACAGAATTTTTTCTCTTTGATTTCAGAGCCCAGCATTCTCCCTGCTACCCATGCTTGTTCTCATACCAGTAATCTCTTTGGGTAGCTCAGATGGAGACGGGAGTGGGGGGTCAAAATCCCCCTGCTGGTCTTTCAGGTTACATTCTCAGAAGAGAGCACTTGAAGCATTTTGGCCAAAGCAGCTGGCCAACCCCATTCCACCATGCTGGTCTCCTTCACTGTCTTTCCACCACTGTCATTATCACAACTTTGTCACAGCAGGAGGTCTCATACAAACCATATCTCATCTGATTCTCTCTCACACACAATGCTTTGAAATAGATTTGTATTACACTTGTTAACTATTGAGAAATCAGTTAAAACATGAGAAAACTAAAGTCTAGTTGCTCACTCAAGATTGTATTAATAAATCTAATAGGTAGCAAATCCAGGACTAGGACACAGTTGTTTTGATTGTTTATCCAACTTTTTTCCTACTATGCTATGTTATCCCTACCACTTCTTTTATCTGTTATACCAAGACATAGACCAAGCCCCTAACTAATTGAGGTTTTACTAGTGGCCACAGTACATGGTGGTTAACAGTGAATTCAGGAGTTTAACAGACCTCTATTTGAATCGTTGGCTCTGATCTTGGACAAGTTACTTTACCTCTTTGAGCTTTAGTTTCCTAATCTGTAAAATGATGATAAAAATAGTACCTACCACCATAGGGTTTTTGGAAGGATTAAGAGTACCATGTAAAAGTTTTTATCATTGTACCTGGCATGTAACAATTGATGGACAAATGCTAAGCCTTTATGCTTATTATTTTATTTTATTTTATTTTAAGACCATCTAGTGAAACTAGGCCCCACTTTTGGCTCTAAGTATTAACTAGGATTGTGACAGCCTAGATAAAAAAACAAATCAGAAAAGTTCTCAATTATTTTCTCAGGTGACTTATGAACAGTTAATTTTGTAGTTTAGTTTGATATTTTGAAGACTGTCATTCTGTCATTCTGTTCTCTAGTGACTGCTCTAAAACCCAGTGAAATGTTTGCTTTTTAAGAGACAGGGTCTTGCTCTGTCACCCAGGCTAGAGTGCAGTGGCTCTATCATAGCTCACTATAACCTCAAACCCCTGGCTCAAGTGATCCTTCTGCCTAAGCCTACCAAGTAACTAGGACTACGGGTGCACACCACCATGCCTGGCTAGGGTTTTTTTGTTTTTGTTTTTGTTTGGTTTGGTTTGATTTGGTAGAGACGGGGTCTTGCTCTCTTGCCCAGACTGGTCTTGAACTCCTGACCTGAAGTGATCCTCCCTCCTCGGGCTCCCAAAGTGTTGGGATTGCAAGCATGAGCTACCGTGCCCAGCCTTTATGTTTGCCTTTTAAAACAAGAATTTTGGCAGTTCTTGCTAATTTTTCTATACTCCCAATCTGGTGATTTTATGTAACTTGAGAGGCTATTTCCAAGGCTCTCAGTTGAGATAGAAAAATGCAGTATTCTTGAGGTTGAAACTACTCCCTACTCCAAGTTAATGAATAAAAATTATACTTGTTATAGTATATATAGTTATATGCCAGTATGGTACATATACTAGTTATATATATAAAAAGAGTTTATCCTAGCTTTTGTTGTTGCTGTTTTTGCAGTTTAAAACACCACCAAGAGTGAGAGAGAAGTGTCAGCAGCAATTTTTTCTGTGCTAAGGATTAAGCATTAATAATGTCCCAGAAGAACTGATACAAAACCATTTCTGAATTCCAAAGGCAAAACATATTGAAGTGAAATAGCCCATGTATTGTGGTTGGATAACCTGCCCAGGCTATGTTTAATGCAGGGATTGGGTTGCAAATTTTATGTGCAGATTCTTGAAGGAAAGGATCTGATTTTCCATTCTCAGCAGTATTTGTTAAAGCAAAAAGACATTTAGGAAACCCTGAGGTTTGAATTCAGCATCCAGTAACTCAGTTTCCAGTCTCTGGAAACCGCTATGTGCTCAGAGGCTGGGCATAGGGCCAACTTTTGGATTCTAAGCCAACCTCAGTTATCAGTTGAGAGATTTTTTTTCTTTGTGTGACAGAAAAATGGCATATCTAAACACTGGATTGAATTGATGTGCTGCAATAGAGATCAAACCCTGACCTAAACAAATCAACCCCAAAATGCAAAGAGGGGTGCTAAGAAAACAAGGAAGTAGACAGCACTTTTGATTTGATGCATGACTTGGGGCAAATATTCACCTCTCTGCTTTACCACTTTACCTTTGTGCCTCAGTGTCCTCTGATTCCTATTAAACATTAGTCCTCAAGCTAATGAGGAATCTGTTTATTCAGTTGTGGAGGGGGTGATGAGAAGAAATAACAGAATGTTCATGCTGAAAAGATCCATAGAAATCTTCTAGACTAGATCAGTTCCTTCATTTTATGGATGAGGAAACTGAGTGATAGTTGGAGGCTGGGTCAGAATAAGTCCCAGTTCCTTCCTATCCAGCTGTCTTATAAAATCACTGCCCTCTCAGCCTCAATTGTTCCTGGACACCTACTCTTTAAGCTGGACTCAAGCCCAAGTCTCCGCTTGTTAAGATTTTTCATCAAGCAGTGGAGTATCTTTCCCTAAGTAGTTCCATACGGAGCCAAAGCAGGAGACAATGGGTAGTAAAGATCCCACACCCTGGAGGCTGGTTTCATTTCAAAACCCTAGAGCTTCAGCTCACAGACTGCCTTGTCTTTGGGATCAGAGACACCCTGGGACTTGACAGGCTTCCCATTTCCCCACTGGGAGACCCAGGTCCAGGTTCTTGTTCCTTAGTTTATGTTGAATTGAACATTTGGCTCCTTGGAAGCCTCAAGGCAGTCGTCTTCTATTTCAGGCTTCATTTCATAGTTGAGGACCTCACTCTTTAGAAATCCTCAGATAAGACTCTGCTCCAAGGGGTTGAAATCCTACCACCTTGCCACTTCCTCTATTTTTCACTTTCATCTCTGTCTCCTCGCAGAAGTCGCCCACTCTTGCCAAAGGACTCATAGTCTCCTGTGCTCTTGCACACGTTCATTTTTTTTCACTTTGCACAAACTTTTTTTTCTTCTACTTCCATTCTTGTTATACTATTTTTGAAGTTGATAATTTTAAAACGAGCGGGAAAACTCTTGGAGAGCAGGAATAGTACCTTAATCTGCCCTGTTATAGATAATAAATTTCAGTAATATAAATTCCATTGGTGTTTTAGAAATGGAATTAACCAGAGTATACTAGGAAAGGAAACAGCATCTTTTGCCTATATAAACACTGTTGAAGGACACTGGAGAAGGGAAATTAACTGGAAAGATGATCACTTCAGGCCCTACCATTTCTGCCCTTTTCTGCATTTGTTGCCAAGCTAGAAAGGTTGGAAGTGTGCTGGACGATCCCACCTCTTATTCCCCTTTACAGTCATCACCACTTCCTAAACTCCTTCCTTGAACCCAGTCCATTCTCCATCGCTGTCGTGGTTCAGAGTCTCCTTGTCTTGTGCTTGCAGTTTTGAAGTGGCCTCCTCCCCACCCTCTCACACATTTATATATGTGAACAAGTCATAGTTTCAACAGTACCACTCTCACTTAAAGCCTTCTCTAACCTGCTCTGGCCAAATTAATCATCCCCTCTCTGTCCTCCCCACTAAGCCTTGTTCTTAAATCTGGTATTGCATCTGTAATGTAATTATTTGTGTCTTTCTTACTCACTAAACTGTGGATCCTTGAGACCAAGATTATTTCCTTATTCAGAATTTTGTCCCTAGCTCCTAGGAGAGTATACTTCATTCTTTCTTTCATAGAAATATGTATTGAATTTAGGTATAGAATGATGAGAAAAAAAGTTATTTTCTTATCCATGAAATCCTTGAGTATTAGACCTCGTCTTGCCTTTGTATCCCTAGAATCTAGCATGGAGTCTGACATCTAGCAAATAACTCGTGTAGATTGACTTACTACAAATATATCTCAAGCCTCTGTGCCTTTGTACACTAATGGTTCCTGTTGGCTTGAAAAATACTCTTCTTCTCTTCTTTGTTCTAGCTCCTTAAGAAACCATATAGCATAATCAGCTGCGAACCCAGGTTTTGGAGTTAGTCAGACTTGGGTTCCATCCTGGCTTTGCCCTTTACTAACAGTGTGGCTTTGTTTCAGTTTCCTCTCTGTGGAATGGGTAAAATTAAATCTACACTAAGGGTCGGTTGGAAGGTGGGGGGTAATTAAATGAGACAATCTATTTAGAGCACCCAACAGGCCAATACATGGTAGGAGCTCAATAAGTAATAGCTTTCAGTATTTTAACAAATCATTCAAGATTCAGATCACATGCCATCTCTTCTTGGAAGCCTTTCCTTCCCCCTTCTAACTCCCACCTGGATGAGCTGCCCTGCCTGCACAGCTGCAGCATTATATGCTCACTTCTCTCATAGCAGAGAGGTCCCCAACCCCTGGGCCAGGGACCGGTACCAGTCCATGGCCTGTTAGGAGGCGGGCCCCCCAGCAGGAGGTGAGTGGTGGGCAAGGGAGCATTACTCTTTGAGCTCCACCTCCTGTCAGATCAGCCACGGCATTAGATTCTCATAGGAGCGTGAACCTTATTGTGAACTGCACATGTGAGGGATCTAGGTTGTGTGCTCCTTATAGGAATCTAACTGGTACCTGATGATCTGAGGTGGAACAGTTTCATCCCGAAACCATCCCCCAACCCCCCGGTCCGTGGAAAAAATTGTTTTCCATGAAACTAGTCCCTGGTGCCAAAAAGGTTGGGGACCACTATATAGCACATATCACAGTGGTTATAATTAATTCAATAGTGTTTTTGAGTTTCTACCAGATACTAAGTATTGCATATACAGTGATGACAGGAGAAAAAGACTTTGTGATCCCTTTGAGAGCTGGACCCTGTCTTGCCTTTATATCTCTAGCATGGTGCCTGAAATACAGTAATTGATTAATATAGACTGACTCATTCAGTGAACAAAAGAGTGGACCTACTTTTGTTGTATCTATAGTTTTCATATTCTTTGGGCTTGCATGGCTTTTTGGTTGGACTATTATGTGAATCTCAAGAGGTTCAGCATGTCAGTGTTAGCTACTCTTAATGTACACACACCATGCCAGCCTTCCCTAGGTGTAGTGGTTGTATCAGGAGGTGAGATCATTCTACTCCTTTCTTTCAGATTCTACGACAAGGTACTTTCTTTGCATGAGGATTCAACAACCCCTGTGGCTAACCCTCTGCTTGCATTTACTCTCATCAAACGCCTGCAGTCTGACTGGAGGAATGTGGTACATAGTCTGGAGGCCAGTGAGAACATCCGAGGTAATGAGGAGGAGGGCTGGAGGGTAAGAGAGAAGATTCTATCTCCTGACTCGGTGGTAAGGAGAGAGATTCTGTTGGGATGTGATTTCAAAGGGTAATGGAGTAGGTGGGTATTACTTAATATCCTTAGCTCTAGCTAGCACAAAGAATTAGGCCCGCTTGCTAATCAGTTTATATGATTATACCTTAGAAAGCACTTTCATATCAATTGTCTCATTTGATGTTCACTACAATCCTGTGACAAAGTACAAGCCTTCCATTTATATATGTATAGAAAATAACGGTCTTCTAGTAGTTTCTGTTTCATTAAATTGTCACTACAGTGTCATCTATAGCAAGATCACTTTCCTAATTTATTCTACTTTGTGCTGTAAGAAGTTTGTTGACGGCCAGGCGCGGTGGCTCACACCTGTATTGCAGCACTTTGGGAGGCTGAGGTGGGCTGATCACTTGAGGTCAGGAGTTCCAGACCAGCCTAACCAACATAGTGAAACCCTGTCGCTATCAAAAATACAAAAATTACCGGGGAGTCGTGGGATTACATGCCTGTAATCCCAGCTACTCGGGAGCTGAGGCAGGAGAATTGCTTGAATCCGGGAGGCAGAGGTTGCAGTGAGCCAAGATCGCACCACTGCACTCCAGCCTGGGGTGACAGAGCGAGACTTTGTCTCAAAAAAAAAAAAAGTGTTGACTTTTGGGCTGGGCACAGTGGTTCATGCCTGTAATCCCAGCACTTTGGGAGGCTAAGATTGCTTGAGCTCAGGAGTTCGAGACTAGCCTGGGCAATATAGCGAAACCTATTAAAAATAACAAAAATTAGCCAGGCATGGTGGCGCATGCCTGTAGACTTGGGAAGCTGAGGCACAAGAATTGCTTGAACCCAGAAGGTGGAGGTTGCAGTGAGCTGAGATTGCGCCACTGCTCTCTAGCCTGGGCGACTGAGCAAGACCCTGTCTCAAAAAAAAAAAAAAAAAAAAGAAGTTTGTTGATTTTTGGAAAGCTAACAGTGAGAAGAGTCTGGGTGTGGTTGCTCATGCCAATAATCTCAACACTTTGGGAGCTTGAGTTGGAAGGATCACTTGAGGCCAGAAGTTTGAGACCAGCCTGGGCAACATAGCAAGACCCTGTCTCTACAAAAAAATTTATTTAAATTAGATGGATGTGATGGCGTGTGCCTGAAGTCCTGCCTACTCAGAAGGCTGAGGTGAGAGGCTCACTTGAGCCCAGGAATTCAAGATTATAGTGAGCTATGATCATGCCAGTGTGCTCCAGCCTAGGCAACAGAACAAGATCCTATCTCTATTAAAAGAAAGAAAGAAAAGAAAGAAAAGAGGAGAGAAGAGAAAAAAAGAAAAGAAAAGAAAAAGAAAAAAAGAAAAAGAAAAAGAAGAGTTGTCTCCCTAAAGAGTGAGACTCCTGTAAACATACAGGATAGGACAATATAATGAAGCTGTATGCCTTAATTTTTATTCCTCATTCACTCATTCTGAATGTTCCTCATTCAGAATTGCATTAAGCATCCACCCTGTGCCAGGAACTGTGCTTGCCTCTGGGAACACAAAGACAAATCCAACTTGATGTCATTAAATATTTGAACAGGTGGTCATGCCTTACATGTATTAAATGCCCAACTCCTGTTTCTTGAATGCTGGGTTGATGTTTTTACTACTTTTACAGCTCTGAAGGATGGCTATGAGAAGGTGGAGCAAGACCTTCCAGCCTTTGAGGACCTTGAGGGAGCAGCAAGGGCCCTGATGCGGCTGCAGGACGTGTACATGCTCAATGTGAAAGGCCTGGCCCGAGGTGTCTTTCAGAGAGTCACTGGCTCTGCCATCACTGACCTGTACAGCCCCAAACGGCTCTTTTCTCTCACAGGGGATGACTGCTTCCAAGTTGGCAAGGTAACAATATTCAAGAGAGGGCCAATTGCTTGGCTCTGGTTTCTTATGGATAAAATAACTATGTACCGATTGATTTTACTTCTTTTTAATACTTACAGTAAACTTGGAAATTTGATATCATTTCCATTTTCAGAGAAAGAAAACAAGATTCAGAGAGGGTAAATAACTTGCCCTAAGATTATGCAATTTTAAGGGCAGAACTAAAGCTTGAACCCAGTCTTTTGACTCCAAATCTCAGGCCCTTTCCATAGTAGTTAAGGTGTTTATATACTTAGAACACTCTTGAGATTGAAAGGGGTGTTATTAATTATGCTAGAACAACAGACATGAACTAGGAAAAATGGTCCTTTGTTCACCCTAACTATAGCACCCTGCCAGTGCATGAACTCCTGGGTAGAAAGGGAAAGCAGGGGGTCAGGGACGCAAGGTTGGGGAAAAGGATAAGAGATGGTGATGGAAAGGTAAGATCACGGAAACAGCCTCCTGAGACTTTCTGGAATCCAATGCAACATTTCCTAAGCATTTGGAAGTACAAAATTAAAGTAGTGTCCAAAATCTAAGGCCATTCACTTTAACATTACTTGAGGAAATAGACTTCAGGAACACCCCCGCCCCCCATCTGAGGTATTTAACTGATCTTTGATTATAAGTTGTAATCACACGTGAGATCATTTTGTAATATACTCTTTGCCAGCCTTTGCTATAAAAAGCAATGGAGCAAATCCATTTTAACTTTGAAGATGTTTATTGCAGTAAGGTGTATTTTTCCTGACTCCTACAGTATTCATCAACAGATCTGGGAGTGGGTCTCATGTGTCCTGATTCCAAGTTTTGGGAGTCAGTCTTCCAAATTAAGGCAGAGTAGGCTGCTTGAGTCTCTCTACATACTGTTTTCTCTTTTCTGGGATCCTGAGTGGAATCAGAGCTCAATCATCATGTTCATGGCTGATTTAAATTTAAGCCAGGTAAAGTAGTTTAATGTATGGTACTAACATATTAGTGAGGCCTTTCTGAAAGTAAAACCGTATGTTGAAAATTTAGTAAGTCACTTCCTGGAAGTCTTACTGGCAATCTTTCTTTCTATATTTATTCACTTATTTTGAGAGAGAAAACTTTTCAAATATAAGAAAAGAACATAAAATAATATAACAAGCAATTATATCTATTATTGTAATGAATATATGTTCAAATTTTGCTATGTTTGTTTCATTTTTAAAAATATATATTAGAAAAAAAAACATGTTACATACAGCTAAAACCCCACTCATCCTCCTCGCCACCCCCCATCCCTTCTGCTCCACCCTTGCCCAGGTAGCAGCGATCCTGAACCATATAGTATGTGCCCTTTTAAGTCCAGCTTCTTTCATTCAGCACATTGTATCTGTGGAATTCATCCATATTGTATCATTTGTTAGTAGTTTATTTCTTTTTATTGCTGAGTAGTATTCCATTCTAAGAATATACCACAAACTGTTGATCCAGTCTCCTGTTGACAGATTCTTGGATTGCTTCTAGTTTGGGCTACTGTGAATAAAGCTTCTATTAACATCCTTTTATGTCCTTCTATGGACATTTATTCTCATTTCTCTTGGATGAATACCTCGGAGTGGTATCGCCAACTCACAGAATAAGCTTCAATAATTATCAACATGTGGCCAAATTTGTTTCATCTACACTTCCCCGATCCCTTCCTCTATGGATTATGAAATTTCTAGTTTATGAAATTCTTTTTGTTTTCTTAGGGTTTTGCTCTGCCATCCAAGTAAGTGCAGTGACACAATCATGGCTCACTGCAGCCTTGATCAAGTGATCCTCCCACCTGGGGGGGCTCAAGTGATCCTCCCACCTCAGCCTCCCGAGTAGCTAGGACTACAGGTGTGCCCCACCATATCCAGCTAATTTTTTAATAAGGGTCTCACTGTGTTGCCCGGGATGGTCTTGAACTCCTGGCCTCAAGTGATCCTCCTGCCTCAGCCTCCCAAAGTGCTGGGATTACAGGCATAAACCACTGCACCCAGCCTATCTTCTGAAATTCTTAATTGTCTAATTCCATCATCGTGCTATTGTGTCTGTTGACTCTTGCTCATGATGGATTATTTCCTGATATAGTTTTCATGTTTGGGAGCTTATTTTCAGCAGGACATTTTCCCCCTAAGAGAATCCATGTGCCCAGAGTTGTGGGAATATCCCTCCAGAGAGTTTTGGGTGTTCTTCTTCCAGAAACTCTGGTGCTCTCACTCGCCTTAGATCATTTTTATATTTATTTATTGACATAGGAGTTCCTTGACCATATGAATATTGCAGATTCAAACCCTATACTCACCAGAAGTAGAGGCTCAAAATTGAGAATATTCTTACACAGAGCTAGACAGAAACAAACAAATATTCTTGTCTCATTAAGATAGCAAGCAAATTTTTTTCTGGTCTACCTTTTCTCCTAAGGTATAGTTTTTTATAGAATCCAGTTTCATGAGGGTGTCTTAGTTCCAGTTCCTGGGCTTGGGGCAGGTCTAAGGATGGCTCATCTTCTATCCTCATATGGGCATTATAACCCAAGGTTACTGAACACCAAGGTTACTATGATTAACACCCACCCCCATCCTAGGGAACATCAGCATCTGCTCATAAGCTTATGGTTTGGGCTTTTAGCCCTTTTTTGTTTCTGGTACCTGATATTTTCTGTTGTTTTTTTTTTTTTTTTCTTGAAAATATATAATAAAACGCTTTTTATAGTTTATTCAAAGTGTCCGAATTTGTGTTCGGAAGGATTCCAGTTGTTTCAGTCTACCATATTGCTGGGACTTGAAGTTACTCATGGAAATCTTAATTAAACAAATTAACTTGGCATGAAAAGTTCAGTCATTTTTAGCATTTTTCAGCTCAACGTTTTTACAAATAGGACTTGAGGTGCAGAAAAATAAAACAACAGGTTAATGGCAGACTTGAAGGAAAAATGATTTATTGTTTAGGCTGCAGAATTGCAATATCTCTAGGATTTTTCCCTGTCAGGAAGTTACACCCTAATTAGATCATTTTGTAAGAGTTCTTCCTAGTCTGTAACTTTACAGTTCCATGTTGTCTCCAATATCAACTTCCAGGAAATTCCACTTGCAGTTCTGGTATTCTAGTTAACTGTAAACTATGAGGAGACAGGAGCTGTGTCTGGTACGTGTTGCCATGTTGCCAGCATTCCAGCATTTAATACAGAACAGATCCATTGAGCTTCCATAGCGTTCCCATGTCTACCTTCATTATGGTGTCTAATGCATTGTGTTACAATTATTGGCTTACTCATGTGCCCCGTCTTGATTTAAGCTCTTACAGGACAGGGCCACTAGGCACATAGAAAATACTTAGTAAATATTGAATAAATGAATGAATGAATGAATGTAATCCATTCTTCACATTGCTACCAGCAATATCTTCCTAAAAATATGACATTCAAGACTGTAATTTGCTTAGCCCATGCTGCTGTTTCAAGTTTACTTTTTGTTTCTCTTCACCCTAGCTACAGCCACGATGGACTACTTGAACACATTCTTGCTTTAGATTTCTGTTGCTGCCATTCCCTCATCTTAAAATGCTTTTCTTCCCAGTCTCTGCTCACTGATATCCTTTTCCTTCTTCAAGGAAGGCCTGTCTCAGATGCTACCTCTTGCATGAAGCTTTCTGAGATTCCCAAGTCTCCTCCCTTCCCTGTGCCACCACAGCATAGTATACATTTTCTTTGGAGCACTCATGATATTCTGTCCCAAATTAGAGTTAATTGAGGTCATGTTCTCTTTTCCTTCAGATTATAAATTCCTTAAGTGCAAGAACCCTTATGTCTCCTCTCCACGTAGTACAATGCGTTGTATATAGTAGATGCTTAATAAATTGAATTAAAATGAATTTGAAATTAAAACCTGCCTTCTTGGATTCCAAAGTCCCTCTTATTCTTTGAATTGTCATTTTCTTTTTCTACCTGTGGAATAAGGCTTTGGCGATGGTACTTGTGTTCTGTGTAGGTGGCCTATGACATGGGGGATTATTACCATGCCATTCCATGGCTGGAGGAGGCTGTCAGTCTCTTCCGAGGATCTTACGGAGAGTGGAAGACAGAGGATGAGGCAAGTCTAGAAGATGCCTTGGATCACTTGGCCTTTGCTTATTTCCGGGTAAGGGAGTAAGTGAAGCTCACTGCTTTTATTATACTAAGTGAAATCCTTTATAGCTGCTTTACAATTTCTAAGTATTTTCATGTCTTCATCTGTTTCATCTTCCCAATAGGACCAAACTGAGCCAAGCAGGGAAGTTATTTTATCATTTCCATATATCACATGTGAGTAAACTGAATCTCCAAAAGACTATTAACTTGTCACAAAGCTTATAGACCTAGGATTAGACTGTTAGTCCAGTGCTCTTTCCAATGCATTGACTACTTTACAATCATTATTTCCCATGTAGGAGGCAGTTTGTCACCTGTAGCAGCAGCTGCTTTATTCACAAATAGTTAATGGGTTCATAATAAATGTAGATCACTCTTTTGTGCTCTCAGCAACTCATAATTCATCACAGATATTACCCATAATATTGCCATGGACAAAGAAGTTTGATTATGAGCTTTTCCCATCTGCAGTTGAGTCCAACTGTAATGTGACTCCTGTCTGGTTACAGAGCTGGAGTCACTGTTCTGTAGTACCAGCCACAGTGCCTCCTCCAGGTGTTATTTTTCCTTGGCACTGTTGATCTACTTACTCCCTGTTGTGCCTTATATAGAAGTTCATTTCCCTAAATAAAGCAGCTGCCAATAAACAAAACTAACCAATAACTGGGTAAGGTATAGCTTTTGTATAGCTAACCCCATTTCCCACCCGAGTTGTACAGTCTTCAAGGGTAGGCTGCAAAAATCTCCATGGAACCAGTTCCCTAGAGTTTCCAAAACTAGTAAACCATTTCTGCTCCCTACCTTTTTTTTCCTTTCCCCATTTTCTTGAGAAAGGGGAGGAGGATGTGGGTGCTCCAAACCCATGTGTTGCTGCCCAAACAGATTTACTCTCAGTGCAGCAAACAGTCCTGTTCCTTTCATGGAAGTTCCTGGCGAATGGATCTTTGTTGTAAAACTGTGTATGTGTTGGCCGGATGTGGTGGCTCACGCCTGTAATCCCAGCACTTTGGGAGGCTGAGCCGGGCAGATCACCTGAGGTCAGGAGTTCAAGACCAGCCTGACCAACATGGAGAAACCCCATCTCTACTAAAAACAAACAAAACAAAAACAAAAACAAACAAAATTAACCGGGTGTGGTGGCACATGCCTGTAATCCCAGCTACTCAGGAGGCTGAGGCAGGAGAATCGCTTGAGCCCGAGAGGTGGAAGTTGTGGTGAGCAGAGATCGAGCTATTGCCCTCCAGCCTGGGAAACAAGTGAAACTGCATCTCAAAAAAAAAAAAAAAAGAAAAAAAGAAAAAAAAAACTGTGTATGTGCTCTTCCTAACTCTCCTGCTAAATTGCTGTGTGTTAAAGCCAAACAGAGTAACTGTGATGTAGGAAGGGGTGAGAAGTAATTGAGTTTTAATAGAGGAAGGAAATGGAGATTCGACATGGAAAGACTCAGAGAAGAGAAACTAAAGCAGCTTACCCTGAAAGACGGAGTTTCAAATGTTGTACCCAATTATTGATTAGTTTTGTTTTGTTTCCCTCTAACTCTGATGGCTTGGATTTCTCTTCTACTTGCTTTCCACATCCTGTTTTGTCTGGTGAAATCCTGTTTATGTTACAAGGCACACCTCGAATGTCACCTACTTTGTGAAGTCTTCCTGAGTTCTCCTCACTCCCCAGGCTTTCCTCCTTGGTGGTCTTACAGCATGTTTTTATTCCCCAGTAACAGAACACATAAGGCATTATCTTATAGATGGTTTGTGTTCCTCCTCACCCCCTAGTAAATTAGAAGTAAATGTCCCTGTGGACCTTTCATTATCACATAAAATTTAATGTATTTTATTTCATTATATATTTTAGTAAAAAAAATTTTAATAACTGCTAATAATGAGAGATGGTAGAGTACAGTGGTTAAGCTATGGGCTCTGGAATCAGACAGTCCTGGATTCAAATGCTGTGAAAACATAGGCAACTTATTTAGCTTCCCTGGGCCTCAGTTTTCTTATTTGTAAAAGAGGAATAATGATGCTCACCTCAAGTGGGTTGCTGTGAGGATTGAGTGAGCTAATACAGGCAAAGCCCTTAACAGAATGCGTGCGTGGCACATGCTACTTACTGGATAAATGTCAGTTCTTATTACATGATACATACATATATATGTTCTCTTTTCATTTAATGTTCCTTAGTGTACCTATTTCCAAAGAAACTTAACTGAGACACTGAAAGTAACTCTTTGTTCTTTGTAAAATATAATTTTACTTTATTACAAGACTCTCAAGTTTTAGAAATATGTGAAATTGTATTTTGGTTCTTTTCATCTCACGAAGAGTTTGAAAAGCTATGACCTTGAGTTAATATTTGACATTACAAGATATTCATAGATTACTCAAGTATTCCTTGTTAAATGTAGAACAGAGTAATTCATGATATCAAATAATTAGAAACAATGTATTTGTCCAACAGTAGTGGAATGGTTAGGTTCTCTGTGGCCTATCTTCTGGATGGAATAAAATGCAGCCATTAAAAATGCTGTCTGTGAAGACTATGTGATGACATCAAAGTACTCCTGATAACAATGTAAAGTGAAACAATCAGGATGTGAAGTGTATAAAAATATGCTTATAACTATGTAAAAACTATATATTATCCAAAGTACTTCAGTCCCTGGATTTTGGTGTAGTAATTTTTTTCCATTTCTCATATGTTTCATAATGTGCTTATTATTGCTTTTATCATTAGAAGTGAATTGTTAATATGCTAAAGTAAAGTGATTGGAATGAAATACATTTCTATCAGTTAATCATCATTTGGCAGCACCCAGAAGAGGACTGCTAGATACCCATCCGGGATTCTGTTCCCCAGATTTGTCTGGAAAGCCCTATTTCCTTTTGACTATGTTGAGCCCAAGGTTGAATGGCTGCAGGGAGAGTTAATTCCTGTGCACTGGGCAATGTTTCCATTTTAGTTCTTTCTTTGCTTCCCTCCACTAACTTTGTGGACTCCGGGAAGAACTGAATCTGGAGAACAAATTATATTTTTACTAGGGTTTTTATAGTTCCACATTGGGTTAAATATATTTAACTTCAGTTATATTATTAAATATAACAAACAACAACGCCCCGCAATTACATGGTTTTGCATGCTTTAAGATTTGAGGGCACGGGGGGAGGAGCCAAGATGGCCGAATAGGAACAGCTCCGGTCTACAGCTCCCAGCGTGAGTGACACAAAAGACGGGTGATTTCTGCATTTCCAACTGAGCTTTGAAGAGAGTAGTGGTTCTTCCAGCATGCAGCTTGAGATCTGAGAACAGGCAGACTGCCTCCTCAAGTGGGTCCCTTACCCCCGAGTAGCCTAACTAGGAGGCACCCCCGAGTAGGGGCAGACTGACACCTCACATGGCAGGGTACTCCTCTGAGACAAAACTTCCAGAGGAACGATCAGGCAGCAGCATCTGCAGTTCACCAATATCTGCTGTTCTGCAGCCACTGCTGCTGATACCCAGGCAAACAGGGTCTGGAGTGGACCTCTAGCAAACTCCAACAGACCTGCAGCTGAGGGTCCTGTCTGTTAGAAGGAAAACTAACAAACAGAAAGGACATCCACACCAAAACCCACCTGTACATCACCATCATCAAAGACCAAAGGTAGATAAAACCACAAAGATGGGGAAAAAACAGAGCAGAAACACTGGAAACTCTAAAAATCGAGTGCCTTTCCTCCTCCAAAGGAACAGAGCTCCTCACCAGCAACGGAACAAAGCTGGATGGAGAATGACTTTGATGAGTTGAGAGAAGAAGGCTTCAGACGATCAAACTACTCCGAGCTACAGGAGGAAATTCGAACCAATGGCAAAGAAGTTAAAAGCTTTGAAAAAAAATTAGACGAATGGATAACTAGAATAACCAATGCAGAGAAGTCCTTAAAGGACCTGATGGAGCTGAAAACCAAGGCACGAGAGCTACGTGACGAATGCAGAAGCCTCAGTAGCCGATGCAATCAACTGGAAGAAAGGGTATCAGTGATGGAAGACGAAATGAATGAAACGAAGCGAGGAGAGAAGTTTAGAGAAAAAAGAATAAAAAGAAACGAACAAAGCATCCAAGAAATATGGGACTATGTGAAAAGACCAAATCTACGTCTGATTGGTGTACTTGAAAGTGACAGGGAGAATGGAACCAAGTTGGAAAACACTCTGCAGGATATTATCCAGGAGAACTTCCCCAATCTAGCAAGGCAGGCCAACATTCAAATTCAGGAAATACACAGAACGCCACAAAGATACTCCTCGAGAAGAGCAACTCCAAGACACATAATTGTCAGATTCACCAAAGTTGAAATGAAGGAAAAAATGTTAAGGGCAGCCAGAGAGAAAGGTCGGGTTACCCACAAAGGGAAGCCCATTAGACTAACAGCTGATCTCTCAGCAGAAACTCTACAAGCCAGAAGAGAGTGGGGACCAATATTCAACATTCTTAAAGAAAAGAATTTTCAACCCAGAATCTCATATCCAGCCAAACTAAGCTTCATAAGTGAAGGAGAAATAAAATCCTTTACAGACAAGCAAATGCTGGGAGGTTTTGTCACCACCAGGCCTGCCCTACAAGAGCTCCTGAAGGAAGCACTAAACATGGAAAGGAACAACTGGTACCAGCCACTGCAAAAACATGTCAAATTGTAAAGACCATCGAGGCTATGAAGAAACTGCATCAACTAACGAGCAAAATAACCAGCTAATGTCATAATGACAGGATCACATTCACACATAACAATATTAACCTTAAATGTAAATGGGCTAAATGCTCCAATTAAAAGACACAGACTGGCAAATTGGATAAAGAGTCATGACCCATCAGTGTGCTGTATTCAGGAAACTCATCTCATGTGCAGAGACACACATAGGCTCAAAATAAAGGGATGGAGGAAGATCTACCAAGCAAATGGAAAACAAAAAAAGGCAGGGGTTGCAATCCTAGTCTCGGATAAAACAGACTTTAAACCAACAAAGATCAAAAGAGACAAAGAAGGCCATTACATAATGGTAAAGGGATCAATTCAACAAGAAGAGCTAACTATCCTAAATATATATGCACCCAATACAGGAGCACCCAGATTCATAAAGCAAGTCCTGAGTGACCTACAAAGAGACTTAGACTCCCACACAATAATAATGGGAGACTTTAACACCCCACTGTCAACATTAGACAGATCAATGAGACAGAAAGTTAACAAGGATACACAGGAATTGAACTCAGCTGTGCACCAAGTGGACCTAATAGACATCTACAGAACTCTGCACCCCAAATCAACAGAATATACATTCTTTTCAGCACCACACCATACCTACTCCAAAATTGACCACATAGTTGGAAGTAAAGCACTCCTCAGCAAATGTAAAAGAACAGAAATTATAACAAACTGTCTGTCAGACCACAGTGCAGTCAAACTAGAACTCAGGATTAAGAAACTCACTCAAAACCGCTCAACTACATGGAAACTGAACAACCTGCTCCTGAATGACTACTGGGTAAATAATGAAATGAAGGCAGAAATAAAGATGTTCTTTGAAACCAACGAGAACAAAGACACAACATACCAGAATCTCTGGGACAGCTTCAAAGCAGTGTGTAGAGGGAAATGTATAGCACTAAATGCCCACAAGAGAAAGCAGGAAAGATCTAAAATTGACACCCTAACATCACAATTAAAAGAACTAGAGAAGCAACAGCAAACACATTCAAAAGCTAGCAGAAGGCAAGAAATAACTAAGATCAGAGCAGAATTGAAGGAAATAGAGACACAAAAAACCCTTCAAAAAATTAATGAATCCAGGAGCTGGTTTTTTGAAAAGATCAACAAAATTGATAGACCGCTAGCAAGAATAATAAAGAAGAAAAGAGAGAAGAATCAAATAGACACAATAAAAAATGATAAAGGGGATATCACCACCGATCCCACAGAAATACAAACTACCATCAGAGAATACTATAAACACCTCTACGCAAATAAACTATCAAATCTAGAGGAAATGGATAAATTCCTTGACACATACATCCTCCCAAGACTAAACCAGGAAGAAGTTGAATCTCTGAATAGACCAATAACAGGCTCTGAAATTGAGGCAATAATCAATAGCTTACCAACCAAAAAAAGTCCAGGACCAGATGGATTCACAGCCGAATTCTACCAGAGGTACAAAGAGGAGCTGGTACCATTCCTTCTGAAACTATTCCAATCAATAGAAAAAGAGGGAATCCTCCCTAACTCATTTTATGAGGCCAGCATCATCCTGATACCAAAGCCCGGCAGAGACACAACCAAAAAAGAGAATTTTAGACCAATATCCTTGATGAACATTGATGCAAAAATCCTCAATAAAATACTGGCAAACCGAATCCAGCAGCACATCAAAAAGCTTATCCACCATGACCAAGTGGGCTTCATCCCTGGGATGCAAGGCTGATTCAACATATGCAAATCAGTAAATGTAATCCAACATATAAAAAGAACCAAAGACAAAAACCACATGATTATCTCAATAGATGCAGAAAAGTCCTTTGACAAAATTCAACAACCCTTCATGCTAAAAACTCTCAATAAATTAGGTATTGATGGACGTATCTCAAAATAATAAGAGCTGTCTATGACAAATCCACAGCCAATATCATACTGAATGGGCAAAAACTGGAAGCATTCCCTTTGAAAACGGGTACAAGACAGGGATGCCCTCTCTCACTACTCCTATTCAACATAGTGTTGGAAGTTCTGGCCAGGGCAATCAGGCAGGAGAAGGAAATAAAGGGTATTCAATTAGGAAAAGAGGAAGTCAAATTGTCCCTGTTTGCAGATGACATGATTGTATATCTAGAAAACCCCATCGTCTCAGCCTAAAATCTCCTCAAGCTGATAAGCAACTTCAGCAAAGTCTCAGGATACAAAATCAGTGTACAGAAATCACAAGCATTCTTATACACCAATAACAGACAAACAGAGAGCCAAATCATGGGTGAACTCCCATTCACAATTGCTTCAAAGAGAATAAAATACCTAGGAATCCAACTTACAAGGGATGGGAAGGACCTCTTCAAGGAGAACTACAAACCACTGCTCAAGGAAATAAAAGAGGATACAAACAAATGGAAGAACATTCCATGCTCATGGGTAGGAAGAATCAATATCGTGAAAATGGCCATACTGCCCAAAGTAATTTATAGATTCAATGCCATCTGCATCAAGCTACCAATGACTTTCTTCACAGAATTGGAAAAAACTACTTTAAAATTCATATGGAATCAAAAAAGAGCCCGCATCGCCAAGTCAATCCTAAGCCAAAAGAACAAAGCTGGAGGCATCACACTACCTGACTTCAAACTATACTACAAGGCTACGGTAACCAAAACAGCCTGTTACTGGTACCAAAACAGAGATATAGACCAATGGAACAGAACAGAGCTCTCAGAAATAATGCCGCATATCTACAACTATCTGATCTTTCACAAACCTGACTAAAACAAGCAATGGGGAAATGATTCCCTATTTAATAAATGGTGCTGGGAAAACTGGCTAGCCATATGTAGAAAGCTGAAACTGGATCCCTTCCTTACACCTTATACAAAAATTAATTCAAGATGGATTAAAGACTTAAATGTTAGACCTAAAACCGTAAAAACCCTAGAAGAAAACCTAGGCAATACCATTCAGGACATAGGCATGGGCAAGGACTTAATGTCTAAAACACCAAAAGCAATGGCAACAAAAGACAAAATTGACAAATGGGATCTAATTAAACTAAAGAGCTTCTGCACAGCAAAAGAAACTACCATCAGAGTGAACAGGCAACCTACAAAATGGGAGAAAATTTTCGCAACCTACTCATCTGACAAAGGGCTAATATCCAGAATCTACAATGAACTCAAACAAATTTACAAGGAAAAGACAAACAACCCCATCAAAAAGTGGGCAAAGGATATGAACAGACACTTCTCAAAAGAAGACATTTATGCAGCCAAAAAACACATGAAAAAATGCTCATCGTCACTGGCCATCAGAGAAATGCAAATCAAAACCACAATGAGATACCATCTCACACCAGTTAGAATGGCGATCATTAAAAAGTCAGGAAACAACAGGTGCTGGAGAGGATGTGGAGAAATAGGAACACTTTTACACTGTTGGTGGGACTGTAAACTAGTTCAACCATTGTGGAAGACAGTGTGGCGATTCCTCAAGGATCTAGAACTAGAAATACCATTTGACCCAGCAATCCCATTACTGGGTATACACCCAAAGGATTATAAATCATGCTGCTATAAAGACACATGCACATGTATGTTTATAGCAGCACTATTCACAATAGCAAAGACTTGGAACCAACCTAAATGTCCAACAACGATAGACTGGATTAATAAAATATGGCACATACACCAGGGAATACTATGCAGCCATAAAAAATGATGAGTTCATGTCCTTTGTAGGGACATGGATGAAACTGGAAACCGTCATTCTCAGAAAAATATCTCAAGGACAAAAAACCAAACACCCCATGTTCTCACTCATAGGTGGGAATTGAACAATGAGAACACATGGACACAGGAAGGGGAACATCACACACCAGGGACTGTTGTGGGGTGGGGGGAGGGGGGAGGGATAGCTTTAGGAGATATACCTAATGCTAAATGACGAGTTAATGGGTGCAGCACACCAACATGGCACATGTATACATATGTAACAAACCTGCACGTTGTGCACATGTACCCTAAAACTTAAAGTATAATAATAATAAAATTAAAAGAAAAAACAATTCAACAGAAAACAAAAAAAGATTTGAGGGCACTTTAAGAAGGTTTATTTTCATTTATTTTCCTACCTTGCCCGGTAAGGGTGGTCATAAGTCATTAGTAAATGAGGAGACTGGTGAGACCTGATTTGCAGTGAGGCCACAGATCCTCTGCATTTCTGGTCTGCTGTTCCTTTCAGTGAGCCTTATTATCTACTTATGGTAAGAATATTTTATCTTTTTTTTTTTTTAATTTAATGGTTTGTTCAGAAGAGATATCCTCAGTGAAGTTAATGCTTTCTTTTCTTTTTTTTTTTTTTAACAGGCAGGAAATGTTTCGTGTGCCCTCAGCCTCTCTCGGGAGTTTCTTCTCTACAGTACGTAATGGATAAAAGATAAGCCAGCCACAGGTCTGATTTACGGGGAACTCCCTTCTGCTCCTGGCCTTTAATTCCTGCAAGAGAAATACAGCTATCTATCTTTATTATCTTTTTTTTTTTTTTTTTTGAGATGGCATCTCCCTCTGTCACCCAGGCTGGAGTGCAGTGGCGCGATCTCTGCTCACTGCAACCTCTGCCTCCTGGGTTCAAGTGATTCTCCTGCCTCAGCCTCCCGAGTAGCTGGGATTACAGGCGCCCACCACCACACCTGGCTAATTTTTGTATTTTTAGTAGAGACTGGGTTTCACCACGTTGGCCAGGCTGGTCTCAAACTCCTAACCTCAAGTGGTCCCCCAACCTCGGGCTCCCAATGTGCTAGGATTACAGGCATGAGCCACTGTGCCTGGCCCTATCTTTATTATCTTAATTTCATAATCCAGGTCACATTTCAAATTTTGGTGAAATCTTACATGCTGTTCAATGCATCAGGGGGAAATTTTTAAGTTAGTTGGAAAATGCTGAGAAGATATCAACCTGTCCCTTCCTTCTTCCAACCAATCAATGATATATTAGTGTTGCTTCAATGGGAAAAAGTCCAGGAGTGGGAGCCAGTTTCTTCAGAGACATTTTAAAGACCCAGATTTTGGAAGCAGACCCAAGAATGAATGAAATCAGTGTGCACTATGTACGCAAGAAGGAAAGTGACTCAGCAGGATTGCTCACTTCAGCTGCTCACAGGGAGATATCAGTTTTTCCCCTTAAATCAGGTCTCACTCTGTGATGCATGCATCCTGCCCAGCCAGTAGGTCACAGAATTCAGCATCACCCCCCTTCAGGGAGTCTCTTGCTGACAATAAAATGAGTTAAACAGGAGGGAGATGCTTCCTAACTCAGGTATCTGCTTGGAAATGTTTGCCTCAAAGTTATATGTATGTATTTGCTTAACATTTTAGTGGTAGATAGCTTCCTAGGTTTTTCTTTAATACAGTATTTATTTGTTTTGTTTTGCTTTTGCTTTTAGGGGTGTGGTTTTTTTGTTTGTTTGTTGGTTTTGTTTTTTGAGACAGAGTCTCATTCTGTCACCCAGGCTGGAGTGCAATGGCATAATCTTGGCTCACTATAGCCTCTGCCTCCCAGGTTCAAGTGATTCTTGTTCCTCAGCTCCCAAGTAGCTGGGATTACAGCCATGTGCCACCATGCCCAGCTAATTTTTATATTTTTAGCAGAGATGGGGTTCTGCCATGTTGGCCAGGCTGGTCTCAAACTCCTGGCCTCAAGTGTTCCACCTGCCTCAGCCTCCCAAAATGCTGGGATTACAGGCATGAGTATTTAGTATTTAGATACTACAATGAGATACAAAATCACTATTTTGTTTTAATATTTATAAAGTATTTCATGTAGGACTTTATAATTGCATGTATACAAAACTTTTTAATGAATCCATTTAGTAACATTATTCCCTTCTGATAATTAGCAAACAATAGGATAAGGAAGTAGCTGTGTATCTACAAACACATGAGTAATTAGTGGTACAAACAAAATTATAATCCAACCCTTCTTTATTTATTTGCACTTGATCTATTAAAATCTTTGCTATCCACTCAAATTTTGTGCTTTTATAGGTGGATAATAGAACATGGCAAGTTGAGATTCCCAGTTTTATTTCCGGCTTTGCAATATTTTCACTGGGGTTTGGGCTTATAATTTCCATTCTCCAAAACTTCACTTCTTCTCTTGTTAAAACAGAATGGTAATTTCTGCCCCTTCCTTTCCTCCTTTGCCAGGGTGATGGTTGTGGTTAGAAGCACACTGGGCTCCTCAGAGAAAGATGCTTTGGGAGCATTAGAACAATTCAGCATCTCCTTCTGAGATGCATTGAGAGTCATGCAAAGAGGCCAGCAGGCCACGGGTAGCTCTGCCAATGCATGGGGCATCTTGCAGCCAAAGTGGGTACAAACAGGTGGGCACAAACAAGACACAAGATTTATTGGGTTTCCCAAGGGCCCTGTGGGAATCCAGTCTAGAGCCAAAGTCTAGAGTCCCTCTGCGCCATACTTCTTTGCTCTGGGTCTAGGCCAGTTAGGAGATTTGAAAGATCTAGTGGAGCCAAGAATGAATTAGCTTCCAATTCTCTGGGGAAGAATAGGTTGGGTCCTTTTGCAATAGGCTTTGGCTTTCTGGACTTCTCTTTCATTGCACTTATCATATTTTGTTGTAAGTGATAATTTAATGTCCTTTTTCTCCATTAGACTCTAAACTCTGAGAGGTCAACCTGTAGCACAGTATCTGGTACATAGTAGATGTTCACTGAAGATTTACTGAATGGATGGGTGAAAGAATGAATGAATGAATGAGGCTTCATCTTCGCCATATATACCATCACAGTATCCCAGAGCAGCCATCTTCATGATCCCTTGGCCTAAGAGTTTTAAGTTCCACTTTGCTTCCCAAAACCCTTTGCACCTTCAGATCTACCAGGATCAAGTCAGTCTTTTAAAAAAATACCAGGTAGTCTTCTGGGAGTGAGGGCCTTGCATCCTCCTGTGTGTTGACATGAGGAGTTATTCAGGAGATCCACTTGCCCATCCTGTGCAGCAGTGAAGCTGGAGGAAACCTTGGTGGCACTCCCTGGGGCCAGTATTTGTTAATCCCTATTTTATATTCCCTGCTCTGATTTCTTCCAGGCCCAGATAATAAGAGGATGGCCAGGAATGTCTTGAAATATGAAAGGCTCTTGGCAGAGAGCCCCAACCACGTGGTAGCTGAGGCTGTCATCCAGAGGCCCAATATACCCCACCTGCAGACCAGAGACACCTACGAGGGGCTATGTCAGACCCTGGGTTCCCAGGTAGGATTCCTCAGGGAAAGAGAAAGGGGGAGAGGCCTGGCTAGAGTTTGAGAAGCTAGAATTGGGATAACATGAGGGGATAGAGCTGATGCATTAAAAACAATAAAGCTCACTTGGGCAGCATCAGAGTGACCACATTCTGTATCTCTTGCATTCCAATTTTTTTATGCCATAGTTCCCCTAAGTTGAGTTTTGCTCCTAGACCCTTCTTCTCTTATGCTCATCCTATTCTTTCCTTCCAGCCCACTCTCTACCAGATCCCTAGCCTCTACTGTTCCTATGAGACCAATTCCAACGCCTACCTGCTGCTCCAGCCCATCCGGAAGGAGGTCATCCACCTGGAGCCCTACATTGCTCTCTACCATGACTTCGTCAGTGACTCAGAGGCTCAGAAAATTAGAGAACTTGCAGAACCATGGGTGAGTGTCCTGAGAACCCGCCAAGAATTTCTCTTTCATCTTCACATGCCTGGAGTTCAGGAGTGTAAGAATAGGCAACCTGAACAACTAGACACCTCAAAGAGCCAAGGAGTTCAGAATGCCAACCATTCCATAAAACTAGTCCATGGTGGAAAAAAATCACAATAGTGCTTGCCTCTAGAGGGAAAGGATTAACTGGATGATGTACAAGAGGATTCTCTGGGGTATTGAAAATGTGCTCTCAATATCTTGTTAGGGACGTGGTACATGTGGCTGTATGCATTTGTCAAAACTCACCAAATGGTCCACTTGAGACCTGTGTATATCATTGTATGTAAGTTTAACCTAAAAAAAGACAAATAAAAAAGAACACTTCAAAAGTGTCAACCATTCTATGTAATTGGTAGAGGTGGGGAAAAGGGTGAAATGACAGCGGCAAGGAGTAAAATCCTAGCACAAATTTACAGAGTTAGAGTAGAAAGCTAAACTTCATTATTTTGTTAAAAAGGAAACCGAGGCCCAGAGAGGGGAAGGGACTTGTTAAGCTCATACATGTAGCTAGAGCCACAGCTAGAACTTAGAGGTACAGTAGTCCCCCTTATTTGCAATTTTACTTTCTGTGGTTTCAGTTATTCTCAGTGTAGTACAATAAGATATTTTGAGAGAGAGAGGTCATTTTCCCATAATTTTATTACAGTATATTATTATTATTATATTTTATTGTTAATCTCTGTGCCTCATTTATGAATTATAAATTATAACATATAATTATAAATTAAACTTTGTAATTCAGTTACAATCATTATTATAATTTCGTTATAAAAAGAACCAAAGGAGGCCAGAATGATCAGGGCTAGCGGGCCCAACGAAGGTGCAGGGCTTCAACTGAGTCTCCAAAGATGGGCAGAATGTGGCGAGAAGTGTTGAGTGAGTGTGCTTTGGGAAAGGGACAGTGACTAGGAAGCAGATATTCAACACAAGCCACTGAGGCATCTGTCTTCAGTTTCCATGGGGGAGCCACTACCATGTGAGCCCAGGGCTGATTCCTGGGAGAGCCACAAACCAGACAGGCATCAGCAGCCCCAGAGAGATGCTTCTAGGGGAAGGAAGTGTGCCAAGGTCTGTGCATGCCAAATGGACGACACGGCCATGAATGACTAAATAGACATCTCTGGGTGGGTCACTTCTCCCATTACCATGGCAACAGGGCTGTTTTAAGGAAAAATTTAGTTATAATGTAATTATGATTATAATTAAATTACAATCATGATTAAATTAAATTACAATCATGATTAGATTAAATTTTGATTGAAGCCATCCCACTGTCTTCACTTGGAGACCCAGCCTGACAGAGCAGCCTCTGTATGGGACATTGCCAGTCTCATGGAAGAGGAAAAAGACAAATGGCAAACATGAGCTGGTTCATAAAGCTTCTGCATGGAAGTGCCAGATGTTACTTCCACCCATGTTTCACTGGTCAGAGCAAAGCATGTGGGCACTACTGCAGTTAACAGCAAGGTTCTAATTCTTCCACAGGGAAAGCACTGCAAGTCACCAAGCCAAGCTGGATGTCAATGGGAAGAGGACATTTAATCCTCCCCCTAGGAAGTGTGCTAAATATTAACAAGAAAAAATGCACCTCTATAAGCATGTTGCCTCTTTAAAGATATTGTCTCAGAATTATTTCTGTCAAGCCAGACATTGTGCCCTTAACATGTGCAGTTCATCCAGGCAGCCATTAGTCATTCGTCAACAGAATAGAGCCCACTGTGTGCCAGACACTGGCCTGGGTGCTGGGCTTTTACAGTGAGATGAAGTATTGGTTCTTTCCTCTTGGAAACTTAGTGCACAATGGAGAAAAACAAATATTTACACTACACTATGATACATGCTATCATAGAGGTGTGGGCAGAGAGTTGTGCTATGCACATAAAAAAGCAAGGCTTCCTCTAAAGAAAAGGCAATTGGGTGAAGAAGAGATGGGGAAGGGAGGAAGAATCAGGGAAGGCTTCACTGTGGAGGTGACATCTATCAGAGAAAGAAGGTAGCAAAGGGTATTCCAGAAAGACAAAACAGTATGTGCAAGGGCCTGATATGTGGTATGTTCAGAGACTGGGCAGAAGCTTGGTGGCTGAAGTGTGCAAGGGATGGGGGCGAGAGGTGATAGGAAATGAAGCTAGATGTGAGACACCATTAGCAGATGCTATAAATGCCATGCCGGGGAGTTTGGATTTTATCCTGTAGGCAGCAGGAGAGCTGTTGGACAGTTTTAATGGGAGAGTTGCATGATCATGTCTGATTTTTAAGGAAGACTGTAACAGCAGACATGGATTGGAGGGAGAAGAGGGGCAATCATCATTTCATCTAAAAGCCCCTCCAGGAAAGTCTAGAATCTTTGCACAGAAGCTTTTTGAGATAATTAAGCCCCACTGGTGAATTGGAGCAAACAGGTTCAGCTTTGCAGTGAGCCAGCAGTAGTAGCTTTTGGCCAGCAGCTGCTTTTTCCTTATAACAGCCCTGTTGCCATGGTAACGGGAGAAGTGACCCACCCAGAGACGTTGATTTAAATGTTCATGGCCATGTCGTCCATTTAGCATGCACAGATCTTGGCACACTTCCTTCCCCTAGAAGTGTCTCTCTGGGGCTGCTGATGCCTGTCTGGTCTGTGGCTCTCCCAGGAATCAGCCCTGGACTGACATGGTAGTGGCTTCCCCATGGGAACTGAAGACAGATGCCTCAGTGGCTTGTGTTGAATATCTCTGCTTCCTAGTCACTGTCCCTTTCCCAAAGCACACTCACTCATCACTTCTCTCTCTCACCACATCCTGCCCATCTTTGAAGACTCAGTTGAAGCCCTGCACCTTCGCTGGGCCCGCTAGCCCTGATCATTCTGGCCTCCTTTGGTTCTTTTTCAGAGCACTTTTTGGAGCCATATACAATTACCTATTCCTCCTCTGAACTCTAAGCTTTTTCTCACTGGTTGTTTGGTACTTAATTTTTAAATGTATTCTGCCATTTATGTGTTGTTTGACATCACTGACAGTTTCCTGGGTCAGCATCCTGTCTCCCCAGTCAGACTGTAAACTAGCAGGCATCATCTTTCTGCAAATGCCTTGCCCCATGTTCTTCCCATTGCTGCCAGAGTAAATCTTTAAAAGGTCAGGTCTGACCACTCAAGCCCTTGCTGAAACTCTTCACTGGGTCACTTTTGCCTTTGAGTGCTTACAAGTCTCCATGGCCTGGCTGCTGCCAACCCCTTCTACCACATCTCCCCCGGCACTTGACGCTCCAGCTGCACACTCTTCTGTCTGCCTGGAACGAACTGCCCTTGACTTCTCACCTGTATGATTCCAGTGTGTCTTGTGGACATCCTGGAAAGACTCCCTGTCCCTCATAAGAATGGGCTATGTGTCCCTCTTTCTATTGCCATGGCATTCTATACTTGCCTATTATGGCCCCATTAGATGTCTTAGGGGCAGGGACATTGTCTGGATTAACATTGTTTTTCCAGTGCCTAGCACAGTGCTTAGCACAGAGAACAACCAATAAATATTTGTTCCAAAAAACGAGTGACTGGTAGGTAGACAATTAATGATTGTTACAGGAAATAAATATAAGGTGACTCCTTAATTTGGGATGGGGGGGATTCCTTAGGGTTTTTTTTTGTTTTTTTTTTTTAAACCATTGATTTTGCCCTAAAAGAACAGAAGGGAGCATCTCTCTTCTATGAGTTTCTCCTCTACAAATGGCTCAGGACAGGACACCAGGGACAATGGATGGAGGCAACATCAATCCCCTTCTGATTTCCTGCTTCCTAAGATTGTAGAGCCACATGTGAGAGGAACTCGCAAGCACATGTTGTTCATAAGCTGCATTTTATTTATTTTTTATTTTTTTGTCCCAAACTTTTATTATTATTATTATTATTATTATTATTATACTTTAAGTTTTAGGGTACATGTGCACATTGTGCAGGTTAGTTACATACGTATACATGTGCCATGCTGGTGCGCTGCACCCACTAACTCGTCATCTAGCATTAGGTATATCTCCCAATGCTATCCCTCCCACCTCCCTCCACCCCACAACAGTCCCCAGAGTATGATGTTCCCCTTCCTGTGTCCATGTGATCTCATTGTTCAATTCCCACCTATGAGTGAGAATATGTGGTGTTTGGTTTTTTGTTCTTGTGATAGCTTACTGAGAATGATGATTTCCAATTTCATCCATGTCCCTACAAAGGACATGAACTCATCATTTTTTATGGCTGCATAGTATTCCATGGTGTATATGTGCCACATTTTCTTAATCCAGTCTATCATTGTTGGACATTTAGGTTGGTTCCAAGTCTTTGCTATTGTGAATAATGCCGCAATAAACATACGTGTGCATGTGTCTTTATAGCAGCATGATTTGTAGTCCTTTGGGTATATACCCAGTAATGGGATGGCTGGGTCAAATGGTATTTCTAGTTCTAGATCCCTGAGGAATTGCCACACTGACTTCCACAATGGTTGAACTAGTTTACAGTCCCACCAACAGTGTAAAAGTGTTCCTATTTCTCCACATCCTCTCCAGCACCTGTTGTTTCCTGACTTTTTAATGATTGCCATTCTAACTGGTGTGAGATGGTAACTCATTGTGGTTTTGATTTGCATTTCTCTGATGGCCAGTAATGGTGAGCATTTTTTCATGTGTTTTTTGGCTGCATAAATGTCTTCTTTTGAGAAGTGTCTGTTCATGTCCTTCGCCCACTTTTTGATGGGGTTGTTTTTTTCTTGTAAATTTGTTTGAGTTCATTGTAGATTCTGGATATTAGCCCTTTGTCAGATGAGTAGGTTGCAAAAATTTTCTCCCATTTTGTAGGTTGCCTGTTCACTCTGATGGTAGTTTCTTTTGCTGTGCAGAATTTAGATGGGGAAACAGGCCCAAGGAAAGGAAGAGGCTTTTCCAAGACTGTCTATCTGGTTTAGCAGGAGGGACAATGACATTATGGAAGCTTCAGAGAAGGGAAAGAGCTTCTGTCTGTGTAGCTCATTGCCCCAGGCACTGCTCTGCCTGCCTGTGAAGCACCAGAGCTGGGTCTGAGCCCTGTGAGTACCTTTAAGGGCAGTGCCCTATTTCATTCATTTGTTTATTTAACCAGTACTAAGCACCTACTCCACCACCAGGTGTTGAATGGACCCTGGGGATACAGCACTGAAAAAAGGCCAAGTCCTTGCCCTCATGAGCTGACATTCTGATGACAGAGGCAGAAGTAGACATGTTTACCCTCATATAAATAAATAATATTTCTCTTTCTGTCCCTGGATTTTGCAATTAGGAGACACTTTATTTAAAAATAATTTAGGCCCGGTATGGTGGCTCATTCCTGTAATCCCAGCACTTTGGGAGGCCGAGGTGGGAGGATCCCTTGAGACCAGAAGTTCAAGACCAGCCTGGGCAACAAAACAAGACCCCGTATCTACAAAAACATTTTTTTTTTAAATTAGCCAGGTTTGGTGGCATGTGCCTATGGTCCCAGCTATTTGGGAGGCTGAGGTGGGAGGATTGCTTGAGTCTAGGAGTTGGAGGCTGTAGTGAGCTATGATCGTACTAGTGCACTCCAGCCTGGGCAACAGAGCAAGACCCTGTCTCTAAAGATAATAATAATAATAATTTAAATGCTATACCTAGACATTCAGAACAAAAGAGAGGCATTTAGTTAAACTAGTGTTATCAAAACTGTTGTTGTCTTTTCATAATCAAGGCAGTTGCAGCTATGAAAATCTCACAAGTACCCTCAACATCTGTAACTATTATATATCAATTTTTTAAAAAAGTGGTTGTAGCAAAAACAGACTCTGATTCTCTGTAAGGAAAGGCTTTCATTAGAATATTCAAAAGGAGCAGGCTGCCTCTGAGTGTAGAGAGTTTCCTGTTGCTGGAGGTGTTCATTTAATTCGACAAACACTTACGAAGTGCTTACCATAGGTCAGGCCCTGTGCCTGACCCTGGGAAACAAAGACGAATGAGAAATAGCCCCTGTTCTTACCTAACTCACAGTCTTACAGATACAAAAGGGATTCAAATAACAGTTAAATTCAACTCAGCAAACTTTTATTGAGTGCTTACTGTCGACTAGACACAGTGTTAAAGGTTATTTTCAACTCTACGATCTTTGGTCACTTATGATCTTTTATTTTCAGGATTGATAGCTGTCACTAAATTAGTCCCACATGCAAAATGTCCTCTAATTAAGGAGGAACTGGCATCTGTTATGTTGATGCTTAAGAGAGAAATATGTCTGTGGAAGTGACAAAACTTTCCTTTTGCATCATAACCACTTGGACTTTGTCTTACATTCTTCCCACCAGCTACAGAGGTCAGTGGTGGCATCAGGGGAGAAGCAGTTACAAGTGGAGTACCGCATCAGCAAAAGGTAAGAAGGGCCCTTCCTTGGTCATACCTGCTGCCCACCCTCGGGCCGTAGCATAGCTGACTGCCAGTCAGCAACAGCCATTCAGGGACCTCCAGAGGTGGAGAATCCCTAGTTCACGTTTATAGCTGTACATTCTTTTTAAGAGGGTGAAGTTTCCACTCCCCTTTCCCAGGTTGTTAGATCATCTGAGGGTTTAACTAGAAGGCCATTCGAGAGAGACTTGGAAGAGCTCCTCTGCCCTAAACCAAAAAATATGTCTATAGTTGTTCTCCTAAACAGGATTGCTTTTCCAGAAGATACAGTCCTGTCCACATTTGTAATTTAACTTTACAAGATTCCATTCCCACCTCCTGACTCATATTGAAAGCATGACTTGCCAAGAATGAGACCAGAAGGACAAATAGACTCTGGCCCTGATGGCTTCTGTAGAGGAGCAGATTCAGCTGTGAGAGCCCAGCTTTATCCCACCCCTCCAGCCCTGCCCACCCCCCACTGCAGCCCTTTACTTACATCCACCAAAGACATGTGAGACAGTGACGTCAGCATCCTTGGGGGGAGGCCAGACCTCAGGATGGAGATCAGTTTGTGCTGTCTGGGAAGGGAGGTGAGTGATGAAAGCTGTGATTCAGAATCATTTGGCTTAACTTACTTGGTCTGGTACATTAAGGGCCTTTCATATTAGTAGTTATTCTCTAACCTATGGAAGGTCCCTATGACCTCAGCCTCATTGCTTTTTCTAACCTTTCTGATATTCTAGTGTCAGAGAGAAAATTCAGCCTTGGGTTAATTGCTTCCAGGGGAGCAGGTGGTATTTTCTTCCCTTTTCCGAACAAGAAACTACTTTCTTTCTCCACTTGCATCACTCTTCAACTCTTTGACTTTTGGTTCTGTCCTCACAACTTCGCTGGAGCTGGTCTCCCAAAGGTCACCAGGGAACTTCTAATTGCCAAATCATTTTCCTGCTCACACACCTTCACTGAGTACCCATTATCCATAAAGTCCAGATTCCATATCACAGTGTTTTCAGTTTTCTATGTCATGCCCTGAGCCTGCTTCTCCAGCTGTATCTCCCGTTACTTCTTCCTATCTCCTTATTCATAATTTATTGCCACACCTCCATGTCTGTGCTTATGCTGTTTCTTCAGGCTGGAATACTCCTACATCTTTTCCATCTATTGAAATTTTATGCACTCTTCAAAATTTGGCTTAAATGTCACTATCTTACCTGAGTGCCCCACTGGAATGAACTTCTCCTTCCTCTGTGCTTCCCAGCACTTTAAAGTCTGTTTCTCAATTTTTCACTGTACCTTACTTTGTTCTTAGTTATATTTGTGTTTGTCCTTTCCCCCATAATCCATGAGCTCTTAGAAGGCAATAGCTCTGTCTTGGGGATCTCTGTAACCTAAGAGCATGTGGCATAGCACTCTGCTTGCACTCTATTTGAAAGAATGAACACACTAATCCATCAAAAGCAAAGAGCAAAGAAATGGTCTTCCATATCATGCCAAGGCTGTTCCCTCAGAGCCTTATCGTCTCCCCAGGAGACCCACTGGCTTTAGGGAGCACTTTCTCACTTCCCAGGGACGTAAATTCTGATTCCAAAGTTGCCACTTTGTCAGAACCTCAACAAGACATTCAGGAAAAGAGACTGAACTCTGCTGTTTGGCCTTTGCCCTATCCTGGCTTGTCTTGCAGTAGAGCAGAGATTTTCCTGTGTTTAAAAGTAACACTAATGTATAGTTCACAAAGTGTCTTCATAAGCATTGCCTCTCACAATCTTTATAAGTCTGTGAAGTAGATATTATTATCATCCCAATTTTATAGACAACACACTGACCCTTAGAGAGGTTAATGGTTAAATACTTGACTTAGGATCACAGAGGATCAGGGACTCGTCACATTTCTCTAAATCACAAGCTTTTCCCACTGTACCCGGGTCCCTCTGTTCAGATGTCTCTACACCATAGCAGCTTTGAAGGCAGGGGTTTTGTCTTATTCCTCTTTGTATCTCAATGCTGTGAGTTTGTTGAGGTAGAGAACAAAGTGGACTGGGCAGACTTAACATGAGGAATGCATAGGTAATTAGGCATTTATGTCTGTCTTCCCTCCCTCTCTTTCCTCCTTCCTTCCATCCTTCCTTCTGGCAATTAACATAATTCATTTGTTTATTCATTCATTCAGAGACGTCATTTAGTCATTTCGGGCAACAGATCATTGATGCTTCAATCTGTGGTGTGTTTTAGTGCCTGGCTGAAGGACACTGTTGACCCAAAACTGGTGACCCTCAACCACCGCATTGCTGCCCTCACAGGCCTTGATGTCCGGCCTCCCTATGCAGAGTATCTGCAGGTGGTGAACTATGGCATCGGAGGACACTATGAGCCTCACTTTGACCATGCTACGGTAATGGTGGAGTCAATGACCAATCCCCTGGGGTAGGGAGCCAGGGCATTATTTATTTCTCTGAGGCAGAGCTCTTGTAGGCTCTCAGGGAATACTAAGTGAAATCTTAGAACAAAGGTTCTTTTTCCAGAAATATCTGAAAGCCTTAGTTTCAAGCATATTGTTGCTGACTCATTTTCTTGTCTGCCACCATCTCCCTTCTAAAATTTGCTGGTGAGGGAAGAATGTGGCTTGTCATGGAATCATCGGACTGCTCCACTCAGGGACTTCCTAGTGAGGATTGTCCTTCCTCCAGTAACTCTTCTAGCCTCATGATCTCAACTGGCCATCTTTGCTGATAATAGCAAATAATTTTTTTAAAATTTTAGATTCATGGGGTACATGTGCTTGTTTTTTATTTACGTATTTATTTATGTATTTATTTTTTTCTTTATAGGCAGCATCTTGCTCTGTTGCCCAGGCTGCAGTGTAGTGGCACCATCATAGCTCACTGCAGTCTTGAACTCCTGGGCTAAGTGATCCCCCCATCTCAGCCTCCCAAGTAGCTCTAGGACTACACCTGGCTAATTTAAAAAAATTTTTTTTGTAGAGACAAGGTCCTGCTATGTTGCCCAGGCTTGTCTTGAGCTCCTGGGCTCAAGCGATCCTCCCACCTCAGTCTCCCAAAGTGCTGACATTACAGGAGTGAGCCACTGCACCCAGCCATACTTGTTATATGGGTATTGCATGTGTAATGGTGGGGACCACACTTCTAGTGTACCCATCACCCAACTATTGAATGTTTTACCTGACACGTAATTTTTGAACTCTCACTCCCCTTTCACCCTCCCCCATTTTGCAGTTTCCAGTGTTTGTTACCTCCATCTTTATGTCCATGTGTACCCATTGTTTAGCCCCCACTTATAAGTGAGGACATGCAATATCTTATCTTCTGCTTTTGAGTTAGTTCACTTAGGATAATGGCCTCCAGCTCCATCCATGTTGCTGCAGAGGAAATTATTTCATTCTTTTTATGGCTGGATAGTATTCTGTTATGTATATATACCTTATTTTCTTTATCAAATCAACCATCGATGGACATTTAGGTTGGTTCCATGACTTTGCTGTTGTGAATAGTGCTGCAATAAATATCTGGGTGCAGGTGTTTTTTCTGTAATATAATACTTTATTTTCCTTTGGGTAGATACCCAGTAGTGATTTTTGAGGATTAAAATGACCTCCCCAAAATTGATCTATAAATTGAACCCCAGCTTTATAAAAATTCCAGGAGGTTTATTTTTGTAGAAATTAGCATGCTGATCCTAAAATGTATATGGAAATGCAAAAAACCTAGAGCAGCCAAAACAATTTTGAAAAAGAAGAACAAATTGGAGGACATACACTATCTGATCTCAAAACTTAATATAGAGCTACAGGAATCAAGGCAGTGTGGTACCAGTGTAAGGAGAGACACATATGTCAATGGAACAGAACAGAGTCCAGAAACAAACCAACACATTTATGATCAATTGGTTTTGACAAAGGTGCCAAGGAAATTCAATGAAGAAAATACAATCTTTTCAATAGACAGTATTGGAACAATTTAATATCTATCTGCAAAATAATAATGACTTTACACCCTTACCTTACACCATATATGAAAATTAACACAAAATGGGTCATAGATGTAAATGTAAAACTATAAAACTTCTAGAAGAAAACATAAGAGAAAATTTTTGTGACCACAGGTTAGGCAAAGATTTCTTAGATATGACACCAAAGTATGATCCATAAAAGAAGAAAACAACTGATAAATTGGACCTTATCAAATTAAAATTCTTTGCTTTTCAAAAAACATCATTAGAAAAGGAAAAGACAAGCCACCAACTAGGAGAAAATATTTGCAAATCATATATTTGGTAAAGAACTTGTATCCAAAATATCTATAGAACTTTTATAACTCAGTAATAAGATAATTCAATTTTTTTTAATGGACAGAAAGTTATTTGAGTAGGCACCTCTCCAAAAAGGATAAATGAATGGCTAAGAAACATATGGAAAGATGCTCAACATCATTAGGGAAATGCAAATTAAAACCACAATGAGATAGCACTGCACTCTCTTATGATGGCTACAATAAAATAAGATTATACCAAGTGGTGGTGAGGATGTGGAGGAACTGAAGCTCTCATACACTGCTAGTGGGAATGCAAAATTATACAGACACTTTGGAAAAAAGTTTGATGGTTTCTTAAAAAGTTTAAGATTCACCTACTTATGATCCAGCCATTTCACACCTATGTATATTACCCAAAAGAAAAAGAAAATATGTCTCTACAAACATTTGTACAGAAAAGTTTATAGTAGCTTTATTTGTAATAACCAAGAATTGGGGCTGGGCACGGTGGCTCATGCCTGTAATCCCAGCACTTTGGGAGGCCAAGGCAGGCGGATCACGAGGTCAGAAGATCGAGACCATCCTGGCTAACACAGTGAAACCCCGTCTCTACTAAAAATACAAAAAAAAAAAAAATTAGCTGGGCATGGTGGCAGGCGCCTGTAGTCCCAGCTACTTGGGAGGCTGAGGCAGGAGAATGGCATGAACCTGGGAGGCAGAGGTTGCAGTGAGCTGAGATCACGCCACTGCACTCCAGCCTGGGCAACAGAGTGAGACTCCATCTCAAAAACAAAAAAAAAAAAACAAAAAAAAAACCAAGAATTGGAAACAGCCCAGATGTCTGTCAACAGGTGAACGGATAAACAAATTTTGATATATCTGCACAATGGAATGCTATAGAGAGAAAGCAGATAAGTGGGTTGCCTGAGGTTGGAGGTGAGAGCAGGGATTGACTCCTAACTGGCATGAAGGAGCTTTTCAGCAGATGGAAGTGTTCTGTGTTCTAAACTTCAATTGTGGGAAAACTCATTGAACAGTAGGCTTACAAGGGGTGAATTTTATGGAATATAAATCATATCTCAAACTGTTCCATGACAAAAAAAAAAGAGTATGTCTCTTCAGCAAGTAATTGGAACTCTGGCCTTATGATTTGGTATTTCTACAGAATAATTGTCTGTAATATTTTATATATTAATTTCTATATTTCACAGAGAACTCAAAGGTGCAATTAACCCCTCATATAGTACTTTCACTACTGACAAGTAGTTCTGTTTGGTAGTAGACAATTCTTTTATATAAGTATCTAATAAATTAGTAAAAAAAAAAATTGTATTGAGTACCTGCCAGCAAAGACGGGCACATACTCCAGTAGGTGTATATCAGAACTATATCCCATCTTTGATGCCCCCATTTTACTTCTATTTGTATTAATAGTGGAATCCTGCCTGTCCCTCTGGTGCCATCTGCATAAAATAATATGTTCTGTTTTTTTTTTTCTCAGTCACCAAGCAGCCCCCTCTACAGAATGAAGTCAGGAAACCGAGTTGCAACATTTATGATCTATGTGAGTATTGCTCTGGGCTTCTTACTTCATGACTGACTATAGCTCTACTTTATTTTATTGTTTTCAAAGCAATTTCACGTATTGATTTTATCTGGTACTCAGCGCAAAAATCTCCAGGAATTTTGCGAATTTCAGACAGCATTTTTGATAGGCACTGTAGGAGATGTAAAGAAATACAAGACAAGGTTTCTACCCTGAAAGAGGCTGACAGTGTGTAAATCTAAATATGACCTTGGTATGGGCAGTGGATTAGGATGGGAAGTGGAGCTCCACTGAAGGCCAAGAGATAGAGGGACTTGAACAACACAGGAGGAGGATCTGAGAATCTGTGTCCTTGAGGTCTCATGGACTAATCAGTGTTGAAAAACAACCCATAGATGAGGTTGTGGGGCTGTGGGGAGGGAGATGGATGAGGAATGAGGCAGCAGATTTACAAGAGGGAAGAACAGAGACACTGAGAGAAATTCAGCAAGTGCTGCCTCTGATGTTTAGTGAAAATTCTCTTCCTTATCTCTCTATAAAATCTTCAGTAAAATCTCCATGACTCCCCTTTCAAGATAAACCAATAAATTGTACTTCTCTCCTAATTCCTGGCCTGATCAGGATTCGGCCCCAGTCTGTATCATCTCACCTGTCCCCTTCCCTTCAGATCATGTGGGTTTACTTTCGTCTCTATGGACAAGCTTCCAATCACCTGTCACTGGAAGAGAATATTAGAATTAATCACTTATTAGAAGAGATACCTTACTGTTAACTGAAGGGACAAACATATATAAGGGTTCTATATAACAACCAAAGATGAAGTCCTTGTTTCAGCCTCATTAGAATAGCAGACATCCCTCACCCCAGCTTTTCCTCTTCTATTAGGACTGTCTCTGGTCTCCACAGGACAGCCAAGAAAGGGCAGTCAGAGGCCAGCATTCTGTGTAGTCTTTAATGCCAGCAATTCCAGTGTGTTTCTCTATGTGGCTCAGTTCTGTACTTCCTATGGAACTGGAAGGCTTCCACTTACAATGGTGTCTGGCCTCATTCTGATCATTCTGAGGTCAGCTATCAGGCAGGGGACACATCTTGGAGCTGCAGTTGGTTGCATCTCTGGTTGACCACTCCAGCTGTTATGGGAGGTCACAAACGGCGAAAGAATGAACTGCTGCCAAAAAACAGGGCATCTAGGGCACAATATATCTCTGTTCTTTATCCCCTCAATATCTCCTATGGCTGGTTCCCTGGTTACAGGGCCCCAGTTACTATAGCGAAGGTAGCGTGGGTATAAGAGCCCAGTAATTTTAAATGGCAAATGCATGTGTGTGTGTGTGTGTGTGTGTATGTGTGTGCATGCACTCTCATGCACTTTCACATGTGTGTGCATGCATGTGCATTTGGGTTTTAAGTATTTGAGACAGAGTGGAATGGAATACACTTTGGATTTGGAGTCAGTTGACCTAATCCTGATTTTGCCACTTACTATGTGGCCTCAGCACAGATTACATCTATTATGTGAGCTCACTTTTTGCCCTGTGCTTCCTCACAGTGTTGTTGTGAGGGTCTGATGAGATAATGTAAGGAGGGATGTCACTCTGGAAAGTTCCATACTGTATGTTTCTGTCATTGTATCCCACAGAGCAATTAAAGGAAAGGGTATCATAAAGGGGAATCAGTATCATGGGACCAGGGAAGTGCTAGATTATGCCCAAGTCTTTCATCTTCAGGTTGGGATTTCTCGAGACAATTTCAAGACAAACATTTCTCAAGACAAATGTTAAGGTTTGTGGGAAACCTAAGACTGATTTTATAGGGAGAAAATAATCTTTAAGAAGTACAGAGGATTGAGTTGAAGTCCAGTTGGTGATTTTCTGCTCAGATTGGACATAAGATCAGTCCCAATCTGGGTGCGGTGGTGTGCACCTGTAGTCCCCGCTACTTGGCAGGCTCAAGCAAGAAGATCGCTTGAGCCCAGCAGTTCGAGTCCAGCCTGGGTAACATAGTGAGACCCTGTCTCTATTAAAAAAAAAAGATCAGCCCCAGTACAAAATAGTAGAAGGTATACAGACGGAAGATTTCTCTCCCTTTCCCACTGTTCTTACAGCCCATGCCGTGCTCATGAGCTTCATTGCATGCAGAATCCGATTTTCTTTTTAATGTGTTGGCTATGTCATTCCTTTCCACCATATTGTAAAACCACAGGTAAAAGAATGCAGGAAAGTCCAGGTTGCCCCTTACTGACAAGGGCTAGAATAGAATAATCTAATTTGTTACCTGAACACAAGGAGCCAATTGTTGTTCTCATCGGCTTTCCCAGTGTGCTACAGGGAGAGCCAAGGAATGCTAATAGTCACCACTGCCATTTCCAGGTTCCAAATCACCATGTCAGTTCACTTGCATCTACCAAGGGCCAGCGTCCTACCTCCTATACCTCTTGCTCTGTAACACAAGTAAATGTACCGGGATCTGACTGCCATAAGATTACAGAGCATGAACCTTCTGGTAGATAATGCTAGGCAGCGTGAGGTAAAACTGGCACTCTTGTGTGATGCAACTGCTGAAAAAATAATTTAGCAAAATGTATAAGAAGTATGAAACTTATGCATGTCCTTTTGACCCCATAATACTAGTGCCAAGACTCTTTCCTATGAAAACAATCCAAAATGCAAAATGATTTTTTTTCATTAAGTTGTTCAGTGCAGTGTTGTTTATAATAGTAAACATTTGGATATGACCTAAATTTCCAAATGTGTAGCATGATGGTTATGAGCAGGGACTTTGTAGTCACATGGCACCAGCTCAGCTCAAATCCTGACTCCATCATGGAAGAGCCATGTGACCTTTTATAAAGTGCTTAAGCTCTCTGAGACTTGGTTTCTTTATCTGTAAAATGTGAAGAGTTAAAAATAATAACGATTGTAACTCCTAGGATTGTTCTGAGGAATAAATGAGATAATATATTTGCAAGGACATAGTGTAACTTTTAGCATATAGTCAGTGCCCAATAAATGTCAACTATCACTATGTAAACTATAACTTTTTTCTGGATGGTACAATGATAATTATTGTTATTTAAAAATATTTTCCTGTTTTAAAACAGTTTACAATTATTATATATTTCTGTGACAACCAGAAAAAAAGCTTCACATTAAGAAAACATATCCATAGTCCTAGAACAGACCAGTGATGAAACTCCTTAGCTTGGGTTCCCTGGAGAGGAGCAGAGTGATCTGGAGAATATGCCAAAGGTGTAATAAGTAGTTCCTATGATGCCCAGCTTTCAAGAAGAATCATAGTCTAAACTGGTTTTCAAGCCACAAGTCATGATCCATTATAGGTTGTGAGATTAATTTAGTGGTTCTGATGAGCATTTAAGAGAACCACACTAGAATAGAATAAAATAAAGTAGAGAAGATCAGAAGCTATCTCAGATATTAAGAATGTTTTATGACAATTATATTTCAGGAGGTGTGTGTGTGTATGTGTCTGTGTGTGTGTGTATGTGTGTGTGTCTTGGGTCATTATTTAAAATGTATTTTTTCCTAAGGGTCTCAGTCAAAAAGTTTGAATCTACTTATTGTAGCCCTCAATAAGGATGTTAGCTGGAAGGGAAAGAAAGGAAGAATACCAAAACATTGTCCTCTTGTGGCCCTGTAGGCAAACACCAATGCCATTGAGTAGGCTCCCGAAGTTCCTCCTGAGTTGGATGATTGTCTTTCAAGTATTTCTCTCAGAGTTGAAGAAAAGACCATGAGAAGGAATCTATGCAGATGTGACATCATATGACAGGGTAGGGAAGTCGGTGGCAGTTTTAACTCTGGCTTCTTCCTCTGGTCTTGTAGCTGAGCTCGGTGGAAGCTGGAGGAGCCACAGCCTTCATCTATGCCAACCTCAGCGTGCCTGTGGTTAGGGTGAGTGGGGCCCTGGTCCCAGAAGACGGGGTTGAGGGAGTGCAGCGCTTACCCTCTAACCTTCACGCTGTCTGTGCTTGCAAGCCCATTCCTGGGAGGAGGGCCAAAAAGAGGTCTTCCCCAATTCCCAGAATCACAGATCATCCCATAGTCTTCTTTACTACCGCACACATGCTCGTCACTTGTGCCTCTATTTGTTATTTTATTTACACTTATATTGCAAGTAGATGATTACATGTCTGTCTTCCCTGTCACAGTACAGCTCCTCAAGATAAGAGCTCTGTTTTATTTACTTTGGATCCTCTACAGCATCTAGTTCCTTCCATCATTAGTTCAGTCCACATTGAGAGCTAGAGGCACGGAGGGTGCAGAGGGAAATTCATAGCCCTTTGATCCAGGAGTTTACAGAGACGTCAGCAGGCATTATGATGTTGCAATAGGGATTTGGAAAGGATAGGCGCTGAGGAGAACTGAGTCTAAGAGGTTTGCTTCATGAATGAGTATTTCCTCCAAATTTCAGATCAGTCCAACTCCCTGGCAGCCCTTACCTAATTTAGGAATGAAATGAAGATAACTAAACGAGATCATTCCTGTAAAGCAGGTAGTACAGTGCCTGGCACATCCTGAGCATTCGATAATCAATGCCAGGTATCTCTGAATACTCAGGAGCTTGACGCCTCTTGTAGGCTTAGGAACATAGAGACTGCCAATGCATCCTGGAAAGCTCTTCATGACCTGGAGTTTTGTCTACTTTGAGGACCAAGGTTAAAGTAATTTGACTACAGGAAGTAGATACGGCAAAGAAGCCGTGTATGGGGGAAAAACATACAGGATTTAGCGTCAGAACACCTGGGCTTGAGTCCTCACTTTGCTCCTTCTTTTATTGCATTATTTAAAGCCCTGGGCCTCAAGTTCTTTGCTAGGAAACTGGGGATTATGATACTGCCTGCTCCCTGAAAGTGTTAATCATAAGTGCCTGAGGGAGGAAAAGCTTCTGAGTTAATGACATGCTTGGCTGTATGGGAATATTTTGTTCCACCTTGTGGTTTTGTTCGGTGTTTCTCCTCAGTGACCCAATGACAAATGTGCTCACCTTTCTCCCAGAACTCACCATGCTGTCTTGTTCAGGTCTGTTTTATGTCTGTTTCTTGTGAGCTCCTGGAGAGCAGAACTGGACGTAATTTGTCCCTGCAGCCCCAGGACCTGGGGTGCAGGGGACTCTGTCAGTGACCCATGCATGAAGGAGTAAATGGCAACTTATGCCATTTTGTGCCATTTTATGCATGCATTGCCCCCAGACTGCATGGAAAGGCTTCTTCAATGACATGCCTGCATTTGTCCTTAGTATGTGCTTCCCGAGGACTGAGGTTCTGGGCTGACCCTCCCTGGGGCTGGGCCCTCTTGTTTCAGAATGCAGCACTGTTTTGGTGGAACCTGCACAGGAGTGGTGAAGGGGACAGTGACACACTTCATGCTGGCTGTCCTGTCCTGGTGGGAGATAAGTGGGGTAAGTCTTGCCTTTCTGGGCATGAGAAGGGGGTACAGGGTGCAGAGTAGAGTGAAACAGGGGATGGGTGGGACCTACCACAGCCATCCCATTCCAAACGCTTCATTACAGTGCCACATTATATTGAGAAGATCAGATTATGAATGAGGTGCCCCCAACAGACTGGGAGCCTATAACAGGCAGGGGTTCCTGTTACAGAGTGACAGTCAGTAAAGGTTTATTCACCTGACCAGATAGGCCTTGATTCCTGAGCACTGCCAGAGAGGAATATGGTGTCCCATCCACACTCTACCCCAAGGAAAGATGTGTCAAGCCATTGTCTCTCCTGTTTAGTGCTCCCCATGAGGAGGTGGGAAAACAAAGAAGAGATCAATAAGCAGATGGACGTGTTTATGTCACATATACATCCAGGAGCACTTAGCTCTGAAACAGAAAGAGAAGTGGAAGGGGGCTCATAAGCTGAGGTGGAGGCTGCCAGGAGATGCCACCCGTTTTTCTCTCAGTACTCTGGAATGGCTTCATGGGGAACATGGGCTTCTAAAATGAAGGGTGAGTGATCTTAGTTCCCAAACGTTTGAAAATGAGTTTACAGGAGACAGGACCTGTGACTTTTTTCCAGAGGACAATGTCCTCTTTGCTATTTATCTGCTGGAAGAAACAGCTTGTAGTCCATAGTGAGGCCAGGACTAGGCTGGGCAAGTGAGTTACCTAGGATGCAGAATTTAAGGGGGCACTCACACGCGCCTATGAGTGCGCACCAGTCTGCAGCATTGCTGCTGTCTGTTCTGCTGAGCCTGCTGTCTCCTTCTTCCCTGTTCTCTCCCAGTGGCCAACAAGTGGATACATGAGTATGGACAGGAATTCCGCAGACCCTGCAGCTCCAGCCCTGAAGACTGAACTGTTGGCAGAGAGAAGCTGGTGGAGTCCTGTGGCTTTCCAGAGAAGCCAGGAGCCAAAAGCTGGGGTAGGAGAGGAGAAAGCAGAGCAGCCTCCTGGAAGAAGGCCTTGTCAGCTTTGTCTGTGCCTCGCAAATCAGAGGCAAGGGAGAGGTTGTTACCAGGGGACACTGAGAATGTACATTTGATCTGCCCCAGCCACGGAAGTCAGAGTAGGATGCACAGTACAAAGGAGGGGGGAGTGGAGGCCTGAGAGGGAAGTTTCTGGAGTTCAGATACTCTCTGTTGGGAACAGGACATCTCAACAGTCTCAGGTTCGATCAGTGGGTCTTTTGGCACTTTGAACCTTGACCACAGGGACCAAGAAGTGGCAATGAGGACACCTGCAGGAGGGGCTAGCCTGACTCCCAGAACTTTAAGACTTTCTCCCCACTGCCTTCTGCTGCAGCCCAAGCAGGGAGTGTCCCCCTCCCAGAAGCATATCCCAGATGAGTGGTACATTATATAAGGATTTTTTTTAAGTTGAAAACAACTTTCTTTTCTTTTTGTATGATGGTTTTTTAACACAGTCATTAAAAATGTTTATAAATCATTTTTCCCAACTGAGAATATTCTTACATTATAATGCTGAGTGGGAAAAAAGGGAGAGTACAGTTGGCCCTCCACATCCATGTGTTCCCCATCTGTGGATTCCACCTCGGATTGAAAATATTTGAAAAAAAACCATGGATAATAACAGACTTTATTCTGTACATGCTCAGTACAGATGCAATAGATTGTATTGTATTCCCTGAACAATACAGTATAACATCTTCTTACATAGCATTTACATTGTGTTAGGTGTTATAAGTAATCTAGAGGTGACAAAGTATATGGGAGGATGTGTGCAGTTTACAGGTTATATGCAAATACTACACCATTTTATACAAGAGACTTGAACATCTGTAGATTTTGGTATCCTCTTGAAGTCCAGGAACAAACTCCCCATGGATGCTGAGGGATGACTGTACAGCATTTTATTTATGCTGTAATCTCGGTGCAGCTCACCTCCCACCACTGTCCCCGGCTACGTTCCAGAAGCTGGAATTCTTCCTTGTCCCCATCACCACCATGCCCATCACCACCACCTTCACTCCCACTTCTCAGGCCTTGACATTTGTCATCCCCTCAGTCTTTCCACTGCTGACCTCTTTTCATCATTCCACTCAATGCAGTGGCTCAATATTACCTCACAGAGCTTCCGTGACCATGCCACCACCCAGCCACTTTCTTTCATATGAACTGACTTTGTTTTCTTCATAACACTTATCAGGATTGAAATGACTTTGTTCATTTGTTTAATTTTGGTCAGTTGCCTTCCTTGCAGGGGAAGTGCTTTGGGGCTGTGCTGTACTTTGTAAATGCCTCTATTCCAGCCCTCAGGTCACTGAATTTCAATGTTTATATATTTGCCAGGCTGCTCCCACTAGGCTCTGTGCTCTTCATTCCTCTTGGTAGCCCCAGAAGAAGGTCTGGTTCAACATAAGTAGGCATTCAGCAATTCTGCAAAGGCTTCCTTTGAGCTGTGCTCTGGAGGACAGGTAGACTTTTTATAAGCAGAGTGTGATGAGAAGTGTTTCCCAGCAGTAGGTCTAGCAGGGGCTAAGGCTACATGGATGGGTGATTGTGATATTTGGGCACTTGTGCCAAGAGAACATTTAAGGCCACTTGGCTTAGGATCCTTCACAGGGCTGTGGGCATGTATTGCTCATAAGGAAGCCACATAGTGCAAGGACTGGGTGGTTGGATGCCTGCTGTCTCTGCCCCTTCCCCGCAAGCCCATATGACCTCAGCTTCCCAGAGCTCTGTGGCCCCAAGGGAAAGGCTCTGATGTTCTAATACCCAGCTTCCTCAGAGTCTGAAGTGCACCTTGTCACATTCCTAGGATTTCTGCAGAGCACACCAGGATTCTGGAAATCCTCTTACTAAATTACTGCCACTACTCACAACCTGCCTCCTCCAGTTCCAAGAGGAACAGGCCTGAGACGAGACAGAAAGCGACTGTCTGCAGGGGAGGCTGCTCCCTTTTCTTCACAGAACCTGGACTTCTCAGAATTACAGGATGGGTCTGAGCTAATCAGAGCAATGGCACCATTCTAAGAGCTTCATGCATTAAATATTTAATGCTCATTCCAACCCTTTGAGGTCAATACAGTTATCCCCATTTTACAGATAAGGAGGCAGTTTTATAGAGTTAAGTCACTTGTTGAGAGTGCCACAGACTGGCCCCAAATCTTGTGCTTTTAATGTCTGAGATGGGGCAGTTATCAAACATCTTGACCAGGCGACTGAGACACAGGAAAGTCTGGCTGCAAATTAATAACTGCTTAATGAGTAATCCTCAGGCGCAGGCCCTGGGCTCAGTGGGTGCTGTGGGGATACAGAGGATAGAGCCCTGGAAGCTGGGCCAGTAGGAGGATAAGACAAAATGCATCCTGCATTCAGTGTCATTGAAGCACAATGTGAAAATGTTGCATGCAGAAAGAGGTGAACTACCACTGAATGCTGCCATCAAGAGGTAGGGGAGCCTTGGGATTTGGGATAGTTGAGAAAGCCTCATTTGTTTATTCAAGTCACACTGACAAGGTGCATACTCAGTGCCAGGCCGTTGCTGGCACTAGGGAGGGAAAGGAGAATTAGATGCTGACCCTGCCCCTAGAAATGGAGCAGACCCTCAAATCATCATGAAACCATGTGGCCACGAGTGGAGACATGAACAGGCTGCATTAAGAGGCTCCCCTCACCCCTGGAAGTTTCATGGGAAGGAGGGACTTGAGCAAATCTTGAAGATGAGCAGGGTCCCTAGAGGCTGAGAAGGAGAGACCAGGCTTTGCATGTATTAGGGGGCATGCTGTAGGGATAGCAACACCTTACTTTTGGCCAGCATGTTCATTTTCAAAACGCTTTACCACTCCACTTGAACTTCACCTCCCCAGGGAGGAGAGCATAGCAGGTACTGTGGAAAGTGAGGTAGGAATGGTTAGTGGCTTCCTGGGGCTTCATGAGCTGGGACTGGTCTGTCTCCCTTACCAGTCTTCTTTCCACCAGATGGCTTTCAAAGCCACATCACTCCTAGAGTGGAAAGGCCTAATTCTTATATTTGCACTAATTATTATGTTTGCCTAATTCTGTATTTGCACTAGTCTCCATACCCCCTGAATCTGACTAGTCCTGATAAAGTGGCATGGCCTTGGGCCCCACTTAGTAGATAGATAGATATCTAATTCTAAGTAGGGTCAACTGTGGCTTGGGGCATTGATTTTTTTATAATTTTGTTTCTTTCTTTCTCGAACTCCTAAGCTCAAGTGATCCTCCCGCCTCAGCCTCCAAAGTGCTAGGATTACAGGCATGAGCCACAGTACCCAGCCTGTTTCTTTCTTTCTTGCACTGTTCTGTGAGCTGTTTTCCAACAGCCTTGTCCAACCGGGGTTTCTGGCACTGCACTACTTATCACTTGCAAGCCTCATTCCAGATAATATTCTTTACATTAAAGTCTATTATCATTATCATTTGTAACCACATCATTTATGATAGGCCAGGCACTGTGCTGAGAACTTAGGTGTATTTGTCTCCTTCAAGCCTCAAAATGAGATGAGTTCTATTATGCCCATTTTATAGATGAGGGAAACTGAGTCAGAGAACATATAACTTGCCTGAAGTCATCCAAGTATAAAATAGCAGAGGCAGGATTCAAATCCATGTCAATCTGTCACCAAAGACCTTAACTAACCCTCTGTTGTCTGCATTCCATGTTATTTTGCTGTCACTTCTGTGCTTCCATTGGCAATAATCTTTTGGAGCCAATAATTTTAGGGCAGGGGGGGTCTCCAACATTTTCCCAGGTATTGAAAAGGTCTATCCCTTGTGCCACTGATGCCTAATGGTTAAGAACTCTTGTCAGATGTAGATATCTGTTGAATATAGGAATGAATCAGTTCCACAAATGAACGGTGAACACTTGTCGAGTGATCTGCCCATGCTAGCTGCTCCATGAGAATCCAAGAAAAGAAGACGACCTGCTCACTGCCCTTAAGGCAGAGCGGGTCCATGCCCAAATGTAAGTGAGAATTGGATAGAATCAAGTGGGAAGCTGTGTGCTGCTCATCCTAAGGATTGTGGGAGCTTGGAGAGAGGGTAGGGCCCTATGGCCAGAATATGCTGAGGGTATCCATGTTGGAGCCCCAGGAACACATGGAAAGAGTAAGAATGCATGCCTGTAGAGCACAAGGTGCAGCGGCCACCCTGCTTGTCCCTCTTTCACACACAACAGGGGAGCAGAGAGAGCTGTCTGGGAGGAGGAAGCAAGAGGGTGTTGATTCTGGGGGACTCTTGTCCAGTAATGCCAACGGCAGCACAAACTGCCCTTTCATGGAACCACTGAAAGAGTCTCCTGTTGGGGGCCTTGGCTGCTCAAGCTGGGAGAAGCCAAAGGAGCCTGAGTGTAGGAGCTGGGGTGGGGAGAGAGGGACATTTACCTGCAGATTGCTGTGTACTCAGTAGAACTATGAAATCGGCTAAGGGCTAGGGGGAGGAAACAAACATATGTGCCTACTCTTTGCCATGGATCACTCTCCTGTATCATATTCACAACAGTTATCATCTCTTTTGGCAAAGGAGGAAAATGGGGTTTAAAGAAAAGACATCACTGAGTTCACACAGCCAGGGGCAGAACCAGGATCTGGAGCTTGGGGGAAAGTCTCCCCGTTCCCCTAACTGCTTCTAACCTCTTTCTGGACTTTTCTCTCTTCCCCACTGTGGACCCCCACAATTTTCTCCCCCTTTGGAATCAGAGCCTGCCTCTTTCCCTTCTTTCTCTCTGCCACATCCCTCTTTATATTCACTTCATTGGTCACAGGACCCCTCCTATCAAGTGCTTGATCTGCCCATTCTCCCTAAGGTTTGAGTGACAGAGTTTCCCTGTCCTTGACAGGGGCATGTTTGCATTAGAAATGGGTAGCCTGGTGTAATCAAGGATTATCTCAAAGGAATGAGGTACTAGGAGTGGATTCTAGGCACTAGATGCCTGCGTGGTGACAGTGTTTTTGGTTAAGGGTTCAAGGGCATCGCTCAGATGGAGCCCCATAGATAATGACATCTCTACCATCTTTAAAGCCCACCACATTTTCAGATGGAGCATAACTAAAAAATAATGACCACCATGTCTCCTGTTCATCTGCTTATCACGTTATGGGACTGGAGGGCAGTAGTTAGTTCCCCTGCCCCAGAAAAGTAAAGCAACTTGCCCATAATTACGCTGTGTGTCAGTGTCAGCTCAAGACTAGAAGCAAGGTTTCCTGGCTCAGAGACCCATGCTTTTTCCAAAGCGCCATAGGTGCTTCTTGGAACAGTTGCACAGTGGGCAAATAATGGTACCAATATTTGATGGTATTTTAATGAGCACAGACTGCATGTGTGGCCTGTCATTTATTCATTCAGCTAAGCATTCCTGATGTTGCCTCTGGGTCAGGACCTTTGCTGGGGCTGAGGATGCTGGGATGACTGATTGAGTCTCTGACCTTGAAGAGCTCCCAGAAAAGAGAACCCACAGTGACTATACTAGTGAAATACTAGTGAAAATACTGACATATGTGAAAATAGTTACAATCCCAGCAAAATACTAGTGAAAGAGGAACATATAACATGTTATTGATAACGGCAGGAAGCAGACAAATGCCTAGGCAGATAGGGTCAGGTCCCCAGTGAAACCCAACCTTCAAGCCAAAGACAGTGTAAAGTCTAGCTACAAGTCCCAGGTAAACCCATGGACCAGATTAAGAACCTGTTTTCCCATTCAGTGTGCTTTCCTCTGATTGCTCCCCACCTTTCACCTATTTTACATATACCTACCCTTTCCTAATTTTTTTTTATACTGTGAATGGTGTCTTTGCTTTAACCTTTTTTGCATACTCACAAGCCAGTCAGCACACGCTCCCCATTCTGAGTCCATAAAAAGCCCCAGACCCAGGCAGAGAGAGATAGAGAAACCACCTGTCTGCAGGGGTTGGGGACCACCCCTCACATCCCATCTCCACTGAGAGCTTTTCCATCACTCATTTAAATTCTTCTCTGCCCATCCTCACTCTTCAAATTGTCACATATCCTCATTCTTCTTGGACATGGGGCAAGAGCTCAAGAACCCCTGAATGCGGGTACAAGCTATAGCACAGGTGGGTCAGTGGGCATGGCACCTCTAGAGGCAGGTCTGTGGCCACGTGAGGCCTGGGCAGGGGGCATCGCTGGCCATGGAGGTCCCCAGTTGGCAAGTAGCTGGGAAAAATCCTGTGTCATTACCAAAGTCGTGAGACATGATTATGTCTTTCATGTGATGGGGGTCATGTGAGTTTTGGTTTGCATATTGAAGGATAAGGAGGTCCATATGTGCATATGGAGGTGTGAAGGCTTATCACCCTAACTCACAGGTCCTTAGATTAACATTTGTCCAACTCTTATTTAGGTTGATGCAAAAGTAACTGCAATTTTTGCCATTACTTTTAATGGTAAAAAAACACAATTACTTTTGCACCAACCTAATAAAACCATTTGTGCTCTTTTGATAAACCTAAAGCTTTCTTTAGTCTTACAAATGCAGATATATCACTCTAGGAGAAAAGATTTTGTCTAACTTTATGATCTGTAATCTGTTTTTTGGAAAAACATTATTTTTCCATTTACCAAATAAAAAATTACATTAAATCTTCTTTTAAAAATTGTACATGGTCCCCTAAGGGGCCCCCCTCCCAATTGTGAGAAACTCTCACAATTCTCTCCAGATTCTGGGGTTCTAGAATCTCTGTTTTTTACTCTCTTGCAACAAAAAGGGGAACAGGAATTGTCAGCGGGCTCACCCTGAATGAATGGTTTTATCCTGCTGCCACTGTGTGAGCTGCTAAGCCTTGTGAACCCTCCAGGGCCTGGGGCTAGAGACACCCTCCCTCCCTATCCAGCTCCCTGGGTCCCTCTGTCTCTTATGATGTTGGGGTGGGACAGGTAGGGCAAGCCCCAAGTCCCTGGGCCAGCCAGCATCAGCCCACATTTCTGACCCTAAAGCCCTCCTTCTCCCTCCACATTTGCAGTCTTGAAATGCAAATAAGGAACCACTTCACACTTCCTAGGATGGATACAATTAAAAAACAGAAAATAAGTGTCACTACGGATGTGAAGAAACTGGAACTCTCATGCGTTGCTGGTGGGAATGTGAAATGGTGCAGCCACTGTGGAAAACAGATTGGTGATTTCTCAGAAAGATAAACATAGAACTGTCATCTGACCCAGTTATTCCACTCCCAGGTATGTATCTGAAAGAATGGAATGATAGCTGTACACCCATGGTCATAGCAGCTTTATTCACAATCGTCAAAAGGTGGAAGCAAACCCAGATGTCCGTCAAGAGAATGGCTAAACAAAATATGGAATATGCATTTAATAAAATATTCAGCCATAAAATGGAACAGAATTTTGATACACACTACAACATGGATGGACTTGAAAGCATTATGCTAAATGAAATAAGCCAGACACAAAATAAATATTGTAGGATTCCACCTATGAGCTACCTAAAATAGGCAAATTCAGAGACCAAAAGCAGAATAGAGCTTGGGGACGCAGGCAGGAGTTATTGCTTAATGGGTACAGAGTTCTTGCTGGGGATGATGAAAAAGTTGGGGTATAGATAGTGGTGTGGTCCACAGCCTTGTGAATGTAATTAATGCCACTGAACTGTTCATTTCCACATGGTTAAAATGAGAAATACTGTGTTAGGTAGAGTTTACTATTTTTTTAAAAAATCCTGGTTAAAAGTTTTTTGTTTGTTTTGTTTTGTTTTGTTTGAGACAGAATCTTGCTCTTGTCGCCCAGGCTGGAGTGCAGTGGCATGCATGATCTCCACTCACTGCAACCTTTGCCTCCTGGGTTCAAGCAATTCTCCTGCGTCAGCCTCCTGAGTAGCTGGGATTACAGGCACCCACCACCACACCCGGCTAATTTTTGTATTTTTAGTAGAGACGGGGTTTCGCCATGTTGGCCAAGCCTCACTATCTGCCCACCTTGGCTTCCCAAAGTGCTGGGATTACAGGCGTGAGCCACCGTGCCCAGCCAAAAGTTTTTTGAGAAGGACGTCCCAGGGAGGATGCAGCATGGGCCACTGCTCTCAGGCCCCAGGGGCACACCGGCTTCCACTAATTCTGCCTGAGCAGCCCTACCCAGCAGGAGTAGGGGTAGAATTGCTGTGCCTTGGTCTCCCCGCCCTGTGGGGATTCCCAGTCAGGATGAATGAATCCCCTTATCTTCTTAGCACCATGGCATTTACTGTTTTTCACCTTATTACTGCAGGCAGCAGCTTTTACTATACTTGGATACTTAGGTCTCATTTAACCCTCATAACACCTAGTGAATTAAGGATTATCCCCCCATTTTGGGATGCAGAACCTGAAGTTCTGAAGGAAGTGATGTGCCAGAGGTCACCCAGCTAGTAGGAGGCTGAACTGAGCTTGGAGCATTCCTCTCATTATCAGGTCCTAGTCCTCCATGCCCCTGCCCCACCCCTCCTCTCCTTCTGCTATGGTGTGGGACTAAAAAGGCACTCGTCTGGAAGTCAGGTGGCCTGAGCTCTAGTCCAGATTGTGCTAAGGTATGACCCTGGACAAATCACTTTCCTTGTCAGACCCTCGAATTCCTCATCTGTAGGAGGCACTGCTGATTTGTCTGCCCTCCCCACTCCAGAGGAGTTAGGAGGTCTCAAAGGTTGTAAACGTGCTTTATAAATGATACAGACTGTATCATGTCAGTTATTCTAAGCTTGTTTGATTAGTCATTCTATAAGTCATTATGGAATGGCATCATTCTCATTAATCAGGAAGAAACTGTCTCTGTCAACACTCCATTCACTCCTCAGTCACCTATTGCCTGCACCTGGAAGAATCCAGCCTTTCTGCTAGTCTTGGGTTACAAGGTTTTGCCTGGCTATGGGCTGGAGTTTTCTAGCAAACTGCTGGGAGAGGAAGCCAGCTCGAGGAATAAGGGAGCCTCTTGAGTTGACATAACTTTCTGAGCCCTGGCCCCAGACTGAGAATGAGTTGATTCTGGCTGCTGATGGGGTGGCCAGCTGGAGCAGCAGAGTTGGCTCCAAGATTGCAAACAAAACAGTGACTGCAGGGAGGAGTGTGACTGCGTTTTGCTTTCTCTGCTGCTAGTGTAGGCTCTCTTCTTGCTTTTCCCTTGGTAAAATCTTGACCTTTCACTTCCAACCCCCACTTCTCATGACAGGCCCCTGCATCCAACTTAAGGGTTCTTGGCCCCTCACTTTTGAAATCTAACTAGTCTCTTTCTTGTTCATTCCACCTCCAAAATAATGAGACTATCCTGTTCTCTCAGCCCAGTGGCCACTGTTCTAATTAAGTATACCTGTGTCTTTTCCTTGCCCAATTACAACTGCCTCTTTACTGACCTCTTGGCCTCATGTCTGGCACCCACCAATCCATCTACACAGGCTACCAGAGTGACTTTCCTTTATAAAAAAGACCTGACCTTGTCTTTTTATATGGGGTCATGCCTATTTAATAACTTCTGGAAACTCCTTATTCTTGCCACTTAAGGCCTTTATGCCCTGACTCCCACCTTCTCTCCTGGCTCTTCTCCTATCTCGGCCCATACTCCAGCCACAGTCTTCTTCCTAGGCTGACTTTCAAGTCTCCAGCGCTTGTCTGTGCTGTTCCTTCTGAGATATCTTGCCCTTCCTCCTCCACCTCCACTTTGTGATACTTCAAGGCTCAACTCAAATGCTACCTCTTGGCTGGGTGTGGTGGCTCACTCCTATAATCCCAGCACTTTGGGAAGCTGAGGCGGGCAGATCACTCGAGGTCAGGAGTTTGAGACTAGCCTGGCCAACATGGCAAAACCCCATCTCTACTAAAAATACAAAAATTAGCTGGGCGTGGTGGCAGGCACCTGAAACCCCAACTACTTGGGAGGCTGAGGCAGGAGAATTGCTTGAACCTGGGAGGCAGAGGTTGCAGTGAACCAAGATTGTGCTGCTGCACTCCAGCCTAGGTGACAGAGGAGACTGTCTAAAAAAAAGAAAGAAAAAATGCTACCTCTTGTGAAACCATTCCTGGCCTGTTTCCAAATAGGTTTAGTTACTGCCCACCCCCAACCTTCTTACAACGTGGTCACTATTTCTATCACTGTCTCTCTAGACAATGAGTTCATTTTAAGAGCCTCATTATTTACCTCTGTCTACAAAGTCCATTGGATGCCTGGCACATATTGGGTGCTCGGGTTTGCTTAATCAGCAAATGCTCCTAACAGTATGTTAAGAGCGTGGGGCTATGAAGTCATGCCCCATTCCCCTCATGGCTTTGTCTTCAGTCCTCCCAGTCTCAAGATTCTGTCCCCCATCAGATCTACATCTGCCTCCAAAATGTGCCTACCTTCCTTTTTTGGGAAGGAGTTTCCCTTGGACTTTCACTAGTGTCTATGTGACAGGGCCTTTGGTTTGTCCCAAACATGCTCCTTCTGGCTTTGTGGCAATCCTTCATTCAAGGATTCTGGGATCTCCTTCTTTATTCCCTTCCTGAGTTCATACATGCTGATCTGTAGGCTCTGCAAGGACACTGTTATGGCCAACACATAGTAGGTGCTCGTTAAAGCCATGTTAAGTGAACACATGAATGGTCCCTTCTCTTCTGGGGTGTAATGGAATGCTCAGTAGACTTGGAATCAGAAGACAAAGATGCTGCCACTCTGGCCGTGGCTGTGGGCAAGCCATTTCAAATGTCTGAGCTTTTGCTTCCTTGCCTTTAAATTGGGGATAGTGCCTGTACTTCACAAGGATACAAAGGATGAATGGAGATGAAAGTGCCTAAAACACAACCAACCACAAAGCTCACGAGCATTTCATTCATTCTCAGCCTCCTCCATCAAGTGTAAAGAGGGTTCATCTCCACGGTCATCCTCCTTCTGCTCTTTTAAGTATCTGGTCCAAAATGACTTCTGCCCAGGGTCCCTTGTAGCATGCAGGAACAGAATGATGTGGAAGCAAGCCAGTTTTGAATTCTGACAGTCACTTCCAAGCTGTAGAATTTGGACCTGTCTGCCTACCTGTAAAAGGAACATAACAGCACCTACCTCATAGAGTTGCTGTGAAGATTAAATGAGATGTGTGTCAAGTGAATTAGATGACATTCAAAATTTGAGTGAACCTGATGAACCTGAGTGCCCCTGAAAACCAAGTGATCATGCTGCCCTCTTGTGGACAAGAGGGCACATAGCTCAGCAAAGGCACCCGCAAAGTGTTCCGGTGAGAGAAATCAAACCACACATAAGGAACTTCTCTCCTCTACTAGGGAGCTCATGAACTACCCTGAAATATTTCATCATCAACTAGACAAGAAATTTTCAGACATTGATGCACTTGTTAAAATGCAGATCAGTTCTGATTCAATAGGTCTGACATGGGGACACAGTTCTCTAACGAGCTTCCAAGAGATACTGATGCTATTGGCCCACAGACGGCCCTGAATAAAGTTCCTAACTATAACAATGTAACAGTGTCATAACAGGAACTACTTATTAAATGTCTTACCATGTGCCAGTTAGTGAGAAAGCCAGTTAACCTAGTTTAACTTGTATAATCCTCAAGACCCTGTGGGGTAGGTACGGTTTATCTCCATTTTTCAGATGAGTGAACTACAGCAGAGAGAAAGTTTGTTGCCATACCATACAGTGTAAGGGGTGGGGCTTGGGTTCTAATTTAGACACTCTGGCCCCAGAGCCTGCTAGGAGGAAGCCTCCAACAGTGTGGAGGACCACCCAGGGGGGAGGAGGGCAGCAAAGGTACTGAAGTGATCAAAGTGAGAGATGATGAGGCCTAAGCTAGGGCACTGGCTGTGGGATGGAAAAGAGGGGGACACGGAAAAGAGGATGAACAGGATTTGGTGGTAGACCTGAGGTGGGTGTAAGAGAAGTCATTCACTGTGGGTATCTGGTTTGGACAACTGGAGAGATGGTGATACCTATCACTTATTGAGCCAGGAAACGCTGGAGGAAGAGCAAGTTTCATGGGGAGCAAGTTTCCGGGGGAAGGTGGATTCAGCTTTAGAAACAGTCAATATGAAGTGGCTTTTGGTCATCTGGGAGAGACAGGAGGAGGAACCTGGGCCTACCTGTTCAGAGCTCAGGAAATGATTTGGGTTGTAGATGAAGTTTCACATAAGTGAAGCTATGGTGACTGAGATCATGTGGACAGTGCACAGATTGTCCTGCTCTGGACCAAAGTCGACACAGCCGATAATTAGGAGAGATGGGACTGGAATCCCATCCTGGCTGCAGAGGAGGGTGGCTCTGACCATCCCACTGGGCATTCTGGATCAGGGGACAGGCAGAGCATAACACACTGAAGGGCTATAGGGAAAGGGGTTTCTGGAGTTCCATGACAACTAAGTCCAATGAGCTGTCCCCTGCCCCCATATCAGCAGAAATAAGGACAATTCCACAGAGAAAGACCAGACCAATAAAGGTTGGGAGATATTTATTTTCTTTAAACAAGGTCATAAATAACAAAAAACAAAGTAGGTCCCAGACTCCGGACCATGCAGCAGGACAGGGGTGGGAGGTTGTTGAGTGGAAAGGTGGAGGGGGCTACACATCACCTAAGACAGTCACAGAAAAGATGGGCTTCAGGACACTGCCCCTTCCTGCCCTTGGAAATGGCGTGCCTGGGCAATAGGGACAGGCCACAGTGCTGTGTCGAGGCAGCTGGAAGAAGGCAAAGACTGGGGATGCCAGGCTGTAATGTTTCTGTGTGGAGTGATGTGAAATCCACAAATGGCAAAGAGAAGCTGTAGGTTTGAAGAGGCAAGGGGGCACTGCACACCTCCAGGAACCAGTTATGAAAATGGTTAAATTTGATGATTAAAAACAATTCCATAGGCTTTGGCCTGTGGCTTTGTGCATGGGCTGTATTTAACCTGGGTTGCTCTGTGGCAGGTGAGGGCGCAGGAGGCCCCTGGAGCAGCCTGGCCTCAGCCCAGGGCAGGTGCCCAGACATGTGGGAGTGGGACAGTGGGCTCTCCCAGATGGGAGGCCATGTGCTTGGACCGGCTGGACCTGATTTTCAGGCTCGTTTCTTGTGATGCTATCCACCACCACCGCTCGCTATGGCTAAGGATGGGATCTTGGCCTCTCTGGGTCTTCCAAACCTGGAAGAGTACGACTGGGATAAAACGGTACCTGACTAGTGTTTTATTTGAAAGGGAAAAATAAAGACCACCCCATGCATTGTCCATCCCATGAGGCAGGGCTGGGCCATGCCAAGACAATCTCAAGGAATGGAGGTCCCTGAGCCTGGGAAGACATTTGAACTCAGATGTATCGCCTGATGCTAGGAAGAGGGGCTCAGTATGGCAAATCTGGAGGCTTTACCCTAGGCAACGCAGGGAGAGCAGGCAGGAGCTACCCCAGTACAGGGAAGGGAAAGGAGCAGGGGAGCCCTGGACTGGGGAAGCCGATGTTGGTCAAGGGCCCTGGAAAACAATGCTTTTGGCAGAATACATGAAAAGGTTGGTACATCTCGGGGTGCCCGTCTACCGGGAGCCAGTGTCACATGGCTGGGCGGGATGGAGAGGAGACAGTGGCATCACAGTGGCCTCTGGTGCGACGTATTTACAACAGAGCTCGATGTTGAGGAGGGGTGGACAGCAGGTCACTAACAGCCAGGAAACACACTGTGGAAGAACAGAAAGAGAAGGAAAAACAAATGTAACTATCAATAGCTTTCCCTTGCTTATCTGTATCCTCCAGGAAGCCCTCCCTAATGACCACCAAGGCCCTGGCAAATCTGACCCATTTCACAGCCCTGACCAGAGCTGGACCCAGGGTCTGCTCTCAGTGTGCTGCTCATTTGCCCAAGGCTCCAAATGGTCGAAGGGCCCCAGCCAAACACTGTTTAGTAAGAGAAATTAAGTCTTTATTGTTGGTTCCTGGGATCCATGAATGGTCAGTTGTTAGAGGGATGGCTCAGCATAGGGGTGTCGCTTCTGTGGTTCACTGTCCCAAGGTCTTGCCATCATCTCCAGTGCTTACCCTGCCCTGTCACTCTCATCTCCCAGGCCCTGGAATTCAGAGTTCTCTAACGCAGAAGCCATTTCCTTTTCTTAATATTTCTTCTGCAAACTTTCTGAGAGTGGGGAACAAGTTTCCCCAAGCCCTCACCAAAATCAGAGAAGAGACTTTTCAATGGTAGGAATGACTCCTCATGAGGGTTGTGGGCTCTCTGAGGATCAAAGGCCTTCTGCAGTACAGACTAGGAGCTGGCTGAGGTGGGTCAATACCACCTGGTTTGGTCAACATGCCTCTCTTCTTCCTCAACAAAGAGCCCAACTGTGTTTCCCTAAACAGATGAAGAGCTACCTAGGATGAGAGACCTGGCCCTGTTTCTTCCTCTAGACCAATAGAGGGGGAATTTTTGCCTCCCTTGAGGCATTTGGTAAAATCTGGAGACATTTCTGTTTGTCAAAACCGTGTGTGGGAGGGGTACTACTGTTATCAGGTGGGTAAAAGCCAGGGATACTGCTAAGCATCCTACAATGCACAGGACAGTCCCCACAATGAAGAATTATCCACCTCAAAATGTCAATAAAGCTGAGGTTGAAAACCCTGCTCTAGAGCTTCCAGGATCACCCCTGCAGAGTGGCTAATATTCTGCCAGCTTCGGAAAGGGAGGGGAAGCAAGCCTGGCAGAGGCACCCATTCCATTCCCAGCTTGCTTAGTAGCTGGCCATGGGAAGACACTGTGCAACACTGTAGAAAACCCTGCTCTAGGCCAGGCGCGGTGGCTTGTGCCTATAATCCCTATAATCCCAACACTTTAGGAGGCCGATGCGGGTGGATCACTTGAGGCCAGGAGTTCAAGACCAGCCTGGCCAACATGGAGAAACCACCATCTTTACTAAAAAAAAAAAAAAACAAAAAAAAAAACAAAATTAGCCGGGTACGGTGGCGTACGCCTGTGATCCCAGCTACTCGGGAGACTGAGGCACTGGATCACTTGAGCCCAGGTGGCAGAGGTTGCAGTGAACCAAGACTGTGCCAAGAAAAAAAAAAAAAAAAAAAAGCCCTGCTCCATGGCCTGCCCAGCTTTCCTTGGCAGCAGGGCAGGAGAAGCCAAAGAAAACTTCTCTAGGAGCCTGGAAAAGGACTGATTCCTATCCCAGCCTCCTCAAAGGGGCACCTCAAGAAGAAATGCACATCACAGTGGGGAGTGAGACTAGGCACAATTTAATCACAGCCTCAGCATCAACCCGTGGGAGCACAGCACAAAGAAACAACCAACCATGGCTTTGTAGAAACAGACATGCCAGGCTCTTCACTGAGGAGGAGGAAGAAAGGCATGGTGACCAAACCAGGCAGGGGTAAGGCAGAGATATTTACAGTCCTACAAGTGTCTGCTTGTCAGATTCGGCCAGCACTGCTGGGTTCTTAAACCCTTGTACCCGCCTTACCACTGGAATCCACCGATGGGTTCTGCAAACCTGTGCCGGATCAGGAAAGTGGCAACAGCTTCAGCTACCTGGAAATGGGAGAGATATTCCAGGCCATATAAAGGTTAGTGATGGGGCTTAGCCTTGGGCTGTGAGCTACTGTTAGATGGTTAGGCTCTACGGTGCCCTCATCCCACCCACAGGTCTGAGTGGCTTGAAATTAAAAGGACCTAGGCCCTCCCTAGCAGAGCTAGAAGACTCCTCCCCACTATCCTTGCCAGGGATAGCTCCATAGAGCTCAAGAGGAATGACGTGAAGGGCTTATGTGTGCCCTCAGAGTTACAGAATGGTGTTTTCTCACAGGAGGAGCCCATATTAATTCCTAACTGTGCCTGTGGTTTAGGGAGCAGTTTCTACCCTAATCATCCCTCTTCCATCTCTGGCTTTTGGGGGTATTGGAGAAGTAGAGCTTAAGATCTTAACCACAGGGCCCTGGGATGAAATAGCAGAGTGTCAGTAGCTCCTCAGCACATATACACAAAACCAATACCATAAGCAGCTGCCAGGGAGAAGTTGGAGAGCTGGTGGAACTGCATCTGCATAGGCTCCACAGCAGCTGCTGCAGGCAATGCAGGCTGAGACTCAGAGACTTGTCTTCTGTGACATCCAGGGTTATTCTCACAGTTGTCCTTTTACAGTCACTGAGCACCAGACTCACCTTGTCAGGGGCATCCTCATGGACTGCATGGCCACACTGGGGTAGGACCTGCATCTGGAACTTCCCTGGAGAGGAATCAAAGCAAGGCAACTTCAGCGACTAAAAGAGCCCTCTCTTATGCAGCCTCATAGGTCATTCCAGGAGCCCAGGACCTACCTCCCCATTTCCAACCTCACCTCAATACTCTGGACCCAATTATCAAGTCTTGCTGAGGATGGTAATACAAGTAATTGTAACCTTGCGCCAATCATTTCCCTTCACTTTTTCCTTCTGTCCTATTTAGTGTACATTTACTGTGGGCCAGAGACACATAGAAGAAACAGTTCTTGTCCTCAGGGGATTTACAGTCCAGTAGGGGAGTAAAACACAAAAACCAACATTTTAATGCAGCATGTCATTCCTATGATAAAACTGGCTACATGGGGCTGTAAGAGCATAAGAAAGGGAACTTCACAATCCAAGAGGGAACCAGGAAGGAAGGAAGGCTTGAAATGGCTTGGAATACAAGAAGCTTGGCATGGTGCTTATGAGAGTGGTTAACAATAAGGCTGGAGAGGTAAGCAGGGGCCAAACCATTAAGGATTTTGTAAGCTATGTTAAGGATTCAAAATGTATTATTACAATAATAAGTTACCATCTGAGCACTTAAGCATGTGCCAGGCATTGTACTAAGCACTTTCTCATACTGTCTTACAGAACACTGTAAGCTCGTAACTAATGCGACAATGATTGAGAATGAACAGCGATGACTGATAAAGAAGATCCCTAAGGAGACTAAAGGATATGAGACCCAGAGCCCCCATAAGTAGAGACAGCAGATTTTCTCAGCCTCAGATTCTCTATTTATAAAATAAAGGAATGGGCTTGAAAGTTCTTCTGGTCATTACATCCTGTGGTTCTTACCCCAGTTACGCAGGATTCAAAAGTTTTCAGTGTATTCTTCTATCCATTTTTAAAGTTGATTCTCAAAATCTACCCTATACAATTAAGCACAAAAATACTGAAATTCTTTTCTGAGATGATGAAACTGAGGCCATGATTAGTGAAGTAACCTGCCCAAGGCCACTTCATTAATTAGTGGAGGAATAAGATGATCCCATTTAGTAAAGTCCATCCTGTGCCCCTCCTCCTGCAGTAAGCTGCCTCTCTCTGGGTGCTCAAGCCTAGTCACCTCTCCCTTCTAGCTCCTAAAGTTGTTAATGCACTTGGATCCAAACACAGAGCAGCACATGGCCCTCTTGTAAGTTTCAAGTAAGTTTACATTTTACATGCCACTGGTGCTTGCCTCCCCAGGAGTGTGTCATTTCCATAAGAACAGGGGACAATGGTGTTATTACTTGCTCTATATCCCTAATAAGACCTAACACAGGGTAGGGCACTGAGTAGATGCTTAAGTCTTTAGCGAATGAATGATGAACAAATGACTAGATCCAAAACTTACAACTCCAATCTCCCTGTTCTTTCTGTTAGATCAGCTCTGATGACTAGGGACGCATTTGTCCTTCCTCTTTGGAAGAGTAGGTATAATCAGAGAGAACTCACATACACCAACAACACTGTGCCAGGTACACATAAAATAACATGTTCATGGGTAATCCTCATGATTATTCTATGAGGTGGGAATATTTCCAAACTCTTCTCTCCCATTGCACAGATTAGGAGCCTTAGGTTCAGAGAGCCTAAATTATTTACCCAAGGGGTACTATGAATAGGTGGTAGTTTTCCAGGATTTCATAACTAAGTCAGTTGGTTTGAACACAGTGCTGGCAAAGCTGTGGTTTGGAATCTATGCAGCCTTAGCCATTTCCCTTTGTTCTGTGGAATGTTCCTTATCCTCGCCATTTACTCTCTATACTCATAGGAGGCTTTCTTTAAACCAGAAGGTGGTCTTGATATAATCCATATTGAGGAAACAGGAGGACATCTCATAAGGAATCGTGATTACTTCCTGAATATAATGAAAGGCATCATTTGTTAGACTACCCGCATTTTTTTCATTTAAACTTCATGTAACTGTACTGAGATATATCATTATCTCCATTTCACAGATGAAGAAACTCAAAATTAAATAAGTTAGGAATTCACTCATACCGCAAAACTATTAACAGTGATTCAAACCCAGGATTGTCTGATTCCAAGGCTGGTGATCAACAATGATTTCAAATGCTATCCCAGTCCATGTCAACTGCCTTCAGGCAGTCTCAGGGGCCATATCTGATTCTTCTGTCTGCCCAGCATCATGCATAGGTCTTGCACAGAAAGGGTGCCTAGGAAAGGTTTCTTGAATTGAACTTAAGTGTCTTAGATTCAATTTCATGGCACTCATGTTGGTAATTACGGGCTTAGACATTTATAAGCATCTACTTAAATAAGTGTCTAAGCCCATAATTACCAACATCAGTGCCATGGAAAAAAAATCACACAGTCCCAGCTCATAGTCCTATTCTAGGCCTCAGGATACAATGTAGTTAAAGGAAGGCAAAGCCATGAAGGTCTGGGACCAGAGTTTTATATGTGAGAGCCTTTGAACAACTATTATGAGAGAATATAGCTCCTTTTGCTGTGGAAAGCTTGAGGATAGCTAAAAGAACAGTTTGAGAGGCCCATGAGATATCCAGCAGGTTTGCTACATAGGCTAGGACTGGATCTCAGGAGAGAGGGGTGAGGTGGATGTTTAGCTTTGGGAGTCATCAATATATAAATGGAAGCCATGAAATTGTCCAGGGAGAGTAAGTAGGGAAGAAAGGTCTAGAACAGATTCTGCCTGAGCCTGAAACTTTGGTCTTGGAGTTGGCACCTCTTCTTCCCATAACCCAAAAGTTGTATGCCTACTGGCTTCACCTTCACTGAGTCTTTTACCCGTACTAAAGCAAGAGCCCCCACAAAATTGGACCCGCTGCCTCCACTGTTATCTAGCTAACATACATGCATCTGTATACAGTGCTCAGCATGTCACTTTCCTACTCATTATACCCCACGATCTGTTTGAGGCTGCCATCAGTTTTTTCATTTTCCAGATTAAGAAGACTAAAGCTGAGGCAAGTCAGATAACTTGCCCAGAGTCAAAAAATTACTGGAAAAGCAGTATTCAAAACTCAGTTTTCCGAACTTCAGAGACCTTACTTTTACCATCTTACCATGCTGTCTTCTAAACAGGTATTTATACCTTTTTATATCTGGATTATCTTGAGCCTTTCCCTTTCCTAAAACTTCTAACAATAAGAAAAATACTGGCCAGCTGCAGTGGCTCACACCTATAATCTTCGCACTCTGGGAGGCCAAGGCAGGTGGATCACTTGAGGTCAGGAGCTTGAGACCAGCCTGGCCAAAATGGTGAAACTCCATCTCTACTAAAAATACAAAAATTAGCTGGGCGTGGTGGTGCATGCCTGTAATCCCACTACTGGGGTGGGTGAGGCCCGGAACTGCTTCAACCTGGGAGGTAGAGGTTGCAGTGAGCCGAGATTGGTCCCACCGCACTCCAGCCTGGGCAACAGAGTGAGACTCCAATTCAAAAAAAAAAAAAAAAAAAAAACCCACAAACAAAAAACTGATCAGTAGTCAGAATATCTCTTTTCACAGTATCATACACCTATACAGTACTTTATAATTTTTAAACACATTGCCTCATTTTAACTCTTATAACTGAGACATAGGTAGTAGTATTATAATCTTCATTTTTGGATGGATTTTTTTTTAAACAAATTAAAGCTCAGGAAAGGGAAATACTTGCCCATAATCATATAGTGTGTTAGGAGTAGAGGCGGATGTCCAACTTGGGTCGGACTCTAAAGCTCATGCTTTCTCCGTTATACCTCACTATCTCAGGATGTTAACTGCCCTATCACCCTTTCTTCAGAAAAGGGTCCAGGGGTATAATTTCTTGATAACTTACCTTGCATCTGGCCAATGGTCAGATCTTTATCCAATCTATCAACACCTAGAAAACAAGAGAATTCATTGTGAAACAGATTTTGCTGTTCACGTATTAAGTAAAAAGTGTTACAAAGTTTTAAATATGATGACATTCTCCATTCATGTTTATACCAATCCTAACTCCCAGAGCATACTCTCACCACCAGATAAAACTTTTCAGGTTGAGATTCCCCTATAATTACTATGTTAAACTGGTTCTGAAAACAAGGTTTTACTATTTTAATTCTCATAATAATCAGAATATCCTTATACCACTGCATCTAGCTCTAGACTAAGAAGGACTTGAGCTTGACCAAGTAGACAGGCCAGGCCAGAATTAGGTCATCCTTTATGCTTAGATGAATGCTTATGCTTAGTTAGGTTTAGAGACTGGGTGTGGGGAGGAGAAAAGGCATAGATGAATGAGGAAGGTACTCTACTTTGGATGTCACTACTCATTTGGTGAGAAGTTTTAATGAGGTCATATTGAGATGACAATATACCAACACTGCTATGGACTGAGTTGTGTCCCCCTAAAACTCATGTTGAAGCCCCAATTCCCAATGTGACTGTATTTGGAACTAGGGCCTATAAGGACGTAACCTCAGGTCATGAGGGCAGAGCTCTGACATGATAGGATGAACGTCCCTAATTAATATCCTTAAGAGAAGAGACACCAGAGAGCTCACATTCACTCTTTCTCGGCCATGTGAGGGCACAGAGAGAAGGCAAGCCAGGAAGACAGCCCTCACCACAACCTGACCATGCTGGCACCCTGATCTCAGACTTCCAGCCTCCAGAACTGTGAGAAAATAAATTTCTGTTGTTTAAGCCACTCAGTCTATGATATTTGGTTATGGCAGCCTGAGCTGACTAATATATGCACATATACACTTACCAGCCAAGAGCAGCAATTTAGGAATGGGACAACTAAGAAAGAGATTGGATAAGCCTCGGAACCAGCCGTCCCAGTATTTTTCTGTTTTTGCCAGTTCAATTCTCCAGGTGTATGGATGGTCTTTCTTGGTCTGGAGGAATAAGAGCAAGTTCTGAGTCTCCGAGGGCAACCCCTGGAGGAACAGGATTAAAAACTAGATCCCTGGGAAAAGGAAAGGGAAGGAAACTAGCACTTATTAAGGACCTACTAAGTCCTAGACATTTTAATATACATTCAATCCTTCCAACAGTCTTGTTGTATGGGTCACTGTTAATATTCATTTTAAGATAATTACAAGTTTACTTTTTATTGCTATTAGTTTCTGTGAATTTAGGAAACTTTCTTAAGATCACAAAGCTAGTAAGTGGTAGTGCCAAGATTAAGCCTTTCTTATACTTGGTTGGCAAAAGGATGTTTCATCAAAAGAATAACTACAAAGAACATACTGCAGTATGAAAAAATGCTTATAATATAAGCAAGAAACAGATTACAACATGTCATCTAAGTTAGGATTACTACTGGAAAAATGTGGTATAGTAAAGTACTAAAAAGGAAAACTGAAAATAGGTTGATTTGTCAGTAGAGCATTTTTTCTTATATTTTATGATAATGATATAATGTTCCTGCAATAGTAATTTTGAAAGGAAATATGAGACAAATATGACAAAATGTCAACATTTATTAAATCTTTATTGTAGATAAGCACAGAGTATGCAATCAAATATTGGCTGAAAAAATAAATAATTCTCTATATTTTTCTGTACCATTGAAATATTTGAAACATTATAATTGAAATAAATATACTGAATCAACCACAATATGAAAATCTAAAAGTGAACATGAGATAGTAACATATTATCTTAAAGATCACTGGATGCTTAAGATGTCCATACTACCCAAAGTAATCCACAGATTCAATATAATCTCTATCAAAATTCCCATGGCTTTTTTTTTTAGGAAATAAAAAAAATCACCTTAAAATTCATATGGAATCTCATAGACACTGACTAGCCAAAACAATTTTGAAGAAGAACAAAATTGGAGAACTCACACTCCCCAATTACAAAGCTGCAGTAATTGAAACAGCTTAGTACTGCCGTAAAGACAAATAGACCAGTGGAATAGAATAGAGAGCCCAAAAATAAACCTTCACATAAATAGTCAAATGATTTTTGACAAGACTGCCAAGACCACTCAATGGGGAAAGAACAGTCTCTTCAACAAACAGTACTGGGATAACCAAACAGATATGCATATTCCAAAGTGAAGCTGGGGCCTTATCCCATATCCAAAAATTAACTCAAATGGATTAAAGACCTAGTAAGACTAAGACTATAAAACTCCTAGAAGAAAACATGGAGGAAAAGCTGGACAGTAGACTTGGTAATGATTTCTTGGATATGACACCAAAAAGCAGTGAACAAAAGCAAAAATAGACAAATGGTACTATGTGTATGGAATGGGAGAAAATCTTTGCAAATCATATATCTTATAATGGATTAATATTCAGAATATATAAAGGACTCCTACAATTCAGCAACTAAAAACATCGAGTAACCTGATTAAAAAATGGTCAAAGGGCTTGAATAGACATTTCTCTAGAGGTGATACAGAAGTGGCCAATAAGCATATGAAACGATGCTTAACATCACTAATCAATAAATAAATGCACAGCAACACCACAATGAGATACCACCTCACCCCCATTAGGATGACTACTATCAAAAAAGAGAAAAATAAGTGTTGGTGAGGATGTGGAGAATTCGGAAGGAACCCTTGTGTACTGAGTTGTAAAATAGTTCAACCAATAAGAAAAACATCAAGGCAGTTCCTCAAAATATTAAAAACAGAACTACTGTATGATCCAGGAATCCCACTTCTGGGTACATATCCAAAGAATTGAAAACAGAATCTCAAAGAGGGATCTGCAAACCCATGTTCATAGCAGCACTATGGATAACAGCCAAGAGGTGGAAGCAACTCAAATGGCCACTGATGGATGAATGAATAAACGAAATGTGGTATATACATATATAATTCAGCCATAAAAAGGAAAGAAATGCTATCACATGCTGCATAGGGACTGAACTTTGAGGACATTATGCCAAGTGACATAAGCCAGTCACAAAAAGACATATAATATATGATCCCACTTATATGAGGTATCTAAAATAGTCAAATTCATAGAAAGTAGAATGGTGGCAACCAGGGGCCTTTGGAAGAGTTTTAGAAAAGGGGAGTTGTTGTTTAATAGGCATAAAATCTCAGATGTTTCACAACAATGTGAATATTAACTGTACACTTAAAAATTACCAAGATGGCATATTTTATGGGTTGTTTTTTGTTTTGTTTTTGTTTTTTATCACAGTAAAAAAAAAAAAAAGAAAGAAAGAAAGGAAAAGAAAAAGAAAAAGATCGCCAGATGGGAAATCAAGAAACTTGGGTCTTCTAGTCCTATCTTTGCCACTGATTTTCTCAGATCCCTTCCCTTCTTTGGGCCTTGGTCTTCCATCAGTAAAAGGAGATACAAAGGTACCTTATGATTCAAATATTCTCACTAAAGAACTAATTCTATTCTCCACTGTTAATATTTACCAGGGATAGGACACTTTAAAGGAAACACTTACTGCCATTTCAACCTGGAACCTCAGCCTGTCCTATTCCCCACAACACTATGAGCCATTTCTAAGAGATCAGCTCCACCGTCAGAGACAAGGCATAATCTCACAAGCCCCTCCTACATGCACACTGAACTTCACAGGGAAATGACAAATTTAAGGTAAGAAAACCTCCAAAAAGTAACATTATAATATATATATATATAACAGTTCATCTCAAATCTTAAAATTTGCAAAACCAAAAAAAAAAATTCTGGACAGAATTAGGATTTCTTCTGTATTTAGGTTATTGGAAATAAATCCTTTCTCCAAAGAGCTGGATCATGAAGTTTAGTTTAGATGCCTATTAGATGCTGTGAAAATGGTAATAAAGCAGGCTGATATAATGAGATCCACTTGTTGTTGGGTGGGAGAAACAGAAAGTTGGCTAACAATCTTCCTGGGATGTTTACCTGGGCGAGATGCAGTTCTCCACACAAGGGCATCCACCACAGGCCTTGCATTATCTCCCATTGTTTCACTGGAAAAGTGTTTAAAAACATAACGCTTTGTGTCAGTCAGATCTGACTGAATGCAAGTCCCAAAGCCATTCTTAACTAATCACTGTGGGTCCCTTGGGAAAGTTACTTAATTTCTTCCAGCCTGTTTTTTTTTTTTTTTTTTTTTTTTTGAGACAGAGTCTCACTCTGTCGCCCAGGCTGGGGTGCAGTGGCACAATCTCGGCTCACTGCAACCTCTGCCTCCCGGGTTCAAGCGATTCTCCTGCCTCAGCCTCCCGAGTAGCTGGGACTACAGACGCACGCCACCACGCCCAGCTAATTTTTGTATTTTTAGTAGAGACGGGGTTTCACCATGTTGGCCAGGATGGTCTCAATCTCCTGACCTCGTGATCCACCCACCTCGGCCTCCCAAAGCGCTGAGATTACAGACATGAGCCACTGCACCCAACCCCAGACTGTTTTCTTAGCTGTGAAATTGGCAACACAAGATCTGAAAGAATTGTAAGGATGAGCTAAAGATACTCATGTATGTAAAACAACAGGAGCGTGGTCTGGCACATAAACAAGTATTAAAATTTTTAAAAAATATATAGGATGTCAATAACCTTGAAAAAGAAGAACAAAGTTGGAGGACTTACACACTGTCTGATTTCAAGACATACAACAAAGCTACAATAACAAAGACAGTGTGGTACTTGCATAAGGGCAGACATATAGATCAACAGAATAGAATTCAGAGTTCAGAAATAAAATCTAACATTTATAGTCAATTGATTTTCAGCAAAGGTGCCAAGACAATTAAATGGGGAAAAAGGAGCCTTTTCAATAAATGGAGCTGGGACAGGCTGTTTATTGGGTATCTACATGCAAAAGAATGAAGTTGGTTCCATTCCTGATATCATACACAAACATTAACTCAAAATGGAACATAGGCCTAAATGTAAGAGCTAAAACAAGAAAATTCTTAGAAGAAAACATAGGTATAAATCTTCATGACTTTTAGGCAAAGACTTCTTAGATATAATACCAAAAGTACAAGGGACAAAAAGAAAAATAAATTGAATTTCATCAAAATTAAAAACGTCTATACTTCTAAGAATGCCATCAAGAAAGTGAAAAGACAACCCATGGAATGGGAGAAAGTATTTGCAAATTAGGGATCTGTATCTAGAATATATATAGAACTCTTAAAATTCAGTAATAAAATCAAATAACCCAAGTAAAAAATGGGCAACGTATCTAACAAACATTTCTCCAAAGAAGATATATAAGTGGACAATAAGCACATGAAAAGAAACTCAATATCAGCAGTCATTAGGAAAATGAAAATCAAAACCACAATCAGATATCACTTCATACACACTAGGATGGCTATAATCAAAAAGAGAGAAAATAACAAGTGCTGACAAGGATACTGAGAAACTGGAACACGCATACACTGCAAGTGCGAATGTAAAAGGGTGCACCTGCTTTGGAAAACGGTCTGTCAGTTCCTCAAAAGGTTAAATATAGTTACCATATGATCGATCAGTTCCACTCCCAGCTGTGTACCCAAGACAAATAATAAAAGCCTATATCCACACAAAAAGTTGCACACAAATGTTCAAAGAAGTATTATTCATAATAGACAAAAAGTGGAAACAACCCAAATGTCCATCAAGCGATGAATGGATTAAAAACTGTGGTATAGCCATACAATGTCACATTATTCAACCATATAGAGAAATGAAGTATTTGATACGTGCTACAATATGGATGAACCCTGATAATTTTATTTTAAGAGAAAAGAAGCCAGTCACAAAAGACCACATATTATATAGTTCCATCTATATTTAATGTCCAGATTAGGCAAATCTATAGAGATTAGATTAGTGGTTGCCTAAGCTGGGAGGGTTGGGGAGAAATGGGGAGTGAATTCTCATGGACACTCCTTAATGTGCCTCAGTTCACCCTCTCAACAGAACTGCTGGAGTTTATGAAACCACATAATTGGGCTTATAAAAAAATACAAAGAAAAAATGAGTTAGAATTAAAAATCGAGGATCTGGGTGTGTTTTAGCTTTAACTTTTATGTGTGACCATGGGCAAGTATCTGTACCTAAGTTGTAAAATGGTGATAATACCTACAATGCAGAACTAAAATGAGAATTAGAGATGATAAATGTGAAGCATTCAGCATAGTGCTTAGCACATAATGGGTAAAAAGCAATTGATTATATTAAGAGTCTCAAATCTACTAAATGCGTTCTTGATTACCTTGGGCAAGTCTCTTAACTTCTGAGCCTCAGATTCTACACCATAATATGGGAGAAAAGATCTCTCCACACCTCATAAGGTGTTCAGAGGACCAAACAGACCATGCGTTATTTAAACCCTTGTAAACTCTAAAGAGGTACAAAGTATTACATTTCTGATCACTGTTTTAAAGATGGCAAGAAGATCCTCAAATTTAAAATACTGTTTAAAAATGTATTCTCCTTCTTGCTAACAGCAGCATCACCAAATGCAAAGGAGTAGGTCATTACATGTTCATTACCTGCCATTAGTAAGATGTTTATAATCGAAACCATCCCTAGTCTGCTGTTCATGAGCACTAAACATTTTCAAGAAAAAAGCACTTGTTACCACTACTTGCCTGGCAAGTACTCATAAAACACTATTTATACAACCCTGAGCTAAATGCAGAGGGAAATTCATGCAGAACATCAGTTTCTGCCACAAAATACACATTTTTTGTTTGTTTGGAATACAATTCTTGCACAGAGGACAACATGAGTCAACAGATGACTAGCAAAGGACCATAGTATTTCTGAGTGTGACTTATAAAATCAGTTCTATGACTTAATATGTACAACTTCAAAAAAAAAGTGCTAAGGTGTGTCATACAGACTTTCAGTGCTGTGTTGGAAAGACAGTGATACTAATTGAGGTCAGAAAGCTTCCCCAGGGAAGTTGGGTGTGGTGGCACGCACCTGTAGTCCCAGCTACAGCTACTGGGGAGGCTGAGGTGGGATGATCACGTGAGCCAAGGAATTCAGCCTGGGCAACATAGCAAAACCCAGTCTCAAACGAAAAAAAAAAAAAAAAAAATGGAAAGAAAATTAAAGAGCTTCCTCAAGGAGAAAAACTTTGAAAGACAGATGGACAGGGTAAAATCTGCATGAGCTTAGGCCGGGCATGGTGGCTCACGCCTGTAATCCCAGCACTTTGGGAGGCCAAGGCGGGTGGATCACGAGGTCAGGAGATTGAGACCATCCTGGCTAACCCGGTGAAACCCCGTCTCTACTAAAAATAACAAAAAAAAATTAGCTGGGTGTGGTGGCGGGCGCCTGTAGTCCCAGCTACATGGGAGGCTGAGGCAGGAGAATGGCGTGAACCCGGGAGGCGGAGCTTGCAGTGAGCCGAGATCGCGCCATTGTACTCCAGCCTGGGTGACTGAGCAAGACTCTGTCTCAAAAAAAAAAAAAAAAAAAAAGATCTGGATGAGCTTAGAGTAGACTGGTAGGAAATGGAATTTTTCTCATGGGAGGAAACACAGGAACAGAAGAACAGGTGAGAAAGCAGTCTGTTTTAGGGGAGGGTATATAGCGTAAGTTTTATGTTCCAATTGGTCAGAGCTATCAACAGTGCTTTACATCTTATAGTTAAGCTAAGTATCTCTTATGATAGTGTCTTGGCTCCCTAAAATACCTAATGGCAAACAAAAAGAACAATGTTATCACCCCTTCCCACCCACACACAGTTTGAACCATTCCATACCGCATCTTTTCAAGAATGAATGTTTTTACCCACCTCCATGTCATCTTCCTTTTTCCTCTTGCTTATAGACTCACTTCCTTCCTCATCTTCTTCTTCTTCCTCTATGATTCCTTCCACTATAGATTTTGAGCCTTCTGGACTTGTAATTCCTTCACACCTAGGTTTTTTTAAAAAAGTGCTATTACACACCTCTTTCCAATACACAAATTATCTCAGAGATACTCATACTTACGGCCTTTTATAATCAAATGTTAGCTAAAACTTAACAATCATCCTGGTAGGAGGATAGAATTGTGCATTTCCAGGGCTGTGGAAAATCATGGCCAATGTATAACTATTCTCCAAGGGCTGGTTTCCAGTTCTTGCACCAATACTGACCCATAGAAAGGGAGCAACCACTTCCTCAGGCATGAGTTTTATTGGCATAATCTTATATAATCTTCATAACAATCCTATGAAGTAGCCCTGAAGAGTTAAGAAAATTGTCCAGCATCACCTAACTCATAAGTGGTTAAGGCTGGGATGCAAATCCAGGCTCAACTAACTCCAAAACATGGTGCTTTTCTGCTGAACCCTGCTTATAGTAGAACAAGGCTCAAACAGAATGATAAAAGGCCTCACTTTTTAATTAGCTGACAGAAACCATCTGAACCAACCAATTATCATTGTTGTTTTTCTCTTAAAAATTGCATCTCTTTTTATTATATTCTTTGGTAGAAAAATTATTATTATATCAACAGCTGGTACCATACTTCCTTTAGAGAGAACTTGATGGAAAAAACACATTGACAAGCTCTGAAGGTAAAAAAATCCCAAGGGCCTGGGCAACAGCTAGTGCCAAGGTTTGCTCTGTATGATAGAGAACAATCTGTTATTTTGCCCTTGACAAAGACAGAGAAGGAAAAGGAGAGAGAACAAGCAAGATAAAAAGAGACTGGGATAAATTCAAAAGTCAGCGGTAGATTTTTAAGAATGATAACTTCTCCCTTTCTGTCTTCTCTGCCAAACCTTCAGTGAAGTGTAAGTTCACAAATGTTTTGTTAAGTAGGTGTTTTATATGAAACTTGTGCCAAGTTTCACATGTAGTATACAGTATAGATGTGATAAAAAAAAAAAAAACAGTGTAACAAAGAAACATATGCTTTGAATTTCTATAGCCTGTGGATTAGGAGGTTCAAGGCAATTTCACCTGGATTATAAGGGGCAGGAAAGTTCCAGCTATCTATGTGACAGTTAATACACATGCACATACACACTCTCCTACACATAGGTTTACTTATTAAGAGAAAACATCACTGGAAATAAAATTTTAAAATCACTCAACTATCTGCATATATGCCATGTAAAATGCTTTACTACTGATTAGACAAATTTGAGGTCTCAAAATATTTAGGAATTGAAAAGTGGGCAGTCTCACAGGTTATTCAAAGTCTTGCATTTTGACTGCCTGATATTTCTACTGAAATTGCCCTTTTAGGCATAAAACCATAAGATAGGCCTTGAAGTCAAATACACAGGAGTTTGAATCTCAGCTATGTCATCCACTAGCTATGTGATCTTGGGAAACTACCTCTCTGAACTTCTATTTCCTCATCTATAAAGCAATACTTATCTTAAAGAGGTATTGTAGGGATTAAATGAGATAGTGCAAATGAATTAATGAATCTAGGTAATAAACATCAACGGCTCCTGACATTAAAAAAAAAGAGACAATTGGCTGGGCATGGTGGCTCACGTCTGTAATCCCAGCACTTTGAGAGGCCGAGGTGGGCGGATCATGAGGTCAGGAGATAGAGACCATCCTGGCTAACACAGTGAAACCCCACCTCTACTAAAAATATAAAAAATTAGCCGGGCATGGTGGCACATGCCTGTAGTCCCAGCTACTCAGGAGGCTGAGGCAGGAGAATTGCTTGAACCTGGGAGGCAGAGGTTGCAGTGAGCTGAGATCGCGCCACTGCACTCCAGCCTGGGCGACAGAGTGAGACTCTGTCTCAAAAAAAAAAAAAAAAAAGACAACCAGACATTATGTACTTCCTGATGGCAGTACGCAACATCACCTATCAAGTATTCTTGCAAACAAAACACCTGAACCCGATGAAGCTTCTAGATTTAACTATTTACACAGAATATAAGGAACAAAGGAATATGTTAAATTATGGCCTGAGAATTCAATCAGCAAATCCAGATCATGGGAAATTCTATGGGGCAAACAAGGTTTCCTCAAGAAATAAATTGCAAGGAATCAAAAAAAAGAGGGAGACAGAAGTGGAACCTTAGATTAAAAGATGCATGAGAGGTGGATCAACCAATTGCTATCTACTTATTTTGATTTTGACTTTAATTGTAAAAAATTATTTATGAGACAATCAGAAATGTAAATATTGATTAGATATTTGATGATATTAAAGAATTGCCAATTTTTTTACGTGTAATAATGTCATCGTGATGATGTTTAAAGAGCCCTTATTTTTAGATCATATGAAAATCTTGCAGAGGAAATTATATTTGTTTGGAATTTGCTTCAAAATATTTTGTGACTAGGGGAAATACATAGGGGCACAGATGAAACAAATGAGACATGGTTATGGGTTAATAACCATTGAAAATGGACAATGGGAACACTGGGGTCCATCCACTGTATCACTCTTCTTTTATATGTGCAAAATTTTTCCATAATATAAGGTTTTAAAAATGAGACAGTGCATATAAAATACCTTGCACAGTGCCTGGCAAATAGTAAGCACTCAAAGCCATTATCATTTTCATCTAACTTCTGTCTGTTCTGTTGGGCAACATTTTCTCAATTCATCTAAAGTTTATTTTGTGACTATACAGCAATACCCAGAATGCCATGTAATTCTATCAGGAAAGATCAATTGGGCTAAATAATCTTAGCTCACTCTTAGAATCTGGCTTTCACTCAGGCTATGCCAGAGCTTTTTTATTATAATTCCCTCACAGCCAGGTTTGGCTTAGAAGGAGACTGTTACTAGAATGAAACTCAGCTGCTATCACTAAGGTTAACATAATTTGTAATGTCTATGCTCTGGGATTTGCTTTTTAACACGCAGAGTTTTGCTAAGGTAATCCAGTATTAAATGAGGAGGAAAAAAAAGAAAGGGAAGGAAAGGAAGGAGAGAAAGGAAGGCAGGCGAAAGAAAATCTATGTCTGTCCCAACTGAACTCACCTTTAAAATTATTTAAAATAATAAAGGCATTTACCGGAATGGTAGAATTGGTGTAAGACAAAAGAAGCAATCTGTAATTCCCTCACCATGTTTCCGCCTCTAACCAGACCAAGGGGGAAGAGTAAGACCTACTGTTTGACTTGGCCAACCATTGAGACACGGGCAGACTCCAGATTTCGAATCTGGCCACTCTTCACACTGGGAAAGAAAAGAAAGGAAGAGAGAAGGTTATTCAGTATCTATTGTATCACATCATTGGAATCAAATAAATAATTCTACAGATTATGTGAGACCTAATAAAAAGTAGTGATCACCAGTGTTTCTTACTATAGAGATTGCCACTATTACTCACCTGGCTACATGGTTTTATAAGTAAAAATTAAGTAAAAACATCATAGCCATTTCAGTTCTGCAGATATTTATCAAGAGGATACTAGGTGCCAGGCCTGTATTCAAAAAGCACATAATTCGGTAGGGAGAAAAAGACACATATAATGTTAATATAATGAGGCAAGGTTCAAAGAAAGCACTTGAACATGAATGAGGAGGTCAGAGAAAGCTCCCCAGAGGTCACAGCTAAACTGAGGAGTATAGATAACAAGTTTAACCAGAAAATAAAAGAGGTTGGTTAGAGCATTCTAGGCAGAGGGCACATTATGTACAAAGGTGCTGTGATGTGAAAGTCGGCAGGATAATGATTTTAGAGAACTGGGTGCAAGGAGAAGCAGGGAGGAGATAAAAGGGGAGCGTGACAGAATAGGATTGGAAGGCAGGCGCCAGCTTCTCCAGGGCCTTGTGTGCCGTGCTACAGGGCTTAGGCTATCTGAATAAATTAGTCTTCTCACATTTGTCCACCTAAGTACAACTAAGGCAGAGCAAAATGACTGCATTCCCAGGGTGAACTGGAAACACTGCCTGAAGCAAGCCACTAGGAGAAAGCACTTCTTTAAATCTCATTTCTTAGTTTAAAAAATCATTCAAAATTTTAAAGCCCCTCTCCTCAGATAATGACATGATTTCTTACTTTAATGGTAAACCGAGGCAATCAGAACTATTACCTCATCTTTTAACTACCAAATGAATCCACAAATTCACCAATACTTGTAATAATATACTCTGCCTTGATGCCTGTTTAATACATGAAATATCTATTCCTATCAAGGCCAACCTTGGGCACTAGTTCCCATCCCCTCTTGCTTCTGAAAAGATACTCTTTCTTTCAGTTATCCTGTCTCTCTTCTGTGTCACTTTTTTTCTCTCGTGGATGTCACAAGCATACTCCATTATCCAGCCTTTAAAAACATTCCCAATGCCACATTCACTACTACCTATTACTCCATTTCTCTGCTCTCCTATACAGCAAAGCTCCTCAAAAGAGTTATCTTGCTTTCTCTACTTTGTCACCTCTCATCCTTTCCCCAACTTATATATGATTTTTATATCCCATTTATTTTCAGATATTTATTTTGTCAAGGTCACCTCTATCATGCCAATTCCAATGGTCATTTCTTGGTCCTCATCTTACTTGATCTCTCTGCAGCATCCGACACAGTTATTCTCTCCCTCCTTCTACAAACACTTAATATACTCACCTGGTTTTCCTTTTATCTCATCAACTGTGCCTTTTCAGTTTCTTTGTTGGATCTTCCTCTTCTTCCCAAGCTCTAAATATTGTGGAATATCCCAAGACTCAGTCTTGGATCTTTTTCCTATCAATATCAAGTTCCTAGGTCTTTACATTCAATCTTTCACTTTTAAATATTAACTATGTGATGACGATTCTCCAATTTATCTCTAGTTCAGCCTCTTCTAACTAGTATATACAACTGCCTACTTAACATTTCTACTTACATATGTAATAAGCATTTGAGTTTATCCAAACAAAACTGATTCTCTGCCCCTTATTTGCTCCCATATCTACCTCTTTCTGTTTCTACCATTCACCCAATTGCTTGGGCTAAAAACCTAGAAGTCATCCTTAAGTCCCTTCCTGCCCTTCCCCGTCTCTCTCCCAACATCCAATCCATAAACCAGTCCTGTCAGTTCTACCTCGAAAATACATTAAAAAATGACTCTCTTCCTCTGTTGCCATCCTCGTCTATGTTTACCATTATTACTCTCCTTTACTATAACAGTCTCCTAACCAACTTCACACCTCATTCCCCACTTCTTCTATTTGATTTTCCTCAGAACAGCCAGAGTGGTGTAACCAAGATGCAAATTTGTATCTGTCTGACCTCAAAGCCCAGGTTTCCCCTAACTTTTTTGTTTTGTTTCGAGACAAGGTCTCACTCTGTTGTTCAGGCTGAAGTGCAGTGGCATGATCATAGCTCACTATAACCTTGAACTTCTGGGCTCAAATGATCCTCCCACCTCAGCCTCCTGAGTAGCTGGGACTATAGGCACATGCTACCACACCCAGCTAATTAAAAAAATATATATATTTTTTGTAGAGACAGGGTCTCGCTATGTTGCCCAGGCTGGTCTCAAACTCCTGGCCTCAAGTAATATTCCTATCTCAGCCTCCCAAAGCACTGGGATTACAGGTGTGAACCACCACACCTGGCCTAAAGCCCAGGTTCTTAATGACTATACCCCTGCTGCCTCTCATTAGGAAACCTATGAGAGCAAAAGCAGTAAATCATTGGCCTTATATTTCAACATAAAAAAAAATCTAGAATAGCCAAAATGGCCATCAGTCATAAACTTGATTCAGATATCCAGCAGAATAAAAAACAAAATTACCAAATACCTCATAGTATAATAATTTTCAGGTTCAGAAAGATCAATGACTCTCATGAAACCCAGAACATCTTAACATTTAACAAACAGAACCCTTATTCTATCCTGTATCTGGCAAAAGAAACAAGACTACTTTAAGAGAAGGCCTACCATGATACCCAGGCTGCATTAGGTATATCCCCTGGCTTCCTTCATTGTGTTATGTTTATGTGTTTCCTTGTTTGCATCCCCAGTTTTTTGATGATAGGAACTGAGCCTGATTCATCCCCCAGTTCTTAGATCAGGTACTGACACATCTTAGGCACTAGAAAAAAAAATTTACTGAATAAATTTTTAGAGTTCGGAAAAAGGGCCAGGCGTAGTGGCTCATACCCATTTATCCCATGACTCTGAGAGGCCGAGGCGGGCAGGCAGACTGCTTGAGCTCAGGAGTTCAAGACCAGTCGAGCCAACATGATAAAACCCTGTCTCTACAAAAAAAAAAAAAAAAAAAAAATCAAATAACAAAAATTAGCTGGGCATCGTGGTGCACAGCTGTAGTCCCAGCTACTTGGGTGGCTGAGGCAGGAGGATCGCTTGAGCCCAGAAGGTCAAGGCTGCGGTGAGAGCTGTAATCATGCCACTGGACTCCACAGCCTGGGCAACAGAGTGACACCCTGTCTCAAAAAAAAAAAAAAAAAAAGTTTGGATAAAAGTTGGATGGGCTTTAGACAACTGAGCCAAGTCTAGAATAACTTTCTCACTTGTTGTTACTGCGGAAGCAGGCAGGGCACCTGAGATACAAGCCAAGCTGGCAGCAGCTACATTCTTGATGCTATCTGCCCAAGATAGATCTTTGATATTTCTGTGAGAACAGGAATCCTGCATCACAGTAGTGAACAGGAAGTGGTAGAAACTTCACCAACACAAACATCATTCTGACAAGCCATATTCTTGCATAAGACCATTTGTCCTAGGAAAACGCCTAGGATATATTTACCAAGTCCTAAATTTCCACTTGATATCTGATTCAGTTAACAGATATATTCTGCCTGCTAGGGCAGTATGCCATATGCTATATGAAAGTAGAAAAGAAATACAGAATAGCTTCTTCCCTTATGATGCAGGAAGGGCATTAAGACAGACATTAATGAAAATTAACAATATGAGCCATATCCCTCAAGGGAGTATTGGAAAACTTAAGGGTATACAGTGCAATATAATAGAGACTTAAAGGTCTCTTGTAATTTTGCTGAAAGCGTCATCTGGGTGGTTTGGAGAACTTAAGAGAAAATGTTCTGAAGAAGAGACTGGAGATGGAGTTAGAAGAATAGGAAGGAAGATAGGATGATGAAGACATTTATCCAAAGACTGATCTCCTTGTGGGAAGGGACAGTGTTTTATTCATCTCTGAATCTTCACTCATTAGCACAAAATAAGTGTTTAATAAATACTTTATCAAATGATTAACTGAATTAATGAATAAATTCATTCCTTTGCTTAAATGGAATTCTGTCACTGATTTTTATAAAAACTATTTACCCATTGAGTTTATTTACCCAAAATCCAAATAAATTTGAGGGAATGGAACCTATAGCCATCTTCCATTTCTCCACCATTTTATCTGAAACACAGAAAGTAAATCTAAAACCATGAAGCATCAGAGGTGGATGATGCCTTAGAAACCACCTAGTCTAACCTCTTACCTCAGAGGCAGAAACAGCTAGACAGCAGATGATCAATAATTACTAAGATTCCAGGAGGTACTATAGTGTATTGGGAAAACAATGGGTTTCAGACAACTGAGCCAAATCTAAAATATTTTTAAATGTTCAAAAAATTCTGCTGTTTATATAATGTTTCCTCATATGCTATTACAATAAGGCGTGGCAACTGAAATTCTATTCCTTGAACTTGGTGCTTGACCTAAAAAAGAAGAAAAGCTACAATCTAACATTTAGAATAAAGGCAACAGTGGCTGGGCACTGTGGCTCACGCCACAACCCCAACACTTTGGGAGGCTAAAGTGGGAGGATTACTTGAGGCCAGGAATTTGATTACTTGATTACTTGAGGCCAGGCTAAAGCAGGAGGATTACTTGAAGCCAGCCTGGGCAACATAGCAAGACCTCGTTTCTACAAAAAATTTAAAAATTAGCCAGGCTTGGTGGTGTGTACCTGTAGTCTTAGCAACTTGGGAGGCTGAGGTGGGAGGATTGCTTGAACCTAGGAGTTCAAGGTTGCAGTGAGCTAGGATCATGCCACTGCACTCCAGCCTGGGTGACAGAGTGAGGCCTTGTCTCCTAAATAAATAAATAAGCAAGCAAACAAACAAACAAATTAATTAAATAAAGGCGACAAAGATTTGTTGGTTACCTCCATTCAATAGCATTCTCCAGAGACTTGAAGGTTTTAGGACGACCCCGTAAGAAATTCTGCATGCTATTAAGTGCATCCATAGCTGTACCTGGATGTTAAACAAAAACTGTAACCACATATTTAACTTATTCTGAGCATTTACACTTACTGAGTCAACTACTATATATCTGCTCTTGATGACAGCAGAATTTAGTGATGCTCGCAGAGAAATAAAGATGGCCCTCAATAATTTTTGCCTCTGGGGTATTCACTTCTTTATGTCATGCCCTCACACTGAAGAGGATGACTTGTATTCACAAGCAGCAGTGTGACTTCTGAAGCTGGGTCAGAAAAGACATGGCAGCTTCTTTTTATATGATTAAATACAATTATGGGACATACATAGGATTGAAATATTATGCAGCCATAAAAAGATGTTAATGAAGAGTTTTTGATGACATGGAAAAATGGTTATCTTGTATAAACTTAAAAAAGATATAAAGACAGAGGGACATATTTCAAGATGAATGAAATCAACAATAAACTAAGACAAGGTAATAATCTACCAAGGATGTCTCTTATAAGTGAAATCCTGATTTGGTCAGTGCTAAGAAAACTCACCTTCTACAACATCAATCATGCACAGACCCAAGAGGCTTGGTACCAGGTTGGATGATGCTGTGTGGACTGCAATAGCACCACCCATGCTATGTCCAATCAGCATAATTGGAGGAGGAAGGTCCCCATACATGGCTTCAACCACATTGCCAACGTCTCTGCAAAGAGAAGAGAAAAAGATCTAAGAATGCTTTCTGACAACACTGTAAAAATGGTTTTCTTTCCCAGTTCCTTTCTTTGGTGTGTAACAGTGCTGGGAAACTGTAAAAGTCTATTGGGCCATCTTACAAACATACCTATGTAAACCTTCTAACATGTCCCCAGCATCAATATGTGTAGCCACACACCTAGCTCTCCTGATAAATGGCAGGTAAAGGACTAAGAACCCAAATTACTGAATTTTCCTTTACATCACACTTTCACTGTTCCACATATGTAGTACAATTACATAAACATATACCTTTATTTTGAACCTAAGATTGAAACTGGAAAAATCATTTAACTGCTCTGTTTCAATTTTCCCATCTATAAAACAAGAACAAAAATTTATTAAGCATTATAATGTAGTAAACCTCAGAATCACAAGATGAGCCCTAGCCTCAGTTTATTTTTCACTATGTGATCTTGGGTTAGTTACTTAATCTCTCAGAAACTGAGTTTCGACATCTATAAAAAAAGATAAAAATATCACTGACTGCTCTGGATTGCTTTGAGGATTAACTGAGAAGGGAACAAGAAAACACCTCGAAAGAGTAAAATGCTTCACAAATGTTAATTATTATTTACAATTTCTCATTTGTTTGAAGGATGAACATAAATGTAAGTACAGTGCTCTGAGAAACTAGAAAGGTGTTCAGAGCTCATTTTATTGGCTTTGGTTCTAATCTTCAATTATTAATGGACCTATTTAACAAAGTCTAATTTTAAAGCTTTGAAAATTAGAACTGAAGTATGAAGTTTGGTTTTTAATTGCATGTAGGCCTTCCTTGCTATAGCAATAGGTGGATAAGAACAGTAAGGTGTGTTTCTGGAGACCCACTGGCTCTACTGCCTTATTATATATATATATTTTTAGGCTAGTTCTACCCCCTTCTTTTGGGAGTGGCTGGTTCAACTTCAAAAGAAAGTTTTGTCTTGTTGAGTGTCACTGCATACCTTAAGCACTCACACAGTGTTAACCAAATATAGCAAGTGTCAAGGTAGGAACACAGACTTTCATATATAGTCTCTACAGTATTTATAATGGCAAAGGCAAATGTTATTAGTTCTGTAGGAACTGATTTTTAAAATCTCATACAACAACTGCAGGAGTGAATAGGGTAGCCTCGGCAATTGTAGACAATCTGAATGGGAGATAGGGAGGCCACCAAACTTTGTAAGTGAAAACAAATAGTTTAATATTCGTTCGACTTAAATTTAAGATTAAGACAGAAAGTGAAGCAGTTCAGGCAGTCATCCAAAGCGATAACAAATAGTTAAGACGAAAAGTCCAAGCTTCTTTGACACCAGTGCTGCTTCTATAGTAACACAAAATTCTCTCTGGGAGACAAAATGATATGAAGGAAAGAAAAGAGAACTAATACTTATTCAGTGCTTCTTTTTCAGTTGTGCTCTAAACTTTCTTATAACATCACCTAACGTAATCCTTCAGCAGCCCTGTCTAGAAGGTTCTGTATTAATCAATTAATCTCACTGGGTCTATAAAAATATTATTGCATTTTCTCACTGGGTCTATAAAAATATTATTGCATTTCTACCAAGTAAAAAGAGCTGCAGATTCTTGTTACCTCACTGAAACATATTTTCAATGTTTCAACGAGTTAACCAATTTATGCTAGTGTTCCACTACTGGAACACTAAGCATGTGGGAGTTATTTATATCCTACTGCCCAAGGTCATCACCAAGTTCTGATTGCAAAAATTCAAAAAATTGCAACCTCAGGCATAAATGGTAAAGCCATCTCCCCTTGGCATAGGGTAGTGTGAATTCAGAGTAATTTCATGAAGTCAAAACCATGATGCCTTTGCTCAGAGGCCACTGGAAAATATCAGGAACAAAGATTCGATAATATGTGGTCTTTAGAGTAGTAACACAGAGGAAATTATTACACATACAGTTTCTAAAAAATAAAACAGGTAGTATTCCAAAGCTAATTCTGCATATTAAAATAACAGACCAGAAAAAATTATATGCTCAATTAATTAATCTAAAACAATATTGGATACAATTTTGGGGGCAAACTGTTTTTTTTTTTTTAAAGAAAAGACTAAAGTTTAAAACATGTTTATATTAAATATCAACATGTAATTTCCAGAATAATTCTTGAACAATTCCAAGAAACTTTCGGTTGGTAACAGACAAATAATGAGTAAAATAAAAGGATGCTATGGACGATTATCTAAGTCCAAGTCACCTTAAAATACACATTAACTGAATTGAAGGGGTTCTGCAGTATCTGCCTCATGCACAAAGGTAGAGAGGTCTGAAACACACCAACTGAACATCGTGTCTGAGCTTAAGAAAGGCATATTTACCCAGGTAGAAGGTAGTTACGATCAATCACTTGATCATCTACCACCAAGAGAAATTTATTGTTATTAAAATCAAGCAGAGCATTCAGTCAACAAGTACCTTACTTGAGATAAGTCCTGAAAATCCAGAGAAATACAATAAAGATGAAGTAGCAAGGGTTACCTACAAATCTAGACTGTAACTGGATGTATTACAATTTTGGTGGATGCTTTTTAAAGGGATTCTGTCATATTTTAATGCTAGGTTAATTTTCTGAGAAGCATTACTGTGTATCACAGAAATTGGAATATCAGAATGACCCAAGCTCAAATTCTGGCTTTTTCACATACTTTCTTAGGTAGTATTTAGGTTCTGCAGTTGATAATAAGTATGCCCATTTTGAGGTTTTTTTTTTTCCACAGTAACTGAATTCAGAAATCACACAAATGTTTTACTGCTTGGATAATTTCAGCAAGAATCCAATTTGTTCGCCCTTTTGATTCTTGGTCATCATCTACTGTGGATGATTTTTACCATTAAAAAATTTTTTTGGTGCCAGTTATCAACTTACTACCTCAACTCCAATTCATCCTTCATTGCCTACTCTACAAAAATAGATGTGAGGCCTGTAAATATTTTACCCTTGCCAGTAGGCATGATATTAAGCTATGTTAATGGAGGGTGCTAGAGAAACACAGAACTTCCCCCAGTATCCAACTCCTGCCAATTCCTGCACAATTCCTCCAGCACAAGTGGCTTCTCCAGTACTCTAGCCCTCCCCAACCCAGTGTTTTTGTAGCCAAGTGCCTCTGGTGAGATCCTCCCCACGAATAGCTTTCCCTATACCCTAGAGGGCAGAATTCTGTCAGGTTCCAAAAGGGCAGATTTTCAGCAAGTTCTAACCTTCAGTAAACCATGGTCGTGCATTCTCCAACAAGGTCTGGATCTCAACCCTGGGTGTACTCCCTCAGCCCAAGGGAGTAGTGGCTGCTCCTTATATCTGCTATTCCTATATTATTAAGAGTTTTTGTTACTTCTTACTACCAATCGCTCATTCCAATCCCCTGTTATAGTGAATAATTCTTTATATTCAACTTTACTTATTCAAATTACTACATGGTTTCTCTTTCCTGATGAGCCCCAGACTGAAACATTATTATTTAGTCCATGTTTCCTTAAGGTTCTCAATCAATTCTTCAATTTCCTCTAGAATGTCAACCAAGCTATCATCATCAATTTGTCTGACTGCCTGGACACTCAGATGATGTATTTCACTTTTTTGTTAAAAGTTAAGAAACCCTTTACTTCCTTAAAAATCATTCACAAATCTTCCTATAGGTATCACTAACAGCCTTGACTGTTTGAGGATATATTGCTCTCATATTAATGAAGGCAGTAGGAATAATTGGAGGAACAGATTCTTACCTCTCTTTTCATACTTTTTAAGGCATATGTTCATTGAGTGGAATGACATTCATACTATACACATTATTTCTTTCTCTCTCTCTCTGCCAAGGACTATAGTTGAATGATCATAAATTCAATCTACTGACTGTGTGACTTCATACAGTTATTCAACCTATATGAGCCAGTTTCCTCATCTGTAAAAGGGTATATCTGTATTACAGAGTTAATAATGAGGATTAATTTCAATAAATGATTACACAAAATAAGTTAATGATTTATTATTAATAAATGCTTAGTTTATACTTTAATGAAAGTTGGCAGATAAAAAGTACACAAATAACACCTACCATAATAATAAAACAATTATCTCCAGGTAGACAGTGAAAAAATAATAATATTAAAATTGTTGCCTACATCAGTTTGGGCTCTGAAGGAAAATGTTTATTCTTAAATTAAAGCTGCTAAAGTAAAAGAGGGCAAGATATTTTTGGCCAAAGTGACCAAATACCTGAGAGAGTACGTATTAAAGCAGAGTGGCTAGAAGAATCCTATTTATGCTATAGGTCAGTGATTCCCAAACAACAGTCATTGAACTGGCTCCATCAGATTCCTACACAGAGCTTTACCAAAATATAAATGCCCAGACTCCACTGCTAGAAGTAGGTCTGGGGTAGGGTCAAGTCATCTGTATGTCTAGTAACTTCTCAAGTGATTCTGATGAGTGAGCAGTTTTAAGAGCCACTGTACATGTTACATTCATTTTTTACTTTAGGCCCAGGGTGTAACTGTCATTTTTTAATATCATGATCTCATCTTTCTATGACATAAGACGAAGAATGTACGCAGGATACCTGAAGGAGATACTCTCAAGGCCTCTTGCATACAACTACTTTTCCAAGCGTGAGTCCATGATAAGTACCCAGATTCAACGCAATTCCATCAACAGAAGAAAACTTTTCAAAAGCCTTCACAAACTAAACTGTGCCTTGAAGAATTTTCATGTGCTTTATATGATGACCATTGCATTGGACACACCAAGAAAGACGCAGGTTTCTTTCAAGATTAAATAGTAAGGAGAAACCAGAAGTAGAGGAGAGAGAACAGAAGTAAAATTTTCCTTGTGGTAATTATTCCCCAACAATCTCATCAGGAAAGTGATAAAGTTATAGTACTATTTATAATAGTGATGGGAGACAGGCAATGTATAAGAAATATTTGGTTACTTACTTTGCCATTGTTTCTGCAGACAGATCTTCAGGATTCTTGACCTTTGTTTCACCTAAAATGAAAATATTTTAAAAATAAAATTCCCACAGACAGGAATTATAAAAGCAGAAGTATTCTCTTTTAAAAATATCATCTTTGGACAATGGATTAGGGACTTCACAATTTTACACAATGAGTTTAGCAAGGATTTTCTTCAGAAAAATCTTTATAGTTATCCTAAGAAGGATAATTACAGTAGCCTAGCAAAGATTTATCCACATTCCTTATACATCAGCATAAGAATTTGAAGTTCTGGCCAGGGCAATTAGGCAGGAGAAGGAAATAAAGGGTATTCAATTAGGAAAAGAGGAAGTCAAATTGTCCCTGTTTGCAGACGACATGATTGTATATCTAGAAAACCCCATTGTCTCAGCCCAAAATCTCCTTAAGCTGATAAGCAACTTCAGCAAAGTCTCAGGATACAAAATCAATGTACAAAAATCACAAGCATTCTTATACACCAATAACAGACAAACAGAGAACCAAATCATGAGTGAACTCCCATTCACAATTGCTTCAAAGAGAATAAAATACCTAGGAATCCAACTTACAAGGGATGTGAAGGACCTCTTCAAGGAGAACTACAAACCACTGCTCAAGGAAATAAAAGAGGATACAAACAAATGGAAGAACATTCCATGCCCATGGGTAGGAAGAATCAATATCGTGAAAATGGCCATACTGCCCAAGGTAATTTACAGATTCAATGCCATCCCCATCAAGCTACCAATGACTTTCTTCACAGAATTGGAAAAAACTACTTTAAAGTTCATATGGAACCAAAAAAGAGCCCGCATCGCCAAGTCAATCCTAAGCCAAAAGAACAAAGCTGGAGGCATCACACTACCTGACTTCAAACTATACTACAAGGCTACAGTAACCAAAACAGCATGGTACTGGTACCAAAACAGAGATATAGATCAATGGAACAGAACAGAGCCCTCAGAAATATCGCCACATATCTACAACTATCTGATCTTTGACAAACCTGAGAAAAACAAGCAATGGGGAAAGGATTCCCTATTTAATAAATGGTGCTGGGAAAACTGGCTAGCCATATGTAGAAAGCTGACACTGGATCCCTTCCTTACACCTTATACAAAAATCAATTCAAGATGGATTAAAGACTTAAATGTTAGACCTAAAACCATAAAAACCCTAGAAGAAAACCTAGGCATCACCATTCAGGACATAGGCATGGACAAGGACTTAATGTCTAAAACACCAAAAGCAATGGCAACAAAAGACAAAATTGACAAATGGGATCTAATTAAACTAAAGAGCTTCTGCACAGCAAAAGAAACTACCATCAGAGTGAACAGGCAACCTACAAAATGGGAGAAAATTTTCGCAACTTACTCATCTGACAAAGGGCTAATATCCAGAATCTACAATGAACTCAAACAAATTTACAAGAAAAAAACAAACAACCCCATCAAAAAGTGGGCGAAGGACATGAACAGACACTTCTCAAAAGAAGACATTTATGCAGCCAAAAAACACATGAAAAAATGCTCATCATCACTGGCCATCAGAGAAATGCAAATCAAAACCACAATGAGATACCATCTCACACCAGTTAGAATGGCAATCATTAAAAAGTCAGGAAACAACAGGTGCTGGAGAGGATGTGGAGAAATAGGAACACTTTTACACTGTTGGTGGGACTGTAAACTAGTTCAACCATTGCGGAAGTCAGTGTGGCGATTCCTCAGGGATCTAGAACTAGAAATACCATTTGACCCAGCCATCCCACTACTGGGTATATACCCAAAGGACTATAAATCTTGCTGCTATAAAGACACAGGCACACGTATGTTTATTGCGGCATTATTCACAATAGCAAAGACTTGGAACCAACCCAAATGTCCAAGAATGATAGACTGGATTAAGAAAATGTGGCACATATACACCATGGAATACTATGCAGCCATAAAAAATGATGAGTTCATGTCCTTTGTAGGGACATGGATGAAATTGGAAATCATCATTCTCAGTAAACTATCGCAAGCACAAAAAACCAAACACCGCATATTCTCACTCATAGGTGGGAACTGAACAATGAGATCACATGGACACAGGAAGGGGAATATCACACTCTGGGGACTGTGGTGGGGTGGGGGAAGGGGGGAGGGATAGCATTGGGAGATATACCTAATGCTAGATGACGAGTTGGTGGGTGCAGCGCACCAGCATGGCACATGTATACATATGTAACTAACCTGCACAATGTGCACATGTACCCTAAAACTTAAAAGTATAATAAAAAAAAATTAAAAAAAAAAAGAATTTGACTTTAAAGGACATTTTCTTAGCTTAACACACATAAAATACAAAAATAAATATTATACATAAAACTTTAATATATATACACACACATACATTTGTAAAGACTAGAAGCTAGGACTTCCTTCAAAATGCCCAAATCGAGCTGGGCGCAGTGGCTCACACCTGTGATGCTAGCACTCTGGGAGGCTGAGGTGGATGGATCACTTGAGGTCAAGAGTTTGATATCAGCCTGGCCAACATGGTGAAACCCGGTCTCTACTAAAAATACAAAAATTAGCTGGGCATGGTGGCGCATACCTGTAATCCCAGCTACTGGGGAGACTGAGGCAGGATAATTGCTTGAACCCAGGAGGCAGAGGTTGCAGTGAGCTGAGATTGTGCCACTGCACCCCAGCCTGGGCGACAGAATGAGACTCCATCTCCAACGACAACAACAAAAAGCTCAAATGGAATAGACCAGGTTATTTTATGGCCACGTTGAAATTTCTAATAGTTACAACTATTCAAAGGGGCTTGATGACTATAATCCAGTTAATGGCTAATTAAGAACTTTACTCACCATGACTTCGCAGATCCAAAGCTACAATCCTACACTGAACTCTACTAATAATCGCTGCCTAGGAGAAAAAGGAAAAGTAGTTAAGACACATCTAGGATAACAAATTTCACCCAATTCCCAATGATAACTTTGTAAAATGAACTGCCATCAAAATTCAAAGGACCCAAGAGAATCAAAAGACTTTCTAGTTTTAAGCAAAATGAAAGAATGATGATTTTCTACTAGTTTTGCCATATATTGTGGTTCTGTCCCAACTTCAAAATATGGCTTTCTCTACCTAAATCCCTCTTTCAATCTTAATTCTTCCTATCCTTTCTTGACACACACAGTTAAGAGCCTTTAGACAATGACCCTCTGAGCTCTGGTTTTCATCTATATTCCTTGGATATCTTTTCCTTACTCTGGAGAGAGAATCCCTTAGATAAGGACGGTGAGTCAGTTTATATCTTGGCTCAGGACATCACAGAAACATGACAATCAAATCATGAAATTTGCTGAAAGTAGCAGAAGTCATGGAATCTACTAAAGATTCACTTAAGACAGATACTGCAGAACATACCAGCTTGTGTACCTATTAAAAATTTATTGAAAAAAATCATAATATCATGGGGGAGGTACAATTTTAGAGGGTGAAAAAAATCTGAAATAATTGGGGATCTTCTTCCTAAACTAAACTGGATTCTTTGACAATAATATATCACAATTAGGGCTAGCAAATGTCACCAAATTTTAACTTTTAAGAATAAAATAAGAGAACTGTCTAGTCTAGCCGTCACATTTTATGAATGAGAAAACTGAGGCCAAGAGAAAGAAAATTATTTGCCCAGGGTCACATAACAAATTAGGAGTAAAAACAGAACTAGACCCAAGGTAAGTTACCAATATAAAAGTCAACGTAAATCACAAAACAAGTCAGATTCTTAAGTCATATTTTTAAAATCCCCTAGAAAATCAAGTCTGATTCTATTTCTATTATTCTAATGAATACCTTTTAAAGGCAACAATGGAATGAAATTCTACTATACTTTGCTGTTTGTTCCTGAAAGCTATTTGCTAATTTACAGGAGTTATTTAGTGACAGTAAAGCCTTCAATGACAAAAACAAATCCCTATGTTAGAAATAAAATTAAGTGGAAAAGATAGTATGAATTTGCTTGATTGCTCTAGATAATAGAACCAGGTTTACAAAACAGAAACAAAATATATATTTGAAATTCCAACCTTTAACTTGAAAGCAATGATTTACAATCATAGGTGCCTGTCAGAAAATCACTACAAATATTAAAAACAAAATTTTCATTTATTTATTTAACAAATCTTTCTAATAAAAATCTGGCACCAATGGAGTAATTGGGTTACAGGAGGGAAAAATACTGGCAATACTCCTGCTCTCATGATATCTACATTCTACTATGGTGGAAGAAGACTAGAAAAAAATAAATGAGCAAAGTAAATTCACAGACTAACACATGCTTTAAAGATAATCAAAAAGTCAGAGCAGATCTATGGTAGCTACTCCAGATCTTGTCACAAATAGTACAACTTTGCTACTTCTGAAATGGATGAGTGGAAAGCAGCTATTTAAGAACTAGACTTAACCAACCATTTTCTCACTAGAATATTATGGTGTTTAGCAATAACTGCAACAATAGCAGTAGGAGCTAATGTCTACTAAATCTATGTGCCAGTCAGCAATCTAAGTGCTTCAGATGAATTACCTAACTTTCTCCTCACAACTCTTTACTACTTAGACATAATTTTCAGCATTTTACAGATAAGGGCATTTTACAGAGAGATTAAGTAACTTGCCCAAGGCTAAATAGCTAATAAGTGACAGAGCCAATTTTCAAATCCAAGCTGCCTGGTTCCAGGTGGTTTTCAACCCTGGCTACATAACAGAATCAATCACCTAAATACTACTGCCCAGGGGCAAACCCACCAGAAATTCTGATTCAAGTTATTTACACATTTTCGACTTCTCCAGGTGATTCTAATGTATACCCAAAATGAAGGCCCACTATCCTAACCCGAGACTAGAGAACAGAGACAAGATTGGAAGAACTGGGTAGTAATAATATGCTTCTGTATCACTTTATAATTTCACCAGATTATCTCAGATAATCTCATATTATCTTCTTAAGAAGTCGGCTGGGAAAATATTAGCACAGTTTTTTTGGCGAACAAAACAGGTTCTTAGAGGTTTATCAGGTATTGGTGAAAGTGTGGAGAAATAGGTATCCCCACAAATATATGATATCCTCAAACTTAATTTTGGCTAATTTGATAAGTAAAAAATGGTATTGTTTTTTAAAAAATTTGGTGGGTACATAGTAAGGGTATACATTTGTGGAGTACATTAGATATTCTGATACAGGCAAACAATGCATAACCATCACATCGGGCAAATGAGGTAGCCATCACTTTAAGCATTTATCCTTTCTTCGTGTTGAAAACAATCTAACTATACCCTTTTAGCTATTTTAAAATACACAGTAAACTATTGTTGACTGTAGTCACCCTGTTGTGCCATCAAATACAAGATCTTATTCATTCTATTTAAATATTTTTGTACTCATTAACCATCCCCAATTATCCTCCACCTCCCACCTCCCTCTCCCCATCCACTACTGTTCCCAGCCTCTGGTAACCATCCTTCTACTCTCCATGAGTTCAATTGTTTTAATTTTTAGCTCCCATAAGTAAGTGAGAACATGTGAATTTTTTCTGTGCCTGGCTTATTTCACTTACCGTAATGACCTCCAGTTCCATCCATGTTGTTGCAAATGACAGAGATCTCAGTCTTTTTTATAACCAAATAGTACTCCTTTGTGTATATGTACCACATTTTCCTTATCCATTCATCTACTGATAGACACTGGTTGCTTCCAAATCTTGGCTATTGTAAATAGTGCTGTAATAAACATGGGAGTGTAATATCTCTTCGATGTACTGATTTCCTTTCCTTTGGCTATATACATAGTAGCGGGATTGCTGCATTATACGGTAGTTCTATTTTTAGTTTTTTTTTTTTTTTTAAGGAATCAACAAACTGTTCTCCATAGTGGCTTTACTAATTTACATTCTCACCAACAGTGTATGAAGGTTCCCTTTCCTCCACATCCTCACCAGCATTTGTTATTGCCTGTCTTTTGCATAAAAGCCATTTTAACTGGGGTGAGATGATACCTCATTATAGTTTTCATTTCCATTTCTCTGGTGATCAGTGATGTTGAGCACCTTTTCATATGCGTGTCTGCCATATGAATATATTCCTTTGAGAAATATCTATTCAGATCTTTTGCCCATTTTAAAATTAGATTATTAGATTTTTTCCTATAGAGTTGTTGAGCTCCTTATATATTCTGGTTATTAATCCCTTGTCAGATGGATAGTTTGCAAATATTTTCTCCCATTCTGTGGGTTGTTTCTTCACTTTGTTGTTTCCTTTGCTGTGCAGAAGCCTTTTAACTTGACATGATCCCATTTGTCCATTTTTGCTTTGGTTACCTGTGCTTGTTGGGTATTACTCAAAAAAAATCTTTCCACAGTCCAATGTCCTGGAGAGTTTTCTCAATGTTTTCTTTTAGTACTTTCATAGTTTGAGTCTTTAATTCATTTTTATTGATTTTTGTATATGGCAAGAGATAGGGGTTTAGTTTCATTCTTCTGTATATGGATATCCAGTTTTCCCAGCATGATTTATTGAAGAAACTGTCCTTGCCCCAACATGTGTTCTTAGCACCTCTGTTGAAAATGAGTTCACTGTAGATGTATGGATTTGTTTCTGGGTTCTCTATTCTGTTCCATTGGTCTATGTGTCTGTCTTTATAGCAGTACCATGCTGCTCTGGTTGTTATAACCCTGTGGTATAATCTGAAGTCAGGTAATGTTATTCCTCCAGTTTTGTTCTTTTCTATCAGGATAGCTTTGGCTATTCTGGGTCTTCTGTGGTTCTATAGAAATTTCACAATTGTTCCATTTTTTTGAAGAATATCATTGGTATTTTTGATAGGATTGTGTTGCATCTGTAGATTGTTTTGGGTGCTACGGACACTTTAACAATGTTGATTCTTCCAATCCCTGAACATGGAATATCTTTCTCTTTTTCGTGTCCTCTTCAATTTCTTTCATCAGTGTTTTATACATTTCATTGTATTTCACTTCTTTGGTTAATTCCTAGGTATTTTATTTGTAGCTACTGTAAATAGGGTTACTTTCTTGATTTTTCAGATTGTTTGCTGTTGGCATATAAGAATGCTGCTAATTTTTGTACATCAATTTTGTATCCTGTAACTTTATTAAATTGATCAGTTCTAACAGTTTTTTGGTGGAGTCTTTAGGATTTTCTAAATATAAGTTCATATCATCTGCAAAACAGGATAATTTACTTTTTCCTTTCCAATTTGGATGCCCTTTCTTTCTCTTGTCTGATTGCTCTAGCTAAGACTTCCAATAATATGTTGAATAACAGTGATGAAAGTGAGTATCCTTGCCATTTTCCAGATCTTACAAGAAAGGTTTCAACTTTTCATTTATCATCCTTTTAGTATTATACAAGCTGTGGGTCTATTGTATATGGCTTTTATTGTGTTACATTCCTTCTATACTCAGTTTAAGTTTTTTTTTTTTATCATGAAGGGATGTTGAATTTTATCAAATGCTTTTCCAGCATCAATTGAAATGATCATATGGTTTTTGTCCTTCATTCTGTTGATATGATGTATCACACTGATTGATTTGCATATGCTGAACCATCCTCACATCCTAGAATAAATCCCACTTGATCATAATGAATAATCTTTTTCCTTTTTTTTTTTTTTTTTTTTTTGAGACGGAGTCTTGCTGTGTCACCCAGGATAGAGGGCAGCGGCATGATCCTGGCTTACTGCAACCTCCATTTCCCAGGTTCAGGCAATCCTCCCACCTCTGCCTCTTGAGTAGCTGGAATAAGAAGTGCGCGCCACCATGTCTGGCTAATTTTTGTATTTTTAGAAGAGACGGGGTTTCACCATGTTGGCCAGGCTGATCTTGAACTCCTGATCTCAAGTGATCCACCCGCCTCAGCCTCTCAAAGTGCTGGGATTACAGGCACGAGCCACTGTGCCCAGCCTGAATAATCTTTGTAATGTGTTGCTGAATTTGGTTTGCTAGTATTTTGCTGATGATTTCTGCATCAATGTTCATCAGGGATATTGGCCTGTAGTTTTTTTGTTTTTGTCTGTCTGGTTTTGGTATTAGGGTAACTAGCCTCGTAGAAGGAGTCTGAAAGTATTCCCTCCTCCTCTATTTTTCAGAATAGTTTGAGTAGGACTGGTGTTATTTCTTTTTTAAATGTTTGGTAAAATTCAGCAGTGAAGCCATCAGGTCCCATTTTTCTTTACTGGGAGACTTTTATTACAGCTTGGATTTCATTACTTGTTATTGGTCTGTTCAGGTTTTGGATTTCTTCATGGTTCAACCTTCGTAGGTTGTACGTGTCTAGAAATTTATCCATTTCTTCTAGATTTTCCAACTTATTGGCATATAGTTGCTCATAGTATCCTCTAGTAATCCTTTGAATTTCTGCAGTATCAGGTGCAATGTCTCCTTTTTCATCTGATTTTATTTGGGTCTTCTTTCTTTTTTCTTAGTCTAGCTAAAGGTTTGCCAATTTCATGTTTCAAAAACCAACTTTTTATTTTGTTGATCTTTTCTACTTTTTTGTTTTGATTTCATTTATTTCTGCTCTGATCTTTATTTTTCTTGTCTCCTACTAATTTTGCGTTTGGTTTGTTCTTGCTCTTCTAATTCTTTAGGATGCATCGTTGGGTTGGTTATTTGAGAGTTTTCTACATTCTTGATGTAGGCTCTTATAGCTATAAACTTTCCTTTTAGTATGGCTTTCACTGTATCTCACAGGCTTTGGTATGTTGTGTTTCCATTATCATTTGTTGCAAGAAATTTTAAAATTTCCATCTTAATTTCATTGGCCCACTGGTCATTTAGGAGCATAGTGTTTATTTTCTATGTGTTTGTATAGTATCCAAAATTCCTCCTCTTATTGATTACTAGTTTTATTTCATTGTGGTCAGAAAATATACTTGATATAATTTCAGTTTTTTGAATGTTATCCAAGACTTGTTTTGTGACCTAACATGGTCCATCCTTGAGAATGATCCATGTCTTGAGGAGAAGAATGTGTATTCTGCAGCTGTTGGATGAAGTGTTCTGTAGGTAATTATTAAGTCCATTTGATATATAGTGCAGATTACGTAAATTTTTCTATCTCGATTATCTGTCCAACACTGAAAGTGGGGTATTGAAGTCTCCAGCTCTTATTGTATTGGGTGGGGCCCATCTCTCCCTCTTCAGCTCTAATAATATTTGCTTTACCTATTTGGGTGCTCCAGTGTTGGGTGCATATATATGTATAACTGTTATATCCTCTTGCTGAATTGACCCCCTTATCATTATATAATGACTTTTGCCTCTTTTTATAGTTTTTGTCTTGAAATCTATTTTGTCTGATATACATATAGCTACTCCCACTTTTTAGTTTGCATCAGCATGGAATATCTTTGTCCCTCACTTTATTTTCAGTCTATATGTGTCTTTACAGATAAAGAGTGTTTCTAGTAGGCAACAGGTCAGTGGGTCTTGTTTTTGTATTCATTCAGCCACTCCACGTCTTTTGATTGGCGAGTTTAGTCTATTTACATTCAATGTTATTATTAATAAGGACTTATTCCTGCAACTTTGTTTTCTGGTTGTTTTGTGGTCTTCTCTTCTTTCCTGTCTTTCTTTAGTGCAGGTGATTTTCTCTGGTGGTATGTTTAAATATCTTGCTTTTTATTTTTTGTGTATCTGTTGTTATGTTTTTGGTTTGAGTTTGCTTGCAAATAGTATCATAACCCATTATTGTAAAGTGGTGACAATTTAAAACTGATTTCATAAACAAACAAACAAGCATAGAGAAAACCAATAAAAACTCTACATTTTAACTTCAGCACTCCACTTTTTAATTTTTGTTGTCTCTACTTCTTTTCTTTTTTCTAAGACAGGGTCTCAAGTTGCCTAGGCTTGAGTGCAGTGGTGTGATCTCAGCTCACTACAACCACTGCCTCCCAGCTCAAGCAATCCTCCCACATCAGCCTCCCAAGTAGCTGGGTCTACAGGCACACACCACTACACTTAGTCAATTTTTTGTTGTAGAGATGTGGTCTCACCGTGTTGTCCAGGCTGGTCTCAAATTCCTGGGCTCAAGCAATCTGTCCACCTCGGCCTCCCAAAGTGCGGGATTACAGGTGTGAGCCACCATGCCCAACCTATTTATAGCTATTGTTTCTATTTATATATTATTGTACTGTTTATGTCTTGAAAAGTTGTCATAGTTAATATTTTTGATTGGTTCCTCTTTTAGTCTTTCTACTCAAGATATGAGTTGTTTACACACAACAATTACAATGTTATTCTGTGTTTTTCTGTGTACTTATCAATGAGTTTTGTACCTTCAGATGATTTCTTAGTGTTCATTAATGTCCTTTTCTTTCAGATGCAAGAACTACCTTTAGCATTTCTTGTAAGTCTGGTGTTGATGAAATCCTCCAGCTTTTGTGTGTCTGGGAAAGTCTTTATTCTTTTACATGTTTGAAGGATATTTTGACTGGATATACTATTTTAGCATAAAAGTTTTTTTTTTTTTCCCTTCAGCATTTTAAATATGTTATGCCACTCTCCCCTGGCCTGTAAGGTTTTCACTGAGAAGTCTGCTTCCAGATGTACTGGAGTTCCATTGTATATTATTTGTTTCTTTTCTCTTTCTGCTTTTAGAATTCTTTATCTTTGACCTCTGGGAGTTTGATTATTAAATGCCTTGAGGTAGTCTTATTTGGGTTAAATCTGCTTGGTGTTCTATAACCTTCTTTTATTTGAATACTGATATGTTTCTCTAGGTTTGGGAAGTTCTGTTATTAACTCTTTCAATAAATTTTCTATGCCAATCTCTCTACCTCCTCTTTAAGACCACTAACTCTTAAATTTGCCCTTTTGAGGCTATTTTCTATTGTAGGTGTGCTGCATTGTTTTTGTATTCTTTTTCTTTTGTCTCCTTTGTGTATATTCAAATAACCTGTCTTCAAGCTAATTCTTACTTCTGCCTCATCAAATATGTTAAGAGACTCTGATGCATTCTTTATTATGTCAATTGCATTTTTCAACTCCAGAATTTCTGTTCTTTTTAATTATTTCAATTGCTTTGTTAAATTTATCTATAGATAAATTTTCTGAATTCCTTCTCTGTTATCTCAAATTTTGTTGAATTTCCTCAAAACAGCTATTTTGAATTCTGTCTGAAAGGTCACATATCTCTGTCTCTCTGGGATTGGTCACTGGTGCCTTATTTAGTTCATGTGGTGAAGTCATGTTTTCCTAGACAGTCTTGAGTTTGTGAATATTGATCAGTGACTGGGCATTGAAGAGTTAGGTATTTATTGTAGTCTTTGTAGTCTGGGCTTGTTTGTACCCATTCTTCCTGCGAAAGCTTTCCAGGTATTCAAAGAAACTTGGGTATTGTCATCTAAGTTTTTGGTCACTGCAGCCATAGCTGCATTAGGGGGCACCCCAAGCACCTAGCTCTTGCAGACTCACAGAGGTACTATTTTGGTGGTGTTGGATAAGATCCAGAAGAATTCTCTGGATTACCAGACAGAGATTCTTACACTCTTCCTTTATTTTCTCCCAAATAAATGGGGTCTCTCTCTGTGCTGAGCTTCCTGGAGCTGGGGGTGGAGTGACACAAGTACCCCTGTGGCCACCAGCACTAGGACTGTGCTGGGTCAGACCTGAAGCCATCACAACACTGGGACTCACCCAAGGCCTACAGTAACCACTGCCTGGCTATCTGTGTTCACTCAAGGCCCTAGGGCTCCATAATCAGCAGGTAGCAAAGCCAGCCAGGCTTCTGTCCTTCCCTTCAGGGCAGTGGGTTGCCCCTGGTCCCAGGTGAGTCCAGAGATGCCATCCAGGAGCCAGGGCTTGGAATTGGAAACCTTAGGAATCTACCTGGTGCTCTACTATACTGCAGCTGAGCTGGCATCCAAGTCACAAGACAAAGTCCTTCCTACTCTTCCCTATCCTTTCCACAAGCATAGTCTCTCCCCATGGCTACAACTACCCCAGGCCCATGGCAAGTACTGCCTGGCTACCACCAGTGTTTATTCATGGCCTAAGGGCTCTTCAGTCAGCTTATGGTGAATGCTGTCAGGCCTGGGACTGCCTCTTCAGGGCAGTGGTCCCCTCTGGCCCAGGGTAGGTCCAGAAATGCTGTCCAAGAGCCAAGGCCTGGAATTGGGAACCCCAAGAGTCCACCTGGTGCTCTACCCCACTGGCACCTAACTGCAACATGAAGTCTTTACTCTTCCCTCTCCTTTTCTCAATCAGAAAGAGTCCTTCCTCATAGCCACCACAGCTGGGAATGTGTTGGGTCACACTTGAAGCCAGCACATCTCTGAGTCTTACCTCAGGACCACGGCAAATACTGTCTGAATACTGTTGCTGATTATTCAGGACCCAAAGGCTCTTTAGTCAGCAGGGGATGAATCCTGCCAGGACTGGGTCCTTCCCTTCAGGGAAGCAGGCTCCCTTCTAGCTCAGTATGTGTCATGCTGTCTGGGAATTAGGGCCTGGAATGGGCCTTGGTACTCTGCCTGGTGCCTTATCCTACTATAGCTGAGCTGGTATCCAAGTTGCAAGATAAAGTCCTCTTTACTCTTTCCTCTCCTCTCTTCAAGCAGAAAGAAGGAGTCTCTCCCAGAGCTGCAAGCTGCTCCACCTGAGGTTGGGGGAGAGGTGGCGTAAGCACTCCCCTGGCTGCCCCTGGTGTCTCACAAGGTTATGTGCTGCTCAAGTCCACTGGCTCCAACACCAGCACAGCACCAGGACTTGCCCAAGAATTGCAGTCCTTGTGGCCTAGTCTGCTTTTCAAGTTTATTTAGGACCCCAGGACCCTTTAGCTTGGGTGGCAAGGCTTTCCAGAACTCAAATTCAGAACACTGGAATGGGTAATTCACCTCTGGCTAAGGCTGGTCTAAATCCTCCCTCTGTGGAAACTTACTGAGTCCTGCCCAGTGTTGCTTTCCACTGTGACAGGGCAGCACTGAGTTCCAATGCAAAGTCACACAATCACTGTGCTCTCCCTCCCACAAGCACACAGATTCTCTCTCCGTTCCACGCAACCACTGCCAGCAGATGGGGAAGGGGTGATGTCAGTAATTCAAGACTGTCGTTTCTATCCTCTTCAGTGTCTCTTTAAGTGATATGAAGATAAATCTAGGTACTGTGATCATTCACCTGATTTTTGGTTCTTATGAAGGTTCTTTTTTGTGTGGACATTTGTTCAATTTGGTGTTCCTGTGGGGAGGACGACAAGTGGAGGCTTCTATTTCACCATCTTGCTCTGCCGCCCCTCTCAAAAGTGTTATTCTTTTATTTCACTTTATATTTTGCTAATTAATAGTAAGGTAGTCCCATTTTTATAAATTTATCCATTATCTATATTTCTTCTTCTGTCAACTAACACTTCTTATCTCTTGCCCATTTTTCTTCTGGATTGTCTTTCTTCTTACCGCTTTGTAGTTTTTTCTTCTTTTTAATATAACGAAAATATTAACCCTTTGCCTATAGTTTGTTTTGCACATATATGAAATATTTTTTATCTAGCACATAGCTTGTGTTTTAACTTTACGGTATTTTGTCTAGAAGTTTTTGTTTTGGTAAACTCAAATTAATCTTTTATTTATGGCTTTCACTTCTTTTGGCTAAGTTTAAGAAGGCCTGCTTTAAGGTCGTATCTGAATTTTCTTACGATTTGTTATTTAAATTCATTTGTGTTGTTTAATCCATTTGCATTGTTATTTTCATTGTGTATTAAATTCCTTTTTATACATGGGCTTATTTCTTTATTCTTTCTACCAATACCATACTATTAACTGATAGACTTTTAGATTATGTTTTGGTATCTGAAAGACCAGATTGCTCTTTTTTTTTGCTCTTTTTCAAAATTATCTTGGTTATTCCTAGGCATTTATTATTCTGTGTGAATTTCAGTTTGTTTAATTAACTCTCATGAAAAAATCCCACTGGGATCTTAGCCAGTTTAGCTAGATTCATACAGGAACATAACTTATTTCCATATTCAGATTTTCCTTTAAATCCTTCTGTGACATTTTATTGTTTTCTTCATAAATGTCTTACATTTAAAAAATAAGGTCTATTCCCACGTATTTTACATTTTGTTGCTTTTATGAATAGGATTTTTCCTATTACATTTCCAGATCTGCAAAGTGCTAATTTTAGAAAAAACAGATTTTTAAACATCAACTTTGTAAACTGCTTAACTAGTAGTTTGTCAGTTGATTTTGTAGAGAGAGAATATCTTCACATAATAATTGTTCTAGCTACTTTTTTCAAATATTTAAAACTTGTTTTTTTGTATTGTTTGACTAGAAACTCCAGTATAACACTGAAAATTGCACCCTTACTGTCTTAGTCCATTTATGCTGCTATAAAGAAATATCGGAGCCTGAGTAATTTATAAGGAAAAGAAGTTTATTTGGGTCACAGTTCTGCAAGCTGTATAAGAAGTACGGCACCAGCATCTGGTCCTGCTGCTGAGTGCATCAGGCTGCTTCCACTCATGGTGGAAGGCTAAGGGTAGCTGGCAGGTGCAAAGGTCATGTGATAAAAGTGGAAGCAGAAAGAGGGGAGGGAGATGTCAGATCTTATTAAATAACTCTTGGAAGTAGGAGAGTAAGAACTCACTCATTACCATGAGAACGGCACCAAGCCATTCATGAAGGATCCACTCCCATGACCTAAACACTTCCCATTAGGCCTCACCTCCAACATTAGGGATCAAATTTCAACTGAGATTTAGAGTGGCCAAATATCCAAAACACAGCACTTGTCTTATCCCTGAGTTTAAAAGGAATGTGTCAATGTGTCTGTTTTACCACTAAGTATGATATTCATGCAATTTTCTAGTTTCTGTATGAATTTTATAATCTTTAGGAAGTTTTTCATCTATTCCTAGTGGCCAAGAGTTTTCAACATGAAGGGACATTATAGTTTATCAAGTCCTTTTTGGGGCATCAAGTGAGGTAAGAGGTGAATCATACTGATAATATTTTCTAATGCTGAGACATTCTTGCATTCCTTGAACAAAACCTACCTGGTCACAGTGTATTATTATTTTACCACACTATCAATCTGCTGTTATTTTCCTTAGGATTAGGTGAATGAGCAAGTGAATATTTACGTATGTATGTATAAATGAGATGGGGTCTTGCTCTGTCACCCAGGCTGGAGTGCAGTAGCACGATCTTGGCTCACTACAACCTCGAACTCCTGGGCTCAAGCACTCCTCCCACCTTAGCTCCCCAAGTAACTGAGACTATAGGTTATGTGCCACTATGCCCCACTTCTGTATCTATTTTATAAGAGACACTGGCTTAGTTTTCCTATATTATCATTGCCTGGTTTTGGTATCAGACTAATAATACCTTCATAAATCAAATAGCTTCAAACAGTATTATCCTAAGTAGTTTTTTACATGGTAGAAAATGTAAATGAACTTCTTCCTTTTTGAGAGAAATTAATACTCCATAAGATGTCAAATATTTAGAATTGAGTAATATAAGAATAGCCTTCTAACTAGTCTCCCTGCCTCCACTGTGGTTTCCTGCCCAATCAATCATCTATACTAGTATTTTGATTTTTCTAAAGCTCTTCAATAGCTTCCTATTGCCTGAAACAGTGGTACTCAATTACAATCAGGTAAATGTGTATCAAGATACTTAACTCACCAGAACTTTACAGTGTGAATGTGTGTCAAGCAAAACATGCTTTCCATACTCCCTAATTTTGACATGCCTAAAATATGCTTAATGTGGATGTGCGTGGGGTAAATGTTGTGTTTAAAAATAGCTCCCATGGCCAGACACAGTAGCTCATGCCTGTAAACCCAGCACTTTGAGAGGCTGAGGCAGGAGGATTGCTTGAGGCCAGGTGTTCAAGACCAACCTGGGCAATATAGCGGGATTCCCTCTCTATAAAAAATAAAAATAGCTAGTGTGGCAGCGCGCACCTGTGGTCCCAGCTACTCAGGAGGCTGAAGTGGGAAGATCACTTGAGCCCAGGAGGTCAAGGTTGCAGTGAGCCAGGATTGCATCACTGTACTCCAGCCTGGGTGACAGAGTGAGACCCTGTATCAAAAACAAAAGCAAACAAACAAAAATAGCCCCCTCTACTGTTACCCAGAAGTAAAAGGAAACTAAAGGTACAATTACCTAGCTAGGTATACAAGCCCCTTCTATAATTTTGCTCCAGTGATCTCTCTAGTCACTTCTTTCCCTGCTCTCCACCCTCATCATATATTATACAACTACAACCTCAACTCTATTCAAACTATAGCCAAGCTACTTATAATTTCCAAAACATATTTCACTGTTACACTCTTCAATGCCTTTGTGCTTACCTTTTCTTGGCATGCCTTCCCTACTAATCCAACTTCTATTTGGTCTTAAAAACCATTTCAGATGTCCTCTCTTATGAAACTTTCCTTGTAGTCCCCTCATCTACCACAAGTTAATCATTCCTTCCTCTGCATTACCTTTGTATCTTGCTGCAAACTCATTTAACAACTGAGTGCTTATGAGTCAAGTACTTTACCAAGAACCTTACATCTTTTGTTGAATTTTCACAACCACTCTATTAACTAGGAGGTATTATACCCATCTATCTAAAATTCAGATAAATTAAGCTGCTTTGACATTCAAAACCTAGTCTGAGATAAAAATTTCTTAAAATGTTTGCTGTATTTTTTGTATACATGTGCCATTTCCATTTTTCTTACCTTCCCTATTAGATTTAAACATCGTAAGAACAGGAAGATGGAACATATGTTTAATTCTCCACTGTATCCACAGCACCTGTACGATGCCTGGTACACAGCAGGGGTTTAGTAAGTATTTGCTGATTGGCTGATCTTATTAAAGAGTAAAGTCTCTTTTTTTTTTTTTTTCTTGAGACAGAGTCTCACTCTGTCGCCAGCATGGAGTGCAGTGGCACGATCTCGACTCACTGCAACCTCTGCCCCCCGTGTTCAAGCGTTTCTCCTGCCTCAGCTTCCCTAGTAGCTGGGACTACTGGTGTGTGCCACCATGCCCAGCTAATTTTTGTATTTTTAGTAAAGACGGGGTTTCACCATGTTGGCCAGGATTGTCTCGATCTCCTGACCTTGTGATCTGCCCGCTTCGGCCTCCCAAAGTGCTGGGATTACAGGCATGAGCCACCATGCCGGACCCTGAAGTTTAATTTTTTGAATCTTAGTGACTCAGCACAAAGCTTGGGATATAGAATATACTCAGTAAATATTTGCTGAAATCAACTGAATTAACTAGAAGAAGAAATGGGAATCAGCAGACACTCAGGTTCAATTCTTGGCTTCAATCAACACACACTTATCTGGTCCCAGATTCTTCAGAGGTACCAAAGCTGAAAACCATTGGAGGCTGGCAAAATCTAGCCTGCTGCAGCTGCATGTGCTAATGAGATCCCACTGTTCCTCTCATCTCTCTTCTGGCTCAGCCAAACTTCAGTTTCTGCTTCATTCTGGATTCTCCCACAGCAGCTAGGTGGTCTGTTATACCTAGTACTTGCTGATGGGAGAAGGCTACAGAAGCCATACATTATTACCCATTATATATGATAAACTTGACTACTGTAGCAGCAACTACAATCACTAACTTATTGAATATAAACAAGGAATAAAAGGTTCAAAAATTAATTTTCTAGATATTTAAAGACTATCCTTTAAAACAACATAATTTTCTTCTAATAGTTATATCCCTTTGATAGTTCCACAAAAGTGGTTACAGATAAAAGTTTCCCAAGTGCTTTATGGTTGTTTGTTTGTTTGTTTTTGTTACTAAAGCCAAGGTATAAATGGTTTCTCTTCATACATAATAGAACTTCTGGTGAATCTGGATTTGGGGGATTTTCCCTCCCAAACCACAAAACATTTAGATGGAAAAGGAGTTCTACTCAGGATCAAGGATTTTATAGAATTATGGACAAGAAGGAACTTGGAAGAATACATTCACAATTAAATCCTTTCAGTGAAATGATGCTTGCTTTTCCTCTGCAGAGGACCTGGGTTGCTTTGTAATAGTCCTAATCTTTAGAATTTCTGCCTATGTGTGTCAAAATAGGTCTCTAGTTTCTGCCCTGAATCTTTCCTCTTAGGTGGCATAAAAGCAGTCTTCAAAGAAATATGCACACTGGAGTCAGAACAAGTATGAGTTTTCATGCTGTCATTGGCTCTCTAACTTCTCTAAATTTCAGTCCTTATCTGGCTAATCTCATAGTATTACAGAAAAATTAAATGGGATAATCCACTTAAGCACTTAGCATAGTACCTGGCACAGAGTAAATGTTTAAAAGATGTGGCTGGTTTTTTTCTTATTGAAGGGCAGGCTTGGTGGCTCACGCCTGTATTCTCAGCACTTTGCAAGGCTGAGGGAGGAAGACTGCTTGAGGCCAGGAGTTTGACACCACCCTGGGGAACACAGTGAGACCCTGTCTCTACAAAAAAATTAAAAATTAGCTGGGAGTGGTGGTGCACACCTGTAGTCCTAGCTACTTGGGAGGCTGAGGTGGGAGGATCACTTGAGCCCAGGAGTTGAGGTTGTAGTGAGCTATGATTGTGCCACTGTACACTAATCTGGGTGATAGACTGAGATCCTGTCTTAAAAATACATAAATAAAATACAACTGAAAACAAATATTATGTCTCCCAAGTCTTTCTTTTCTTCAGGCAAACCCCTTTCAGTTCCTTTAATTGTTCCTTAAATGCTATTGTTTAAAGTATTCTAATCTTGATTGCTCTTCTCTAGACAAGTTTCAGTTTGCCAAACTTGTCAGATCCAGAAGTGAATATGACCTTTTTCCTTGAAAATAGTTTCCAGTAAAAGAAAAAAACAGTCTTTAAATTATGAAAGTAATAAACATTTAACTGAAAACCTAGAAAATAGAAAGATGGAAGAAAATTACTCATAAGCCTAGGAGTTCATGTCCAGCCTGGGCAACATAGCAAGATTCCATCTCTTAAAAAATAAATACATACATAAAATTCTTCAAGCATACAATATGTGCTAGGCATAATAAGCCATGGAATTTGCCTCCAAAAAATTTTGCAATCTATTTGCGAAGTAAATGACTAAAGCTACGATTTGAAATGTGGCTAGCCCAAACGGAGATGTGCTGTAAGTATAAAATTTTTAAATTTACAGTATAAAAATAGATGTAAATATCTCAATAATAATTTTTATATTGATTAGGTAATCAATATAATTACTTCAACATGTTGAAGTGATATTGTGGATACAATAGTTAAATACATATACATTAAAATTAATTTATTGTTTCTTTTTATCTATTTAAAGTGTCTACTAAGAAATTTAAAATGACATACGTGGTTTGCACTCTATTTCTATTGGACAGTACTGGTCCAGAGACATGACAGAGCCTGGTACTTATGGACAAGTCACACAATTTATCCTAGAGTAAGAGAAAAAAGTAGCAAACAAGACAAGGGCCAAATCATTTAATAGTGGTTGAATATGTGCCTATGTTTAAAGAACTATTTCAAGCCATTTGGGAAACAAAAAAGTGTAACACATTATCCTTATTTTCAAGGAATTCATGATCTAAAAGAAGAGACAAGATGAGATTTAAACTTAACCCCAATAATCCCCGCTGCCAGGAACAAAGTGCTATGTTCAGGGACTTCCTCAACTCCACAGCCATCTGGCTCCAGGTACCTAGTGCTGCATTCCCACTTGCTCTCATTTTCTGTCCTTCAGGCTCTCTAGTGGTAAATAGAGGATGCATATCTGCTTGACACACACATGAGATGACAACTTCATTTTAAACACAGATGTTGCTAGTATCTTCCTTAGCAGTATCTCTCCTTGCACATGGGCTGTCCCACCCCAGAGTCAAAGGTATTAGGAAGATCTATAATTGACAGCATTCACACAGACACATATCTTCTACTCTAGACCACAGTATCATTAGCCAAATATTATTTACTTCCTTGTAGCTAACAAGCACCATTAAAATATAAAGAATCATTTCAAAAAGGAAGAAACATTTTCCAAGTTCTTATGAGATATCTCCATGTGCAAAGTATTACATAGGCTCTATATGGGAGACAAAGTGATAGACATTATCTAAAGCACCTAAATAAAATGTCTGGTTCTCTACACAAAATGAAGAGTTAGGCTAGTCAAAGAAGTAAACAATAATTGCACTATGGAAGTTTACACAAATTGGGTTATTCTTGTCATATCCCATTAAAACAGAGTTGAGAGGCCAGAGAGAAAAAGCACTCAGGGCACATAACATTGCTGCAAGAATGTAAGTAATTCTCTGCAAGCCTGGCTGCTGAAACTCCCTGCTAAAATATGAAACCAGTTTTATCTAATAGCTACTGAAACAAGCTGCTGTGACTCTAAGACTAGTTTTACTCACCGCAGTTACTTATCAATCAGAACTTGCCAGCTTCCAAACCCTTTTTTAACATTTTTAAATTTTTCTTTCACATTTTCCATCACTCCCTATTATCTTTTCTTTTTCTCCCCAAACCTTTACTAGTGCCAATTAACTTTCTCAAAGAACAATACATAACATTTCTCCTTTTTATAAAACCTCCAACCTTCTCTTTGTTCTTCAGACATACTGAAGAACATACCACCCAGTCTGTGTGTATGCCTGGAATAGCAATTCCTGCTTCCCAAATAGAATGTGTTAACTTCCAAGATTTGTCCCTATACTTTCATTAGTTCAAAAGTGCTAACATTAACTTGTACTATCAACAACCTACTTACCGTGAACACAGCCCAAGAAAGGGCAGAATGACCTCCTCCATGCAGAAGGAGCAGGACTGGACCCTCTGAACCACTCTTGTAGACTCGAAAAGTGTATGAATAGTTAAAGATAAAACATCTATGTTTTTGCTCACTAAAGTTTTTCATTATTTAATCATAGTAATACCGCTAGAAACTTACATGCAAAACTGCAGACTGCCAAATGTAAGAGATGTAAGCAGACTTTTCTGAGACACTAACCCTCTGTTTGAAGCATGAAGCCTGTGTGACCATTTTGTTCAATGAAAAAAAAAAAAAAATTCCCTTTGCCCTCATGAGGACATAACCCCTGGATTCTAGAAATGAAACTAGTTCAACTCACTTGACTCATGAAACCTTCCCCTGGGCCCCTAAGACAGTATATCAGTTTCAAGAATTTAATTCTTAATCCCTTCTCCATGCATTAGAGAATTACAGCCAAGAAAGATATTGGCATGGACTTCCAGGCAATATTCCATAAAGAACAAGTGAGGAATAAGGTGAAATAAGTAGCAGGAATAAAGAACATTTTAGAAACTACACAAGTCTTTTAACTTAGACAACATCATAAGCTCACTAAAGAATAAGCCATTTTGCAAAGGATATATCCTTGCCAGTTTCATTCTCTACTTCTACATCTTCCATGGACTCAAAATACTGACTCCAAGGAACAGGGGAAAAGTCCCGCTTTCTTCCAGGGCTGAGGAAAAAAAAGAGAGAGACATTTCAGAAAAATTATGCATAAAGAGATAAAATCTTGGTCAATAAATGCTAAATGTAAGTCAGTAATGAAAACAGCAAAGGTATTTTCTCTTAAAGATATAAAGAGTTCATCACAAAGTATCATATTAAAAATGTATTTAATGTATTGTATTACATAATAATGTAAATGCATTTAAATAAGTATTTTAAAATGTATTTAAATCCAAACATAGATTTAAGAGTAAAAATTTTAGGATTTTTCAAAATTCATTAGTATATTTTAATCACAAATAAATTCTGTGTTCATATACACACAAAACCTGCTAGTTTTTCACCTTGCTCTTGGCTGTAGGCTCATTTCCATCCTCCCAACTGACTTTAATATCATTCCTACCTCAGTCAACAGTCAATAGTCTTGGTCACTATCACTCCTTTACACATTTAATTCTCCATACTCTTTCATGCTTCCTTGTCATTCCCAAACAATCAATATACAACCTCCATGGAAGGCAAACTGGCAATATCAATACCTTCAACTTACAGGAATTTATCTGAAGAATTGCTCACACAGAAGTGAAATGACTTAAGTATTCAATGAAACATCGTTTGTAATAGAGAAAAGTTGGAAAAAATCTAATATCCATCAATAGGGGACCGATGAAAATAAATTGTAGTATATAGAAAAATACTAGTTAACTGTAAAAATGAACAAATATATTAATAAAAATCTTTATATATGAATATATAATTCCAAGATTCATATATATAACTCCAAGATGAACACGATATGCGTGCTATCACTTGGGTAAAATTGTGAAATACATGTAAGTGTTTATGTATGTTTTCAACATCTCTGGAAGGATACTGATACAACATTTATGGTATCTTGGAAAGGAAAGTATGATTGGGAAATGAGAGGAAAAATTTTCAATCTCTGTTCCTTACTATCTTTTGATTTTTGATCATGTATTATTAAAAAATATAAAATTATTCTAAAACAAAATAAATCAGTAAGTGTCTATTCACAATTTACGTCTTCAACCTTGGATGGAATACAAGAAAGAAATTCCAAGCTGTCCCAATTTCCAACCTATTCTTCTTCCTAGTAATGGAGGAAATTCAGAATTCTATCAGCAGCAAAACATTACCTCTTGCCAGACATCTTCCTGTATATGCTATGGAGAATATCTACAAAGTATGATACAAAGCTCTTTCTAAAAACTTAATATAAAAGCACTCCTAGTTGACTATAATACTGGAAAAATTACAACACAGCGGCTGGGTAGGAAGGGATATATTCTTTCAAAAGTGAAACATTTATTGAATGTCTACTCTGTTCTAGGCATTGAACCAGGTCAGTATTTCTGAATCTAACAATGAAATCACCTGGAGAACTTTATACTCATGCTTGGGTCTCACCTCTAGAAACATATTTAAGTGGTCTGTGTTATGGCCTGAGCCCTGAGGATTTTTAAAGTTCCCCATGTTGAGAGAGGCACTATAAATATAAAGATAGAGTACATGATTTGGAATGACAGAGGAGTTCAAATTCCTTATAAGTCCTACCATTTCTCTACAAGTTCCTGACACATTATGAACTTGGTCAAATTATTCTGCCTTGGATTGCAGAGACTGAATAAAATTACCTTTAAAGAATCTAATACATCTAGCATTTGATAATTGCTCAGTAGATGGATAATCCTATCTTCTGAAATAAAAATGACATTGTGAAGTAAACAGCAACTTCAGCCTCGACCTGCTTTTTTTGCTTTTCTGGTTGCACTTGAAATCCTATGGGAAAACTAAAAGCAGAACTTAGAATTCTACTTACTCACAAGTTACTCACAAATCTACCTATCCTACACTAATTTGATTATAACGATAACATGGCATGCCAAACATGTTATAATGGATTCTAACGATCCATGGATGAATTTTGATATCTGGACCTAGGATATCATCATAGTAATAGTACATAATATTCACTATGCACAAACGAGTCACTGTGCCAAATACTTCACAGACGTGATTCCATTTAACCCTCACAAAACTTTTTATGCCCATTTAACAGATGAAAAAACAGATTTAGACATAAAAGTAACTTGCCAAGGCCACACAACTACTAAATGGTAGTGACAAAATTCAAATCCAGTTCTGCCACTCTCCAAAGCCTCTGCTCTTTACCCCAATGCTGTATCACTCCTTTCATCCTTTTATCTTCTCATGCTGTCATTTATGCTTCTGAAAAGTAATAAGGCTTAAGTGCACATTATTAGAGGTTTTCTTTTTGTAGTCTAAATATAGCTGATTCTGCCAATGCCAAAGAACCTTTACAAGTTAGCCAGGTACCAGTTAAAACTTACTTCCTATAAGTAGAAATTATTCACAGGAGAACACCCTCCACTTCTAATTTCCTTCATTTAAAAAAAACAAAAAACAAAAAAGGCCTGTAGCCGGGCGCGGTGGCTCACGCCTGTAATCCCAGCACTTTGGGAGGCCGAGGCGGGCAGATCACGAGGTCAGGAGATCGAGACCATCCTGGCTAACACGGTGAAACCCCGTCTCTACTAAAAATACAAAAAATTAGCCGGGTGTGGTGGCGGGCGCCTGTAATCCCAGCTACTCAGGAGGCTGAGGCAGGAGAATGGCATGAACCCGGGAGGCGGAGCTTGCAGTGAGCCGAGATAGCGCCACTGTACTCCAGCTTGGGTTACAGAGCGAGACTCCATCTCAAAAAAAAAGAAAAAAGAAAAAAAAGGCCTGTAGTTCCTGCCACTCGGGAGAGACTGAGGTGGGAAGATAAATTGAGCCCAGGAGTTCTAATCCAGCCTGGGCAACAAGTGAGGTCTCATCTCTCAAAAAACAATAATAAAAATAAAAATAAACAAAAAAACAGGTTCCAGGGACTACCCAACTTATTTCCACCAAATGAGTAATTCCCATTTATTTAAGGAATCAATAATTCTCCATCTCCAAAGGTTGCTCCTACTCCCACAGAGATTTTCTAGCACACCCCTAACACCTTCTTTTAAACACATAATTGGGCCAGGCACGGTGGCTCATGCCTATAATCCCAGCACTTTGGGAGACCGAGGTGGGCAGATCAGCTGAGGTCAGGAGTTCGAGACCAGCCTGCTCAACACTGCAAAACCCTGTCTCTACTAAAAATACAAAAATTAGCCAGGCATGGTGGCACGCACCTGTAGTCCCAGCTACTCGGGAAGGCTGAAGCAGGAGAATCGCTTGAACCCAGAAGGCGGAGGTTGCAGTGAGTCAAAATCGTGCCACTGCCCTCCAGCCTGGGTGACAGAGCGAGACTTCGTCCACACACACACACACACACACACACACACACACACACACACACAAAACACATGACTGTTTATAAACTAGAAGACTTCAATTAATTTTGTAACTAGTATTATTAGACATTACATAAGTGGCAAGAATCTTACATTATTTTTGTATTTTAGTCAGAACAGAATATTGTGAATTTTAGGGATATAGTTTAGATTGATTTTAAAAAATAGCTTTAGTTTCTTATTTTATGCCTAGATACTTTATAGTCATTATAGTTTGTGTAGGCCTTTTTTAATTATAATTTTTAGATTAATTACTAACTTCCCCCCCTCAAGGGGTCGTAATGAAAGAATTTTAAAGTAGTGAAAGAACTTTCAAAAGCATAACAAGTTTAAGTTACTGATATGGTTTGGCTATGTCCTTACCCAAATCTCATCTTGAATTGTAGCTCCCATAATTCCATGTGTTGTGGGGGGACCTGGTTGGAGATAATTGAATCATGGGGGCAGTTTCCCCTATACTGTTCTCATGGTAGTGAATGAGTCTCAGGAGATCTGATGGCTTTATAAGGGGAAACCCCTTTCACTTGGGTCTCAATTCTCTCTTGTCTGCCACCATGTAAGACATGCCTATTTCCTTCCACCATGATTGTGATGCCTCCCCAGCCATGTGGAACTGTGAATCCATTAAACCTCTTTTTCTTTATAAATTACCCAGTCTTGGATATGTCTTTATCAGTAGCGTAAAACAGACTAATATAGTTACATTTTAAAAGGAAGAATTTATTGTTGGTTGTGGTGGTGTACCCCTGTAGTCCCAGCTACTTGGGAGACTGAGACAGGATGATCACTTGAGCCCTGGAGTTCAAGGCTGTAGTGCACTATTATCACACTCGTGAATAGCCACTGTACTCTAACCTGGACAAAACCGTGAGACCCTGTCTCTCCCAAAAAAAAGGATTAATTCATTCAAAAAATATTTACTAAGAACCTATTACGTGTATAAGGCTGGAACTGACATAGGATAATGGGGGATGCTGGGACAATTATAAAACTAGAGAGACAATGCATCTGCTGTCAAGAAGTTAGTATTAAGTACATAAATATCTAACAAAATGTACAAAGAGTTAAATACCCTAAGAAGTACAGCTGAAGTGCAGTGAATGTTCAAAGGAGGAAAGAAAGATTACTTCCAGCTTGGAGAAGAAAGACAGGCTTAAAAAAACACACACAGACACACTTAAGCTAGGCATTGAAGGACAGAAAGAATTTGCGCTGATAGAAATAGGGATGGAGAGAGGGATAAGACATTTCAGGCAGATAAGGACCCAGCCTGCTGCCTGTCATAGGGAACACTGAAAACAAACAACAACAAAATAGCTAACTGGAATGAGGTGGGAATAGTACAGTATTTTTGAAAAGCTAAAAGAAGCTGACACAATTAGATAGTGGAGAAAGAATGTTAGCTTAATAAAATGGGGAATATATGTTCTTTTTCCGGTTATTTGTATGTGTGTGATTTTTTGGAGTGGCCCAACAGTCATGGATGATATCCTAGAAAATGAAGAGCCAGTCTATGGCCGTAACACCCTGAATGCACCCGATCTCATCTGATCTCGGAAGCTAAGCAGGGTCAGGCCTGGTTAGTACTTGGATGGGAGAAAATGAAGAGCCAGGCTGGACGTGGTGGCTGATGCCTGCAATCCCAGCACTTTGGAGGTCAAGGGGGGAGGATTGCTTGAGCTCAGGAGAACGAGGCCAGCCTGGGCAACACAACAAGACCTCGTCTCTACTAAAAACAAAAAAAAATTAGGTAGTGCACCTGTGGCTCTAGCTACTCAGGAGGCTGAGGCAGGAGGATCATTTGAGACCAGGAGATCAAGGATGCAGTGAGTTGTGAACACACCACTGCATTCCAGCCTGGGGGACAAGGCGAAACCCTGTCTCCAAAAATCAAACAAACAAGAAAAGAAAATGAAGAGTCGATAAAATGTAAAGATAAAAGTATTTCAGAAAGATCAATCTGGTTACAGGCACAAGATGGACTTGATTCTGGGAAAAAATATGTTGCAATAACCTGGCTAGAAAAGGATGGGATCAGTTAATAGGGTTGACAAAGAAAAAAGAGAAAAAAATGGGAGACTTAACTGGCAATGGAATTAAAAGCAAGAAAACATAGAATGACCTTTCAAAGGCAATGAACAAATCTTGGGAATGTTCAAGATATGAAAGATGATTGACAGCAGAATCAAAGTCAATTTTAAAGTTTTGAACAGAGAAATTAATAATTAAGTCCTACAGTTTATAAATAAAAATCTACTCTGGTAGGTAACTGTATAATTTTTTTACGTTAGAATACAATTTATTTCAAACCTAACAAAATAAATAAATAATTTCCTCCCCCCTCCTATTGCCAAAGGAAGAAGTTTGACAGAGAGGAGACAAAGTGGTGCTGTGAAAGACACAAAGAAAATATGGTATCTGCCTGAGTCACATGAATCAAATGTGTTTATGGATCTTTTGCTATTATCACAGACCATGTTCAGAATTTGATGAAAGCTATGAACCCTCAATCCAGAGGGTTCATGCATGCACATGTATTTTGCTATAATTCCACTGGTTTCAAGAAACCTATCTACGAATCCCAAATTAAGAACCCTTAGCCTATAATTTGACCTTAACAACCTATTTCCAGCAGAAAGAGAAAAGGAATTAGGAGATACTGCATTCTTATCAGTTCCTGAACCTGAATTCATTTTCCATTTGCTACCAACTAAAGGTTTATTTTCACAACCCAGTTCTGCCTTTATTAAACTATGGGACTTTGGGCAGTCACTTCAGTTCTGTAAGCCTGAGTTTCTTCATGTTAGGGGATTATAGTACCAATTTTATAGGCGTTATTATGAGGATCAAAGATGCCCTTTCATCTCTTGGTTACTCTCAAATTAGTCAGTTCTATTTATCATAAAACTAATCATTTTCTAAAATTATCTTATTCCCATATTTGTTATTATCCTCCAGTCACCCCAATTAATTCACCACTAATGTGAGATCCATTAGAGCAAGAAGGTTCTCCATTAGTTCACTGATGTATTCCCAGCCCAGAGCCTGATACACATCAATGACTAATATCTGTTGACAGTCTGAAGTGAATTAATGTGCATAAAGCACTTAGCTGGGTTTCTCAATAAATATTTATTACTATTATTAAATAGCTTTGAGGCTAATAATCCTTACTTAATCCTTATAAACTTTCTAGTAAAAGCGAATGGGATACTACACCAATCAAGACTGTGGTACAGGTATAAGAACAGACATAGAGATCACCTAAATACAATCAAAAGTCCAGAAATAAACTAGTATTTATAGTCAATTTGTCAGAGGCATTTGAACCAGGCCACTCCATTTTGACTGAGGGCTAGGAAAATGAGGCTGGGACTTGCCGGGCTGCATTCTCAGAAAGTTAGGCATTCCTAGCCTCTAGGTGTTTATGGTTAAGGGAACAAATTAATAATGTTTACTAAACAGACCCACACTTGGGAGCTTCCAGCTATCCTGATATCTGGAGAACAAAGGCATTCCTAATTTTGCTTTAAAGTTTATAATATCCATTCTTGCAAAAATAGTTAATTAAGAAATTAATCCTTTATCACAAACCCTTGTAGCAGAACACATCTCCCCATATATACAAGCATTATACTTAGAGTGGATATGTTCCTCCTCTTACTTTCGGGAACGTCCTACTCTGTCTATGGAGTAGCTGTTCTTTCACTTTACTTTCTTAGTAAACTTGCTTTTACTTTGCACTGTGGACTCGCCCTGAATTCTTTCTTGAGTGAGATCCAAGAACCCTCTCTTCAGGTCTGGATTGGGACCCCTTTCCTGTAACAAACTGATTTTCAACAAAGGGGCCAAGATAAATTCAATGGGGGATATGATATTGGGACAACTGGATATCCACATGCAAAAGTACAAATCCAGACCCCTTCCTCACACCATATACATAATTAACTCAAAGTGTATCATAAACCTAAATACAAGAGCTAAAACTATAAAACTCTGAGAAGTAAAAAACGAGTAAAACTCTGTGATCTTAGGTTAGGCAACAATTTCTTAGATACAACACCCAAAGCAGAAGTGATAAAAAAGACACAGGACTTGAACTTCATTAAAATAAAATCCTTTTCATTAAACTATATGCCATTTTCATACTATGGCTACATACAGAGAGAAATAAGCATAGTTTCATGGATAAGAACATGGGCTCTGAAGTCAGATTCTTTTAGTCTAAATTTCATTTCCAATAATTACAAGCTATGTGACTGTTGGCAAATTAATCTGTCTCAATTTCTTCAACTGTAAGCTTTGCAAAGTGATTATTAGTAAGTACTTCCTGTTAGTCATTATAGAAACACTGTTTATAGTTGAGCCACATGGTATACCAATTGTACTTCTTGTACAACTTTTTGCTTTTTTCCAGAATAATTGTCTTTTTAATTTTGTTTGCTTAGTTTTCTATTAAAGTGTCACTAACTGTTTCCCAAAACTTTTTGATAGGCAAAAGACATTAATATGCTTTTCCCTAAGGAGGAAACACAAACAGCCCATAAAGATATGAAAAGGTTTCCAATTTAAGATACATAAAATTTAAATTACAGTGAAGTATCATATTTCACATCCATCATGTTGACAAAATATAGGAAGCCAGACATTAACAGGTATTAACAAGGAAACAGGGAAGATTATTTGGAAAACTGTAAGGCATCACCTAATAAAATTAGACAGGTGTCCTTCAACCTGGTAATTTTACTTTACAGAGAACCTCCTGCACATAGGCATCAAAACACACATATAAGAATGTTTGTAGACACATGTCTATAAAAGCAAAGAATAAGAAGCAAGCTAAATATGCATCACCAATAGAATATACAAACTGTGATGTATCTGGGTAATAGAATATAGCATAGCAGTGAAAATAAATTTAAAAGTACATGAATCTGAAAAATACTTAGAGAAAGAAATAAGCACAGAAGACTGAATCCTGTATAATTCCATTAATAATAGTGTTCAAAAACAGGCAAAGCTAAATAATGTATTTTTAATGTATACATGCACAAGTGGTAAAACAATAAAGAAAAGCCAGGCACTGATTATCATGCAATTCAATACCAGTGTGGGAAACAGAGATGCTCTCGAGGAGAGACAAACAGGTTTCTAAGGTGCTGATAATGTTTTATTTCTTAAGCTAGGTGACGGACACATGAGAATTTATTATTCTTTGAACTGTACATATATACTTTACTTTTCTGTATGAGTATTTCACAATTTTAAACAAATAAAGCCTTTGAATTCTGTAAAACTTCTCTTAATATTTGGTCATTCACATTAAATAATCTACCAGGTCTATTTTTCACTCAAATTTCCATTTCTGGCATCCTCCATTCATCTGCTCCAAATAGGACTGCCTGCTGTCTGATATAATGAACTGCTAACAATTTAGTATCATCTCAGGAATTCTTCTTGCCTTTCACCTGTGTTGAATCCCTTATCCCATATCCCATATTTTTCTTGTTGTAGTCTCTTATTTTGATGAAACACATCCTCCATCAGCTTCATGAGAAAGGGACATTAATTTTGAAACTTTGCATGTTGAAAATAGCGTTCCCCATTTTCACACAATGACTGACAGTCTGCCTGAGTATAGACATCTTATATTAGGGACTGCTTCTGTCTATGGTAATTAATAGATCCAACTTGAGAAATATTGGCTAAAATTATATGTAAGTATTTGTGTGAAAAATATTATATAAATAGATGTTATATTTATACAATCATAGTGTATAATTATTAAATAATTATATATAATGATCTTATATATTGTAATTATATAGTCATTCGTTCTTCTTAAACGCATAGATGAGCTGGCAAGAAAGTAAGGAACAGGGAAGACCCAGGTCAAAAGTTAAGTAAGGTGGGAATCCAGAGAGGCACTTAGACCATTAAATCTGGCTTTTACCTTGATGGCATTTGCCAACTGTCTGAACTTGAAGTTTTGCGATGCACACAGAACAGGACACAAAGCCCGAGGTGGGAAGTCTTGCTGCGGAGCCCAGTAGGAAACCTTTCTCCATCAAGCTGGGATCCCAAAGAATCATAAGCTCAGTGAAAGGCTGAAACAGAATTAACTTTCTGCTTCTTACCACAATCTCAGGATTAAATTAAAAAATAAAAAATAAAATAAAAAAAGGCCTGTCTTAAAACTTAGCATTGAGAAGGGAGAAGCAAGAAAAAACAAAGACAGCTCTCAAACTGATATGGAGCTAAATACATATCATTTACATATCCCAAGAAGTTTCAAGATGAGAATGTAAAGTGGATCCAACTGGTAGTGCCCTCAGGACCCCCAAGAGAAACAAAGGCAAATCCTCTTTGAAGAATCAATCTTCATTCTAGGACTAAGAACTTTAAGAAAGTTCCAAGGCAAATGACCATCTCACAATCAAAAAGCATAAAATACGTGAGGAAACAGACCTGTAAAGAGTTCACATAAAGAAATTATCAAATACAATATAAAATAACTGCTTAACACATTTAAATGAACAGAAACTTGAAACAAGCTCCTAGAATGAAAAGAATTAAAATTAAAAAACAAATAGTCAAGTTTAACATATTAGACACAGCTAAGGAGAAGCGTAAACTAGTAGTGAATTTGTTCAGATACATCTAGATACATTTAGAATCCAAAATACAAATAGAAGATGGAAAATACAAAAGTTAAGAAATATGAAGGGAAGAGTAAATAAGTCTTAAATATGTCAAACTGAAGTTCTGAAAGGAAATAAAGACAGTGAAATAAAAGCAGTATTTGAAGAGGCCGTACAGGTTGAGTATCCCTCATCCAAAATGCTTGGGACCAGAAGGGTTTCAAATTTCAGTTTATTGTTTCCTTTTTAATTTTGGATTATCTGCATATACACAATGAGATATCCTGGAGATGGGACCTAAGTCTAAACACACAATTCATTTATGTTTAATAAAGACCTTATACACATGGCCTGGAGGTAATTTTAAACAATGTTTTTAATAATTTTGTGCACAAAACAAAGTTTGTGTAAACTGAACCATCAGAAAGCAACGGTGTCACTATCTTAGCCACCCATGTGGAAAATCTATGGTTGTTTGGCATCACCATCATTCCTGATTGAACTTACACGTTACTAATAATCATTTTTATTACACTTATTCACACATAAGTACTTAACAGTAAAAGATACAACATACCATTAATACAGTGAAAAAACATAATGTACTCAGGGTAACCAACCAGCACAGTAACATCACAGAACACCTCTACCAGTTATTAAATAAAAGCAACAACCAACAATGGCAGGCTTTCAGTCTCCCACCTACAATGTTGTGTTTGATTAAAAAGTTACTGAACACGGTATTTTATTTTTTTAGGTGAGAAGAAACATCAGAAGCAGCTGAGGGATGTGTTAAGTCTGTTCTTGCTGTAACATAATACCTGAGACTGGGTAATTTATAAAAAGGTTTAACTGGCTAATGGTTCTGCATGGTACCAGCATCTGTTCCTGGTAAGGGCCACAGGAAGCTTATAATCATGGTGGAAGGTGAAGTGGGAGCATCTGTGTCACAAGGTGAGAGCAGAAGCAAGAGAAGGGGGAGGTGCCACACTCTTTTTAAACAACCAGATCTGGAGAGAACTCAGGGCAAGAACTCACTCATTACCAAGGTGATGGCAATAAACCATTCATGAGGGATCTGCATCCATGATCCAACACCTCCCACTAGGCCCCACCTCCAGCATTGGGGATTACATTTCAACACGAGATTTGGAGGGTGCAAACATCCAAACCATATCATTCTGCCCCTGGCCCCTCAATTTCATCTCCTTCTCACATTGCAAAATACCATCACCCCTTCTCAATAGTTCCCCCAAAGTCTTAACTTGTTTCAGCATCAAGTCCAAAGTCCTAAGTCTCATCTAAGACTCATCTCCTTCCACCTATAAGGTGGAAGCAGCCTGAGATGTACTTATGAGCCTGTAAAACCAAAACAAATTATTTACTTCCAAGATACAATGGTGGTACATGCATTGGGTAAACATTCCCATTCCAAAATGGAGAAACTGGCTAAAAGAAAGGTGCTACAAGCCCTATGAAAGTCTGAAACCCAGCAGGGTAGTCATTAAATCTTAAAGCTCCAAAAATAATCTCTTTTGACTCCATGTCCCACATCCAGGGCACACTGGTGTGAGGGGTGGGCTCCCAAGGCCTTGGGCAGCTCTACCTATTGCTTGTAGGGTATAGCCCTGCCAGCTTTTCTCAGAGGTTAGAGCTGAGTGCCTGCAGCTTTTCCATGCTCAGGATGCAAGCTGCCGGTGGCTCTACCATTCTAAGGTTTGAAGTGTGGCAGCCCCTTTCCCACAATTCCACTAGGTGACGCTCCAGTGGGGTCTTTGACGGGGGCTCCAACCCCCCATTTCCCCTCAGCATTGCCCTAGCAAAGTTTCTCTGCAGGGGCTCTGCCCTTGCAGCAGGCTTCTACCTGGGCACCCTGGCTTTCTCATATATGCCCTGAAATCTAGGCAGAAGCTACCTAGCCTTCCTCACTCTCGCATTCTATGTGCATGCAGGCTTACCAACCACATGGAAGTGGTCAAGGCTTACAGTGCTTGTGCCCTCTAGAGCAGCGGCCCAAGCTGTGCCTGGGGCATTTTGAGCCCTGGCTGGAGCATGAGTAGCCAGGATACAAGGTGCAGAGTCCTGAGGCTGAGCAGGGCAGCAGTGCCCTGGGCTTGGGCCCTGAAACCATTCTCTCCTCCTAGGTCTCTGGACCTGTGATGAGAGGGACCTTCCCAAAGACATCTGAAACAACTTTGAAACCTTGCCCCCATTGTCTTAGATATTAACAATTGGTTCCCTTTTAGTCATGCAAATCTCTCTAGTAAGTGGTTACTCCAAAGCCCTCCTGGATTCCTCTTCTACCAGAGGGCCAGGTTGCAAGTTTTCCAAACATTTACAGTCTGCTCCCATTTTAAAATAAGTACCAACTTTGTTTTTTCTTCAGACAGGGTTTCACTCTGTTGTCCAGGCTAGAGTGCAGTGGCATGATCACAGCTCACTGCAGCTTCAATCTCCCAGACTTCAGTGATCATCCTGCCTCAGCCTCTGGACTAGCTGGGACTACTGGCATATACCACCACATCCAGCTGATAACTTCTTTTATTTTTAGTAGAAACGAAGTCTCACTATGTTGTCCAAGCTGGTCTCAAACTCCTGAACTCAAACAATCCTCCCACTTTGGCCTCCCAGTGCACCTGGCCTATAAAGTCGAACTTTAAGTCATTCCTTTGCTCCTGTATCTGATACCAGGCTGTGAGAAGCAGCCAGGTCACCTCTTGAATGCTTTGCTGCTTAGAAATTTCTTCTGCCAGATACTCTTGATCACTCTCAAGTTCAACTTTTTACAGGTTCCTATGGCATGAACAACACAATGCAGGCAAACTCTTTGCTAGGGCATAACATGATGACTTTTACTCCAGTTCCCAATAAACTCCTCATTTCCATCTGAGACCTCATTAGCCTGGCTTTCACTGTCCATATTTCTATCAGCATTTTGGTCAAAATTATTTAACCAAGTCTTTAAGAAGTTCCAAACTTTTCCTCATCTTCCTGTCTTCTTCTGAGTCCTCCAAACTCTTCCAACCTCTGCCCGTTATCCAGTTCCAAAACTGCTTCCACATTTTCAGTTATCTTTATAGCAACATCCTACTCTTCGGTATCAATTTTCTGTGTTGTCCATTCTTGCACTGCTATAAAGAAATACTTGAGGCTGGGTAATTGATAAAGAAAACAGGTTTATTTTGGCTTGGAGTTCTGCAGGCTGTACAAGAAGCATGCTACCAGTATCTGTTTCTGGTGAGGGCTTCAGAAGCTTACAATCACGGTGGAAGGTAAAGCTGGAGCAGCCACATCACATGGCAAGAGTGGGAGCCGACAGCAGGGATCTGCACCACTCTCTTTTAAACAACCTGATCTCGACTGAACTCAGAACCAGAACTCACTCATTACCAAGGGGATAGCACTAAGCCATTCATAAGGGATCTGCCCCCATGACCCAATACTTTCCACTGGGCCCTACCTCCAGCATTGGTGATTACATTTCAATGTAAGATTTGGAGGGGACAAACATTCTAACCCTATCAAGGGACCAGAAGGTGGGTCCTCTAGGGATGAGAATGCATGCTGCTAGGTGGCTTTCTAAAAATTTTTTTCCAGTCATCTGCTTCATTAACAATGGTTTTTGTCTTGAAAGTCTGTCTCTCATTTTATAAACTGACATCATTTCTTGCTCTGTTTTGACTTGTGTCATGTCAGCACTCAAAAAGTTTCAGATTTTGCAGCAGTGCAGATTTTCAGATTAGGAATGTTTAACCTGTGGCTGAAGTTTTCAGAACTGAGGAAACATCAAACTACAGATTCATGAAGCCCAGTGAATCACAAGATTTAAAGAGAAGTAATACATTATGGTAAAACTGTAGAACATTAAAGACAATTATCTTAAAAGTGGCCCTAACCCCCAAAATACTAAATGACATATGAGTAAATTTTGCTCATTTCAGCACTATTTGAAAGAGAAAAGGATGAAAAACACCCAATGGCCATCAACAGGAGACTGGCTGAATACACTGGGTTATGTCCATACAACAGAATACTATGCAACTGCAGGGAAAATAATGGAAAAGATTTCTGTGTACTAATAAGAAGTGATTAGAATATCTTAAATTTTAAAAACCAGTAGGCAAGCCAGGTGCAAGCTAGGTGCAGTGGCTCATGCCTGCAATCCCGGCACTTTGGGAGGCCGAGGTGGGTGGATTGCTTAAGCCTAGGGGTTTGAAACCAGCCTAGGCAACATGGCAAAACACTGTCTCTATGAAAAATACAAAAATTAGGGGGCACGGTGGTGCACACCTGCAGTCCCAACTATTAAGGAGGATGAGGTGGAAGAACAGCTTGAGCCCAGGGAGTCAAGGCTGCAGTGAGCCATGATCACGCCACTGCACATCAGCCTGGGTGACAGAGTGAGACCTTGTCTCAATAAATAAATAAATAAGTAAAGCAATATGCAGAACCATATGTATGCTATTTTATTTATTTATTATATTTTTTAATTTTAAATAGAGACAGGGTCTCACCACATTGCCCAGGCTGGTCTTGAACTCCTGAGCTCAAGTGATCTGCCTGCTTTGGCCTACCAAAGTGTTGGAATTACAGGTGTGAGCCAATGCACCTGGCCAATGTTATCTTTTATGTAAGGGGGAAATATAACTGTATGTTTACATATTTTGAAGTGCATTGATAAAAGCAGAGACTAATGAAAATAGTTACTTGTAGGATATTACAAACAAAAAAGCTATACTTTCCTGAATATATATTGTTTTATACTTCAACATTGTAGTCATGTAAATAATTTTTGTTTTATAAGCATGTTAAACACTTTGTACAAATCAATTACCACAATTAACATAAAAGAGAACAAATTACCTTAATGGTGTATTAAGAATTATTCCAAGTGACTTTAAAAACAATTATTTGACTGCACATCTTTAGTGGGATAAATATACTTTAAGGAAAAAAAAGAACTGAAAATAAATTTTAAACAGTATTCAGTAATCATATTGTTGGTTATTTTTAATGGTAGCACAGTTTGTTATTTTGAGCACCATATACATACATATTTGGATAAAGCAAATAGGTAGTTAGGTTAATGTCATTAGGAACCAAGACTTTCGTTGTTAAGGGAAGAGATAATTATATAAAAATCAAAAAAGTAAAAAACCCTATAATCTTAATTTTGAAATGAAAATGTCAGGGTGAACGCTTGATTCCTTTTGTCCTTCCTTTTGAAATATCAGTATGGGCTGGGCGCAGTGGCTCACCCCTGTAATCCCAGCACTTTGGGAGGCCGAGGCAGGCAGATCATGAGGTCAGGAGTTCAAGATCAGTCTGGCCAAGATGGTGAAACCCCATCTTTACTAAAAATACACAAATTAGCCAGGTGTGGTGGCAGGCGCCTGTAATCCCAGCTACTCAGAAGGCTGAGGCAGAGAATTGCTTGAAACCGGGAGGCGGAGGTTGCAGTGAGCCGAGATAGTGCCACTTTCACTCCAGCCTGGGTGAGAGCGAGACTCCATCTCAAAAAAAAAAAAAAAAGAGAAAAAGGAAGAAATATCAATATGAACTCACGATTCTAGATATGTCTACTACAAAGGCCTATAAGCAATAACCAGAATAGTAGCAATGAGTTAGTCTAGTGCCCAGATTGAGAGGTCTAAATACCATTTCCAGCTTCTGGAGGCAGCCTGTATTTCTTGGCTTACAGGTTCTTCCTCCACTTTAAAGCCGGCAAGCAACACAGCATCTTCAAATCTCTCAGGCTCTGACTTGGTCTTCTGTTTCCTTCTCTTTAAAAGACACCAGTGATTACACTGGGCTTACCCAAATAATCCATGATATTCTCTTTATTTTAAGGTCAGCTGATTAGCAACCTTAATTCCATTTGCAACCTTAATTCCTCTCTGCCATGTAAAATAACATATTCACAGGTTCCAGGGATTCAGACCTCAGCATCCTGGGGATGTTGTTATTCCACCTGCCACAGGTTGCTAAAGTCATTGTATTATTTCAGAAGAACAGCAGAGATATTGATTAAACTTGGACTTGTATATTACCTATACATGTTAAAATGTGTAGGGCAAAATCCTAAGGAATCCACTAAAAAAACCACAGGAACAATTTCAGTAGGGTTTCAGAAAATAAGACCAATATATAAAAATCAATTGTATTTCTGTAATTTGCAATTAACAATCCAAAAATAAAATCAAGAGGACAATTCTATTTACAATACCACTGATAAGAATAAAATATGCAGGAATAAATATAGCCAAATAAATGCAAGATTTAAACACTGAAAACTATGTAATACTGTTGAAGAAATTAAAAAAGACATAAAAAGAAAGACATCCAGTGTTCATGGATTAGAACACTGAGTATTATTAAGTTGGCAATACTTCTCAAATTGATCTATAGATTCAAAGCAATGCCTATCAAAATTACACCTGGTTTCTTTGCAGACGTTGACAAACTCACCCTAAAATTCATATGGAAATTCAAGGGACCCAAAATAAGTTTTTTAAAAAAGAACAAAGTTGGAAACATTATACTTCCTGATTTCGAAACTTACTACAAAAAGCTACAGTAATCAAAAGACAGTGTAGTACCAGTATACTGATCGATATATAAATCAATGATATAGAATTGAGGGTTCAAAAACAAACACATACATTTATGGTCAATTGACTTTTGACAAGGATGCCAAGATAACTGTATAGGAAAAGAAACCTTTTCAATTAAATCATACTGGGATAACTGGATATCCACATGCAAAAGAATGAAGTTGGACTCATTCCTCATATCATACATAAAAATTAACTCAAAATGGATCACAGACTTGCATGTATGAGCCAAAACTAGAAAACTCTTAGAAGAAAACTCTAAGCCCCCTTTCACAGGCACCTAGTACCTGGAATTCTTGAGCCTTTATAGGATAGTGATATGGATTAGCTTGCACTTTCATTCTCTTTCTACAAGTAGTTTTCAGTTTTCTCTTCTAAATATTTATCAACTTGCTTTCTAGCTTCCTAAATTTTGTTAGCATCTTATATCCCTACTCTTCTTTGTCCTTTAGCTTTATTCCTTTTTCCAAATTACTATAACTTAATGAAATTTGAGGAGACAATGGAGATAAACACAGGAATTAATTTCTACACCAAGCCTCTGGGGTAGCTATTATTATCCCCATTTTCCAAACGAGAAAACTAAGGCCAATGGAGTTTAAATAACTTGTCTAAGACCATGGGAAGTAGCTGAGCTAGAATCTGACTCTCAGGGTTATTTCCTTACCATTTTCAATACTATCCTCAAAATAATATTAAGTTCCCCATTCTTGAAATCATCAAAGCTGGCAATGAACACCCTGAAAATCCCTAGGAAGAGGACTGGTTCCTGCTGTAGGGATAGTAATGATTGGGAGAAGAACCTTGTAGCAAGGTTGAGCACCATATAGACTAAGAACAAAGTCAAGGTTTAGAACTATTATGATCATGATCACAGGGAGCTGAAGAGTGAAGTGAGAAGGAAGAATCAAGGAAAACTCTCAAGTTTTCCTGATGCCATTCACAGACAGAGAATACAGAAGGCCTTCTTAAAGAGTTCTAATTTATTAAATACTGATTTACCATGTGCTTGAAAATCCTAGCTCCCATTACTATTACTTTTCTGTGTTGAGCATCGTGGAATCCAAAAATGGAAACAGAAGCATTTCACAAAATGTCTTGCATTAAGCAGAACAGGACACGTACAGCCCAATATATGATGTGCTTTCAAGCAAATAAATGAAACCTTACCTCACTTAAAACCATCTTCAGATAAGATACTTAAGCCATAGGAACTTCCAACCTGCTGAGTCAGACCACATAAAAATATACTTTGCTTAAAGTGCATGGATAAACACAGACTGCTGTAGCACAGGGAGAACAGGTGTAATCTTATACCTTTGATAATAAAGAATTGTACTTTGCCTAAATTAGAAAATAAATTTTCTAAATTTTATTTCCACCTTTCACCCAACAGGAAAACAACATAATTATTAACTTCTTTTTCTACAACTCGAAAAGTTAAAAAAAAAAAAAAAAGATATAATGACAACTTTTCTAAAATGATCTGGCCTCAAACAAAAAAAAAAGCCACTGAAACACCATTAATGAAAGCAAGAGAACAGACAGAATACAGACTTTTTGATGTTTTGCAAAGGCTAATGCAGTTGCTTACCCTCAAAATCAACGTGTGTGGCATTACCCAATAGTCAGCATTTATGTAAGCTACTATTCTGCCAAAACAGCAAGAAAACAAGCAGGTTTCAAGTTTAAAAACCAATGAGGTTCATATAAAAGCCTCTAATGAAGTATATTTCAGACCAACAGCCATACGATCCCCTCCCCAGACTCATCTGAATGTCATGATGATCTAGAATAAAAGACATACTTCAGACCAGGCGCGGTGGCTCACACCTGTAATCCCAGCACTTTGGGAGGCCAAGGTGGGTGGATCACGAGGTCAGGAGTTCGAGACCAGCCTGACCAACATGGTGAAACCCCATCTCTACTAAAAATACAAAAATTAGCCGGTTGTGGTGACATGTGCCTGTAATCCCAGCTACTCAGGAGGCTGAGGCAGGAGAATCGCTTGAAGCCGGGAGGTGGAGGTTGCAGTGAGCTGAGATTGCGCCACTGCACTCCAGCCTGGGTGACAGAGTGAGACTCTGTCTCAAAAAAAAAAAAAAAAAAAAAAAAAAAAGACATACTTCATAAGCAAACAGTAAATATCATTAGGGCAATCATTTCAGAGCTTCTTTCCAGTCACAATTTGCTTATATAAGCAGCTAATTTAATCTCAATTCAATTGAAGAGACATTTTGAGTACATCCTGCATGGCAGGCCCTGATATACTTCCTAGGCACTAGGGAAACAAGCAGACTAGAAGTTCCCATTGATTAAAATTTAGTCCTTTCCTTCAAAGAGCTCATGCAGGGGGGAAATAGGTAAACAGTCACTGTACACTATGGCTATGAAATAATCCATCAGAGCTCATAAACGGCACACCCAGTCTTTCTTGTGGAACACATGTTAATATAATTAGATGGGAAAAGGATTCACAAGGATGATATCTGGCGTGAAGATTTTGTTAAATCAAATGCTATAAAAATTTAAAGTACCACCCTTACTAAACATCAATCTGGTTAGGGAAGAGGCAAAAGTACAAATCCTCTAATTACCCACAAAAGATTAGAATTCCCAATAATCAGTGAAAAAATGTTAGTATAGAGATTTTCCAACTTAAAAATGAGTTGATGGTGGGAATACCAAGACACATTTCTCCCAACAGTGTTATAAAATATTGGTAAATTCTATGAGTAGCTCCACTCCCAAGCCTACTTATCCATAATATGCTAAAATGCCATTTTTTATGAAACCCAGCTAATAATATAGTTCAGTTAATTAACAGAGAAAAACTCAATTAAAAGTGGTTTTTATATATAATGAACAATGGTTCTTATGCTTAAGGAAAAGCTGTTTAATTAAAGGAATGAAAAGGATTAAATGAAACAAGCTAGACATGTATATGTACTAGGCACTTTATAAGCATTATACAAATTTAATCCTCACAGCCACCTAAGATATATTTCTTAAAAGAATAAAGACAGAGAGATATAAATATGGAATCACAAAAGAATATAAATAGGGCACGAGTTCATTTTTGCAAGCTTTCAATAATCATATTTTTTAAATTTCACTCTAAGTCTATGGCTCCTCCCTCCCATTTACTTCTCTATTAAATTCAGGATGGACAATTCTAAACTATTGCTATTGGGAAAATGTGATGTTTCCATTGCATCTGAGTGTCATTCATTCACTCAACAAATGTTTATTGAGCTCCTAAATGCTAACTGCCTTAGGACAAGTAAATAACATACAAAAGGAGTTTACAATTAAGAAAACTAAACAAGCAGATCACAATCTTGTTGCTAGAATAGATGAAATACAGTATGTACAAGGCACCATCAATTTGTAAGATGAAAAGCTAAGAAAAAGAATTTGTAAGATGAAAAACTAAGAAAAAGAACTATCAAGTATGACACAATACTTTATCACTTAGAATTCATTTTACATTTTTTATATAAAAAAGAATTCATTCTATTTTTCTATAGAAGAAATAGCTCTTTTACACTTATATAGATCCATTATATATTACTTATGGAGACATATATATAATATATATAAATGAAAGCAGAATAAAATACTTAAGGTATTCCTGACCATTTCTTCATAGTTGGAGTCCCACTCTCTTTTGAATCACTTGGACCAATATAGTTTTCTGTGCCTCACAAGAACATTGGTGATGGAATGTTTCATATAACTAAACACCAGTTCATATGCCAGCTTTACAATTATTTAGAGCTATCTTACTTTTTTTGTTGTTGTTTTGTTTTGAGACAGGGTCTCCCTCTGTCATCCAGGCTGGAGTACAGTGTCACGATCATGGCTCACTGCAATCTCAACCTCCTGGGCTCAATTCATCCTCCCACCTCAGCCTCTCCAGTGGCTGGGACTATAGGGACATGCTACCATGCCTGGCTAATTTTTTAACTTTTTGTAGCGATGTGGTCTCACTATGTTGCCCAGGCTGGTCTCAAATTCCTGGGCTCAAGCAATCCTCCCACCTCGAACTCCAAAAGTGCTGGGATTACAAGCGTGAGCCACTGCACCAGCCCGTACTTTTTTTTTTTTTTTTGGTAGAGACAAGGTCTAGCTATGTTGCCCAGGTTGGTCTTGAACTCCTGAGCTCAAGCAATCCTCCCACCTCAGCCTCCCAAAGTGTTGGGATTACAGGCATGAACCATGGTGCCTGGCCTCAGCCTTACTTTTGACTCTCACTTTAGGAATGTTGCTCAACCCACCCGATTGAACACCCACGCCTCCTCACAAGCATTCAGTTCCTAGTGGTTAAAAGAGCAGTCCAGTTTTACCTCTAAGAAGTTCTCAACATGTATACGTTTTGTAAATTTTGATTCTGGTTTTGGTGTTCACTTATGTTCAGGCAATGAGAACCATGTTAGAATTGTTACCTGACCAACAGCATTGTTAAGACACTATCTCCCAATGCTTTAGGAGGCCAAGGTGGGCAGATCTCTTGAGGTCAGGAGTTTGAGACCAGCCTGACCAACATGGTGAAACCCTGTCTCTACTAAAAATACAAAAATTAGCCAGGCGTGGTGGCACACACCTGTAAACCCAGCTACTCGGGTGGCTGAGGCAGAAGGGTTGCTTGGACCTGTGAGGCAGAGGTTGCAGTGAACCGAGATCATGCCACTGCACTCCAGCCTGGGTGACAGAGTGAGAACTCTGTCTCAAAAAAAAAAAGACATTATCAATTTAAATGTAAAAAAGAAATGTATCTTAGAATTGAGGAAATACAGTAAGTTTCCATTAGACAGTTTTCCAATTTAAATAATATTTCTACACATAAATCATCTCATTTTCTCCTCAAAAATTCTATGAGGCTAGCATTATTATCTACATTTAAAAAAAAATAAAGTCAAGTTTGCACCAGTTAAGCGGTAAGTAGTAAAGCCAGGAAGAGAATCCTAGTTTGTTGATTTTAAAACCTACCTTCCTTCTACTACAAGACAGTAGAAGTATAGAACTAACTGGGTTGGCAAACTACAGCCTACGGGAAATCCAGCCCACCACCTATTTTTGCATGGCCCAGGATCAGAGAATGATCTTTACATTTTTAAAAGGTGGAGGGCAGGGGGAGAAGAGAGACTAATGACATGTGGAAATTATGTGGAATTCAAATTTCAGTGTCCATAAAGTGTTGTTAGAACACAGACACATTCAGTTACATATTGTCTGTGGCTACTTTCACTCTAAAACAGCAGAGCTGAGTAGCTGCAACAGAGACTAACATGGCCCACAAAGCCTAAAATACTATCTGGCTTTTAACAGAAAATGTTTGCTGATTCCTGGTAAAATGACAGGTGCCACCAAAGGACAGAAAATAGAAAAATCGGTGCAAGCTGGACTGATCAGAAAAAGCCTCAGAACTTTATTTTAAATGAATTTGTGCTATGTGTCCATTAAATTAAATTTTACAAAAACATTTAACTGTGTTACAGTAGAAAGCACAAAGAAACAAAGGTCCTTGCACTACAGGAGTTCTAAATGTTATTGAGGAAACACACAAAAATCTGCATAAAATTATCTTCGATAAGTCTGACACAGTAACAGTGAAAAAGTACAATACCAATGCAAACAATTGATGAGTGGAGATGCCAAAATTGTTATAGGTGCTCAGAGAAGAGAGAGCAAATGAATGAACTAAAGTAGTCTGAAAGTGCTTCATGAGTTTTAAAGATGGATAGGAGTTGAAAAAGTGGGCCGGGCGCGGTGGCTCACGCCTGTAATCCCAGCACTTTGGGAGGCCGAGGCGGGTGGATCATGAGGTCAGGAGATCGAGACCATCCTGGCTAACAAGGTGAAACCCCGTCTCTACTAAAAATACAAAAAAAAAATTAGCCGGGCGCGGTGGCAGGCGCCTGTAGTCCCAGCTACTCGGGAGGCTGAGGCAGGAGAATGGCGTGAACCCGGGAAGCGGAGCTTGCAGTGAGCCGAGATTGCGCCACTGCAGTCCGCAGTCCGACCTGGGCGACAAAGCGAGACTCCGTCTCAAAAAAAAAAAAAAAAAAAAAAAAAGTGAAGAAAATGGAAGGCATTGCCAACAAAATAAACTTGGCAATTGTTAAGTGCAAGAAACACTTAGGAAATTACCACTGCTTAGGACATGACTTTGGAGCGCTTTTAACACTAGCCTTTAATGGTGGACCACTTGCTCTGGTCCCTAAACTTGGTGAAGGTGCTTGGAAAATAGTCTTCGCTCTTAGAGAATAAGTGATAAATTGGGCAAGGGCAGAAAAATTGAATACTATAAAATAAGGCTAGTGTGAAAATAATTGCTAATTGACATTTGCTGTCTTATAATAGTGGACTTGCTTTCAGGTTTGGGGAATCAAAGAGGAAGACATAAATTGTCAAATTTTGATAAAATAAAAGTAACAAGCCTGAATCTGTACATATCATGAGACCTATTACAAGCCTATTACAAGACCTATTACAAGAGTTTCGACCATATAATTATTTTAAATCTCAAAGTAACATATTGTAAACACAATACATTTTACCTAAAAGCTGGTATTGAAATAGAGATTCTATTATTCTATGAAGTATAACCGCTTTTAGGAGAAAGGCAGTATAGCCCTAGTTATACCATCTTAAGGGAACTGATGGGGAAATAACGTTGTTCTTATAGAACGGGGTTAAATAGGCCAGGATTTGGGTTTCTCGTTCAGTTAGCACTAAAGGAGACAGCATTCTAAGCACCAGCAAAATTCAGACACAATTCCTACCCTTATGAACCTCAACAGTTTTGAGGAATACACAGTTGACCAATAATTACAATTCAGAGGACTAAGGAGAATAGAGAATGTTCTGCTTGTCTACAATGTGATATGCCTACTAGGAGATAATGACCAAAACCAACAAAATTATATGATCAAATCCTAAGGAAAGCCAGGAGGAAGGAGAGAAAGGGGAGAAAGGGAAGGAGGAAAAACCTTCCTTGCCTAGAGAACAATAACCAAGAAATGTAAGTTGTATGTTTTTACATGAATGTCTCAAATCTAAATAGGAATAACACATCAACATCTAGGCTGCTTAAGTCTGTTAAGAGAGTTATTGATGAGTCATGAATGGGCACAGTAGCAGTCTTAATCACTTGTTGTCACAAATTCTGTCAAAGTCTAGGAGTCTGGTAGTGGAGGCTAAATACTGAAGTTTAATTGCAGCCAGCTATTTAAATCAAGGCACCACTGTTTTTAAAATGTCCTTATTAGCAGTACTTTGAAGAGAATGAAAAGAAAGCAACCAGATGGCTGGCTGAGGGTTGTGGTAGGTCTGAAGTGTTCCTTACTCCAAGGCATGCCATTAAGCAGCAGACTTCAGGATTCTAAAAACTACATCATGAATCATGCTGTTAGAGATCATCTAACTCAAATCTTACTTTATGAAAGGAAACAACTAGGTGTTTATTACGTACCAAGCATGGTTTTGAACAGTACCATTAAAGTATTCTCATTTTAAGGTGACTCAGAAATACTAAATAACTTTCCCAGAGCCATTTTTGGTAGCACCGGAGCTTGGATTTGACTTTTTATTTTATAATTACTATTTTTAGAGATAGGGTCTCATTCTGTCTCCCAGGCTGGAGTGCAGTGGCACGATCACAGCACACTGCAACCTCAAACTCCCAGGCTCAAGTGATTCTCCCATCTCAGTCTCTCAAGTAGCTGGGACTAACAGGTGCGCACCACCATGCCTGGTTGTTTTGTTTTGTTTTAGTACAGACAAGTTTTTCCTATGTTGCCCAGGCTGGGGAGCTTGGATTTAAACAAGTACGTCAGGTGCCAAAGCGTTCTTTCTTTCCATGATAACGAGGCCCAGGAAGAGAAACTGACCAGAGTCATACAACTTGTTAGTGGCAGAGAGAGGATGTCTACTTAAACCTGGAAAAAGTCTATGGCCAAAAACACACACAGAAGCATATAGGAAAAGGACTGATAAGTAAACAACTTCGGTCTTCCGGTGTGGTTTGAAATGATTGGAATTTTCAATATAATCTCTTATTCAATCTTCAAAATATATTGGTAGAATATACCTGTAACTTGTAATCAATATTGTATTTGAAGAATATCTAAGTGTGGCCACCCTCTTAATAGAACTATTAATTAAAAGTTTCTTCTCTTAAAAAAAAAAAAACTATTTTGTAGTTTGAAGGAAACAGTCTTTCCCAAACAACTAGAGATGTTTTCTGAAATCTGACATCAAGTAGCATAACATGGAAGGCTCATTAGGTTTAAAATAAAACAAAAGAGCAAATTACCCAATTTTGGAGATACTAAGAAGAAATAGATTTGCTGGCAATAAGCAACAATGGAAAAACGGACTTTTACTCAGAAGTTCTGAAATGAATGTCAAGGGGCTGAAATCTGGCAATAAGGGGCAGGGGAGTTGGGGGTGGGATTATTACTTCCTATACTTACACTGCAATGAAAACAGTAGGGAAGTTGAAATCAGAAGATTAGGCTTCTCCACTTGTTAACCTCAGGATTTGGGCCAGATGCTGTTTATTCTCTATTCCAGACATTACCTGCCCACTTCCCACTCTCTCTTCCCTAACAGAATTGTAATACTTTTGTTTGAGCAGCTAGTGGAGATCTCTTGTTGTCTCTCCTCCAGTCCAAGGGAATGAATCAAAATTGGTCTAAACCAGTCATAGTTAATCCCATTCCCTACTGCCAGTGATTGGTTTTAGGATGGGTATGTGAACAGTTCTGGACAATAAGACTTAAGGGAAAAATCTGTTGGGGAGCTTGCATTTCTGGGAAAAAATTAAAAGACAAGCTTAGCTAGGAAAGGACTTTGGCCCCCGCTTCTTTTTATTTGTAAAGATAAGATAGAAGTAGAGTGGCAGCAGCCATCCTGCAACCATAAGGTGACAAGCAAGAGAAGGAAAAGCCACCATTCTAAGGATGGCAAAAGAAAGGATGCAAACAGCCTGGGTCCTGAATGAAATTGTTTAGCAACTGAATGAACCCTGGAACATCCTATCAATAATAAATGTCCTTGTAGTTTAAACTACAGTAAACTGATAACAGCAAATTAGATTGTTTCACATCAATATAATGTTGCTAATGTGAGTTTGGGGATTTTTGTAGACTTAATTGTATTTAAAGAGTAAATCTACTGAGTTTCACAATTATTTAAGAGTACTATTGAATTTAAGTAATATTAGATTGAATATAACTTAGGTCAATACTTGGAATCTGAAATATATTTCCTTCAAAAGGGATTCATACAAATTGAAAGATACCATATTTCTTCAAGGAACATTCAACATCATAAAAACGTTTATTCTAAATTAATGTTTGTATTTAATGTAATCCCAATAAAAATACTATCAGGATTTTTTTCTGGCACTAGTCTATGGGATTAGAAAGTTTATTTGTGAGAAAAAAACAAGAGGAACCACGAAAATCCTCAAAATGAATGAGGGGTAAACAACCTCTACCACCCATCAAAACATATTAATAAATCCTCTAATTAAAAGTACAGTAGTGGCACGTAAAAGAAACTCCACAGACCCGGATTTATATAGAAATTTGGCATATGACAAAGGTGTCATTTTAATCAGTGAGAAAGAAGACTTTTTTTTTTTTTTTTGAGACAAAGTCTCACTCTGTGTCCCAGGCTAGAGTGCAGGGGCATTATCTTGGCTCACTGCAACCTTTGCTTCCCGGACTCAAATGATCCTCCAGAGTAGCTGGGACTACAGGCACACACCACCACACCCAGCTAAATTTTTGTGATTTTTGTAGAGAAGAGGTTTCACCATGTTGTCCAGGCTGGTCTCCAACTCCCAAGCTCAAGTGGTCCACATGCCTTGGCCTCCCAAAGTGCTGGGATTACAGGCATGGACCACTGAGCCTGGCCAGGACTATTTCTTTATTGTAGTGAAATTTACGTAATGGGTAAAGGACTAAAAAATTTAATAAATGATGAAAACAACTAGATAGCCTTTGGATAAAAATAAAATGTCTTCTTTTCCTCACTTTGCATATCAAGATAAACTTCAAATGGATTAAAAAAAAATTGGCTCATGCCTGTAATCCCAGCACTTTGGAAGGCTGAGGTGGGTGGATTACCTGGGGCCAGGAGTTCAAGAGCAGCCTGGCCAACATAATGAAACCCCGTCTCTACTAAAAATACAAAAATTAGCTGGGTGTGGTGGTGCATGCCTGTAATCCCAGCTACTTGGGAGGCTGAAGCAGGAGAATCGCCTGAACCCGGGAAGTGGAGGTTGTAGTGGGCCAAGATCACACCACTGCACTCCATCCGGCCTCGGTGACAGAGCAAGACTCTGTCTCAAAAAAAAAAAAAAAAAAAAAAAGGACACTACACAGGTACCAGGAAAAAATATAAATGATTCCTTTATAACCCAAAAAAAGGAAAAGCCTTTCTGTGACTCAAGATCCAGAAGCAATACATGCTGGGAGGAAGGGAAGATGCTAATGAGTAACGAGTTTATGGGAGGATGAAAATGTTCTGCAATTAGTGGTGGTAATTGTACAACTGAGTGAATATACCAAAAATCACTGAATTGTACATTTAAAAGAGTGAATTCTATGGCATATAAATTTAACTTTTTAAAAATCTAATGAAAAAATAAAAAAAAAAACAGAAATACTGGGATTTGATTATTTTAGTAACTCAATTTGTGACCTTGAGCAAATCACTTCACTTTGCCCTTTATTTCCCCATCTGTGTGAATAGCTCATTAAAGCCTTCCTAAGAGGCCTGATATCCATAATAAATTTAAGAAGATGGATGAAAGACTATCTAATCAGATATGAATAAACATACAGCTTGTGGGGACAAAAAAGCTGATAACATAAGAAACTGAAAGGAGAGCTTCCACATAAACTATGAACCTTCTTCACAGTTCTCAATGTATAATTATCTACTAGCTATCATTCTTTAAGAGCTTATGTGTCAGTGTCAGGAACTATAAGTGCTTTTTATGTATTATCTTATTCTCACAGCACTCTCAGGTAAGCAGAAGTATTCTCATTTTAGAGATAAGAAAATAGACTATGAGAAGTTAAATGACTCGACCAATGTAAATACCTAAGTTGGGCTTCAAACTTAGATCTTTGTCACTTCAAATATCAAACCCTTCAATGCAAGCTATAGAAAGAACAATGGACTAAAAATACGAAGTCCTGGGTTTGAATGTTGTTCCTGCCACATAATGATTCTGTGATCTTAGGCAAGTCAATGAACATTTCAGTTTTCTCATTTATTAAAAGAAAATATTAACTCCTGCCCTAGTTTACCTCATAGAATATAAAAAGGGACTACTATATACATGTCAGTTAAATCACTACAGAGCTGGGCATGCTAGCATGTATCCTCAGTCCTACCTACTCAAGAGGATGAAGTGGGAAGACTGCTTGAGCCCACGAGTTTGAGGTTGTAATGCACCAAGATTATGCCTGTGAAAAGCCACTGTACTTCAGCCTGGGCAACACAGCAAGACTCTATCTCTTGCAAAAGAAAAAAAAAGGAATTTAAGAGATAATAATAGAAAAGTAGAACTTTTTTTTTTTTGAGATGGAGTTTCGCTCTTGTTGCCCTGGCTGGAGTGCAATGGCGCGATCTCGGCTCACCACAACCTCCGCCTCCCAGGTTCAAGTGATTCTCCTGCCTCAGCCTCCTGAGTAGCTGGGATTACAGGCATGTGCCACCACGCCAGCTAATTTTGTATTTTTAGGAGAGACGGTGTTTTTCTATGTTGGTCAGGCTGGTCTTGAACTCCCGACCTCAGGTGATCCACCCGCCTCGGCCTCCCAAAGTGCTGAGATTACAGGCATGAGCCACCACACCTGGCCAAAAAGTACAACTACTGATAAACCAAAAACACGTTGAATAATGAATGGCTTTAATATTTTATAGTTCCTCTAATAGTAATAGTATATACGAAAGCAGTGACTTTCAAAAGATACTTCTCTCAAGCACACCAGGGGTGCAAAGCAAATAGGGATCTCAAATCTACTTTAGTCAGAGTAGCTCTAAAAGCTTTAATAAAGAAGTTCAAAACCACTGTTTTTGGCAACATCCATTGGCATCTATTAAAAGGAAGAGTGACACCAGGATTTCAGGCCTTACCCAAGAGAAAATATTAGTGTACTGAAAAGTGAATGGATTCTAGAGACTAAACTTAGATTGAATCCTAGCTCTGCTACCTACTAGTTGGGTTACTTTTAATCTCTGGGTCTGAATGTCTTTACCCACAATGCAGGAAAATATTCACCATGCAGGTCTGTGGACACATTAAATAACATAAAGTTACCATTACAATGTCTGGCACACAGTACTTACTTTAAAAATTGCTATTATTAAATTATCCAACAATACTTTGGAATTACTAAATCTAATCTGAAAAACTGAATTATGGAAACTCATGAAAAATCACCAACTCAGAATATGCACCCTGAATATGCAAACATGCCTAAATAATGTTTAGTGAAATTGAAGGCAAGAGATCATGAAAAATAGTTAAGAGTAAGCCACACAAGAGACTATCAAGAGAACAGGACTAACTTGTGAGTAACATAGATAGAGTGGAAGAATGGAAGTTAAGAAAAAAGCAAGTAAGCATAAGGAGACATAAAGAATGCTTTGAAATTGGTGTGAGACTTCATAAATTACGACTGAAGAAAAAGACTGAATCCTAGATTATATGCAAATGAGTAAGATACACAACTCAAAATAAGTATCCCCAGATGACAATTATGACTCCAAAATACACAATGGGTCTCACAGTCAAGAGACCCAAGTCCTAGTCCTTAACGGCCCTACCGCTAAGCTTCTAGGGTACCTTAGGAATATCTGAGTCTCAGTTCCCTCATTTATTAATACATTCCCTTATAGAATACAGAACTCTCTGAATATTGGGTTCCTCAACTACATGAAGTGGTGAAATGAGACCATGTCTATGCTTTCTCTCAGCTTTATGATTCTAAGGAGAAAGAGAATCTATATTATTACTACCATGAGACTTAGATGAAGCCTGCTTATATACCAATAAAGTAGAAAAGAAAGATACGGGAAAATAAGCCATTTGAGGACCACACAAATATTCGCCAATATATGCTCTTCTCTTCACAATACTATCATAAAGAAAGGCCTTTCTAAAGAACTTTCTTTTCCAGGATAAGCAGTTAACCTAAACCAAGAAGACCAAAGCATCTTTTTAAAAAGGTAAGTTGTCCAGGCACAGTAGCTCACTCCTATAATCCCAGTACTTTGGGAAGCCAAGTGGGGCAGATCACTTAAGGCCAGGAGTTTAAGACCAGCCTGGCCAACATGGCGAAATCCCCTCTCTACTAAAAATACAAAAATTAGCCGGGCGTGGTGGTGCATGCCTGTAATCCCAGCTACTTGGGAGGCTGAGGCACAAGAATCACTTGAGCCCGGGAGGTGGAAGTTGCAGTGAGCCGAGATTGTGCCACTGCACTCTAGCCTGGGCAACAGAGTGAGACTCTGTCTCTAAAAAAAAATAAAATGAAAAGTAATAAAAAATAAAAACGATAAATTACTAACAATTATACAATCTTCTAATCAGCAGATTTTCCTTTTTTTTTCTCTCAGTATCTTCATTCAGTTCTTCAATCTTCAGAGAACTTGTTTCTCCAAGATGAGAAGCTGAGCTCTAATTAAGCTTATCTAAGGAATGTATAATTATTAAAAATCTGATTTTCTTATGTATTTGTATAGAAGGGTGCTGGTATACTGAAAAATCAAATTTATTTTAAGAAAGGCAGCAACTAAGATATTTAACAACAATTAATGTTACATTAATATTAAACTCCAGGTTAGTTTTCCCAAATAATGTTATGGGTCAGTTTCCAAATTCTCTTTATTCATGTTATAGTCCAACTTTTCTGTCTTCCAAAGCCAAAACAATCTTCACTTTACCTTCTATGTAGCCTTCTACCTCTATTGTGCGTCTATCTCTCTATCTCCTCCTGCTAAAGTTTTCTCATTTTTCTACTGCGTATCATAGCAGGTCTCCACTCAATTCTTAGTTTCCTTCCCTGGTTTTTCCACCCATTTTTCCCATTCCTTTACCCCACTGTTTTATAGGATTCTCCTTTCTTTTCATCCCTAGGACTTACTGTCACAGTACTGCATCTCCTACTCTCGCCTCCTTTTTGATAAGTTTTTACACATATTACTTCTTCAGAACCTAAGGTTTCTCTTCTGTAGTCCTTTTTCAAAGAATATCTACCAATTCATCTCTAGAATCCCAAATATACTCTGGAGCCCTCATACCTAAGTATCTTTCCTACTCCTTTTCTCTTTACAGTCACTAATTCCCAGAATCCTGTTTGAAACTACAAATATCCCCTCAAAACCAAATGCCTATTCAATTCTCTCCACTTTCCAGCAATTACTTCTCCCATGTTCACCTCATTCTTTCTCCTCGGCCCAAGTATCCCCTAACCTGGCACAAGCCATTTAACGATCTAAAATTCCAAAACCTATCTCTTCTACATGGCTCTCCTTCCTTTCCAGCAAACTATTTCTCGAACTCCCAATGCTTCACTAATTCAAAGTCTTAGGCCAGTACGTCGCTTCCCTCAGATCTACTAGCCCAGCAAAAACTGATTGCCCAAATCTTCCTCTAAGCTTCCCAGACCTTACAACTGCAGCACTTCCATTCACCAAACCGTATTTATAGTCATCTCTCAATCTTTAGAGCCTATGGTCACTCTGTAAATTCTTCAGTTCTCTCCTTCTTCTCTCTCCCTTATCCTGTCCAGCTTCTCACTCTGTAAATTCTTCAGTCCTCTCCTTCTTCTCTCTCCCTTATCCTGTCCAGCTTCTCAGCACATTCCTACTACCCTTAACAATCTTCGTGGCTATGTTCTCCACCTTACCTTAGGCCTACTCCCTAAACTTTCTCATTCTCCCTTAAGAGACCTAATCTCACCTCTCATTCGCTGAATCTGTCTTTACACCTCTGGGAATTCTCTAGAATCGTCTGCTTCCTAGTTCTCCTCTTTCCTTCTCCAGCCCTGTCTCGAGTGTTTTCTACCCCCCTCAGCTTTTCTAGTATCTAGTTCTCACAGTGCAGATATTAGAACTCTGATAATATCTACTCCTCCCAAACCTTTCCTTAGTTGTTGGCCCAATTCCCCTCAACTTTTCTCTCAGTCATTCCCCACTTCCCTCCACCTTCCCTGGCCGATTCTCCTCCACCTTTGTCACCGTTCTACTCCCTTTTCTAAGCCTCCTTTATTGTGGAAGTGATTCTCAGATCCCTTATGTTAGTCTCTCAGCTTCCCCAACCTTTGCCTCATTCCCCTCTCCCTTCAACAACGTTATTTTTCCTCCAATTTCTATTGACTTGGCGCCTCCCCTAGTACCCCAATCTGCCTTCTACTCCATCTAAATATCTCCAGGCCGCCAACATTTTCTCCTATCAGTAGACTCCTTTCCCGTGCCTCTATGAACGCCCAGAGATACCATTCTCCAACGGCTGGGGCCTGGCCCATAGGGAGAAGGGGTATGGGTCACGTACCCCATTCGCATCTTGGCTCCGCTCTGACTGCCCCCGCTGCCGGGTAGAGGTGGGCGAGAGGGAAGGCGGCCGAGGTGCATGCTCTTTTCGAGGGCCGACATCGAGGGGAGGCTGCACGCACGTAGTCAAACAGTAGGCGAAGCTTCGTCCCACGTTGAGTGTGGCCCAACCGGTCACGACTCGCTCCCCTAACGACGCCCTGTCGCCTTTGGACAGCACCCAGCTACCCGTAGCACCGCCTACCGCCCACCGGCTCCGTAAACTCCACCCACTCGCTTCAGCGCTTCCACCGGAAGTGCGCAACAGCACTCATACAAAGGAAGCTGGGTAACAGAGTATGAGAACTCCGCAGACTCCCGGCTGGGAACCCGACGACTTTCACCGGAAGGAGGAGCGCTCTTCAGGGCAATGCACCCTGCGCAATGGAGTCCACAAAGGGCGCATCCCTATGCGCTTGCGCAGCTGGAGGCGCCCCCCAGCCAACCCCGGAGAGGTATTGTAGCAAAGCGTCCTGGGTATTGTAGTGTATTGGAGGGAAGGCGTCTTGGCGCCTTCTCTTCGCACCGTTTTCCGGAGACTGTTAGAGGAAGAGTCGCTTTTTCCTGCCTCCCAGGCTGCCCAGCGGCGCCGGTTGCCGGGGAACGCAGGCGCCGTGGGGAGGGATGGCGGGAGGATACTGCTTAGGTGCTGGAGACGGAGTTGAGCTGGTGAAGAAGAGCTCGGGCTCATCATGAAACAACGAAAAGGCCAAGGGTCTGGGGGCAGCCGTGGGCGCAAAAAAAGAGGTAACCTGAGCGATCAAAGATTGAGGAAAGCGTAATAGGAGAGCAGGGTGTAAGGAATTTTAGGGAGACCCGCACCCCCGCTGGATAAACAAGAAAAGGGACGTAAGAAGGAAGTAGCCAGGGAACCAGAAGGTTAAAAGGAAGGGCAATTGGCCCTCCAGAGAATAGAAAGGAATTAGGGGCTGGGGTAGGGGCCACAGACAGGCGATTAATGAGATGAAGGTTACCGGTAGGATGACTGTAGAGGAGAAGAACAAACAATGATGGGATTGGTTTTGATAACGAAGTGAAATGTATGTGTGTGTGTAGCTTTCGAGGTCCACAGGGACAGGAAGAAACATAAATTGGCAAAGGGATTATATCATTTGTTGTGTGATTGTGGGCAAGAATCACGTTTTATACATTACTGAATGACCAAGGATTAGTACAAAGCAGGACTCGGTAAATGTTAGTTGAATGAATGAAGTATGAAGGGCTGACTATGAGCAGGAGTTGGGAAAAATAATTGTAGAGTATAGAGCCGGGAAGAGTGGGGAATGACAGGTGTGATAGGATTGGAGTGGGGGTAAGGGCATGACGATCTCCTGAAGGACCTGAGATCATGAAAGAGTGTGCAGCAGAGAGTCCTCATCAGGTTAGCAGCTCAAGGAGACACAAGCTCACCGAGTAGGGGATGTTAGCTGCAGTGAGAACAGTCAACCTAGGAACCCAGGGCAGATCAGGAAACTTGACATTGAATCTCTACAAGACTGCCTCGAAGGGAAAAAGGACAGTGGGTGACCCTGCCTTTTTGCATTGTAGGCAGTTTAGCGAGAAAAGAAGTATTGGGAACAGTGATAGGACATTAGGCCATTGGGTTGAGGACTGAAGCTACAATCTGGGAATTACTCTTATCCAAGCTGTTTAAAGATTACTAAGGCAGTTTTGAGATACTGACTTTCCTGCCAGGAAAGATAGGAGGATCTGAGACTGAAGCATACTAGTGCTCCCTGTGTCAAAACAGTTAAGCATGTTTGGTTGATAATCGGAAAGTCAAAGTAGAAATAATATAACATAGCATAGAACAGAATACACTTTTTGCTATACCATTTCCATATGTAGAAATGTATACACAACTGTGTATAATTTTTATGTTGAAACTATCCATAAGGATTATGGTGGGTCTTTTCTCCACTATAGAGGGCAGAGGCGGTGTTTGCATTAGAAGTCCAAATAATTAGTCCTGATCTGATACATTCCATATATTTTCTTCTTTGAGGCATAACCACTCCTCAAAGAAAAGTCAAAGGAAAAAAAAGGTATAAATAATATAGGAATGGTTTCTTAAATCTCCTTTAAGTTTTCCCGAAAAGGTACTATGAATGAAAGACAATCAGGGTCATTAAAGGAAAATTTTTTAGAAAGTCATGATTAATTGCTTTGTTTACACTTTAATGTCTTTATGAAACCCAATAAATACTAAAGCCAATAAATATATGAACCCAGCACTGTGTTAAAAATAGTGGCAGAATCTGAAGATTAGATAGTCTGTGTCCTCACTGACTGTGTGATCTTGGCAGGAAAGAAAAGTTACAATTTAAGACGTTCTTCATTGAAATGCTGAGTTGTATGATATAGTCTAAATCGTTTGTGAGTGAAGGGAGTTGTTGCTGTTTTATCGTTAGTGATTTTTTTAAAAGAGAGTTAGATAAAGATTACATATCTTAAAAACCATAGATGTTGCAATAATTAAAACAACTGTACTTAGAAAAATTTCAACCATACTTAGAAAAATGTCAACTACTTCTGATATTTGTATTTTTCAAATAGTAACTCAACTAAAGAAAAGTTTATATTAGTGTGTCTTTGTTGGTATGTTCTTAACTTAGAGTAAATCAAATCAAACCTTAAATACTAATTAGTTATCAGAGTGGCTTACATGACCAGATAGATTATTCGGTGGTCTGATTTGATAGTTACTTCTCATGTATTAGAATAATGGGTAGGATAAACCTTCTTTCTAAGTGGTGATAAATTGCTGAACTTAAGACTAAAGTGTTCTGTTTGTTTTCATTCAAAAAGCATATTATATGTTTTCTATATTTAGTCTAAATTTTGACTCAGTTTTCTTGGATTCCTCTACAGGTTTAAGTGACATTTCTCCATCTACAAGCCTGCCACCTCTGGTTGAAGGCCAGCTACGCTGTTTTCTAAAACTTACTGTTAATAGAGTCATATGGAAGATTGCAAAGCCTCCCACTTGTGTACTTGTCCGAGTGAGATGGTGGGGAGAAACATCAGATGGAACCCTCTTTTGTCCCAGGGATGCATTGCAGACTGAACCAAAAGCTGTGAGAACAACTACACGTTACGCTATTCGTTGTGGTCCAAAACAGTTTACCTCTTATCTAACAGGTATGTTATTGTTTTATCATTGCACCTGCAGACGTAATACAAAGCATGTGGTTATATTGTCAGCAATAAGTGTTGTTGTGTACCTAGCATATATGGGCATTCTTAATTATTGAAGAGTCAAAGAGTTTTTATAGTAGACATTTTTCTTTGTAAATTTATTGAGTGTTACTGTGTGCCAGCAGTTTTGAAATGTATTACTTCTAATCCTTACAATAACCCTGAAAGATAGGTATTTTCTCTGTTTTATAGACAATTAAACAAGTTGGAGAGATGAAATGAATACTTTCTAAGGTCACAAAGTTGATAAATGGCTGAATTAGGATTTGAACCCACTTCTGTCTGTCACCAAAACTCATGCTCTTTTCACTACACCATGCTTTTTTAGGTAATAACTGTAGTCTCAACTCTGGGGTTTACATTATACTCAAGGAAAGAGGATATAGATGTAAAATTTACCAATAGTACAAGATAATACATACTAAATGCTAAATGAATGGTTTAGTGAGTTAGTATTACAGATGTTCAGAAATGGAAAGCATCCCTCTGTAGGGAACCAGAAGCCAAGATGTCTTCATTTTTGTACAAGAAAAGTATTCTGAGTGTACTATGTTACTTCTTTATTCAGGTCAAGCTTTCACATAAATACATTTTGGATGATGGGGTTATTTATCAAGTCAATTCAGTTCAAGTCAATAAAATTCGAGCATTTATCATGTAAACATGGTTGGGCTCAGAATATTGGAGAGCCAGGGGTGAGTTAAGATTAACTTGTCCTTGAGTAACTTACATTCTCTCGAGAAAAAATTTTTGAAACATCAACATGTAAAGAACAAATGCTGTAATTCAGTCATTCAAAAAATATGTTTAGCACATACTACACATTGTTTTAGGCACCATGGGGTTTACAAAAAATCCAAAAAATTAATAAGAATGATCCCGAACTCTAACTTCACAAAAAAGTTTAGTTATTAATAGTAGGTTAAAAGCAGTAAGTGCGATTAAAAGATATAAATAATCTTGGTACTGTAAGCTTAAAAATTAAATCCTCAGGTAGTATTTTTATATAATATAACAAATGAGGAGTGATTAGAAATTCAATAAGAGAGAAGGTATTTATTAACATGGTAATCAACAGGTCAGACATTTATTTGAACATCTTATGGTATATTGGTGCATTGGACTTGGCATCCGAACATTTACATTGGTGTTACCAACTACATGATTTTAGGAAAGTCTCTTCCCATATCTGATTCCTGTTTCCCCATCTGTAAAATGGGATCATATAGTTGCCCTTCCATTTTCTAGATATTTGCACAAAGAAGCAACCCGGTTGAACGGGTTGACATCTAGACAGTCTAGAGTTTGAACTCTGGCTTCAGGACTAGATTGTTAGGTGATGCTGAGAGGTTCCTTAGCATCTCAGGGCCCCAGTTTCCTATTAGTTAGTTGGGAAAAATAGCACTTACCTGTCAGGAATTATTGTGAATACTAAATGAAAAAAATGTTTGTAAAGTGATCGGTCTAGTAGCTGACACATTGTAGGTACAAGTCTTATAAAAATATTAAGACTCAGGCAGCGTGTACAGAGATTTGAGATGTATTCCCTGCCCAAAAGGAACTTAAAGATTAGTTGAAAACAAAACTGACATACATGAAACAGTATTGAGCAATGCCAGACAGTATATAATTAAATGTCTGATTACTTGACACATATAGTAATATCATATGAATATTCTAGGAAGTTAATAAGGGCTAATCTTATGTTATTAAGAAGCCAGAATCCTGCTTCTACTCTATGCTCTTGCTGTTTGACTTTGAGCAAGCCATTTCATCTTCTTGGGCCTTAATTTTCCCACCAGTAAATTGAAAGAGTTAAAACATCAAATGTGCCAGCACCCAAATTTCATAATTCTAGTTAAGAAAGAAGGCCATGGAAAAGGTAGAATTTCAATAGGAGACACATGAGGTGAACCTTATAAGTGACAGTCCAACTGTAGACATGACATGGTTTTTTTTTTTTTTTTTTTAAGACGGAGTCTCACTCTGTTGCCCAGGCTGGAGTGCAGTGGCGCAATCTTGGCTCACTGCAAGCTCCGCCTCCCACTTCCTGGGTTCACGCCATTCTCCTGCCTCAGCCTCCTGAGTAGCTGGGACTACAGGTGCCCGCCACGACACCCAGCTAATTTTTTATATTTTTAGTAGAGATGGGGTTTCACCGTGTTAGCCAGGATGGTCTCAATCTCCTGATCTCACGATCTGCTCGCCTCAGCCTCCCAAAGTGCTGGGATTACAGGTGTGAGCCACCGCACCCGGCCGACATGATGTGTTTTTTAGAAAATGAAGCGATAAGAGGCTGAACGTGGTGGCTCACGCCTGTAATCCCAATACTTTGGTGGCTGAGGCAGGAAGATCACTTGAGGCCAAGAGTTCAAGACCAGCCTGGGTAAAACCCTGTTTCTACAAAAAAATTAGATTCCACATGCATAGCAAGACCCTGTTTCTACAAAAAAAAATTTTTTTAATTAGCTGGGCATGGTGGTGCACACCTGTAGTCCCAGCTACTTGGGAGGCTGAGGTGAGAGAAATCACTTGAGCCCAGGAAGTCGAGGCTGCAGTGAGCCATGTTCATGCCGCTGTACTCCAGCCTGGGTGACAGAGTGAGACCCTGTTTCTAAAAAAGAAAGAAAATGACAGAAAATGAAGAGATAAGACATCAAATATTAGTTCACAAAAGTATGTGCTCTAACCAAAAACTTGGAAAAAGTATGCTATTTCTTAAGCTGTGTGGTAGGTATTCGCATTATTATTATTTTATTTACTCTTTTGTGTACATATTTCACTTAATACAAAATGCAAAAAGTAAACTAATTAATATGTTGTCACATATTAGCATGAACCATATTTTTTTCTCAAGCCATTTTTATTACACTTAAGGTATTAAGACAAGTGCAAAATAACCTTGTAATTAGGATACTGTATCAGTCAAAAAAGGAGAAGTCACTATTGCATGAAGAGATTTACAAATGAGTGAAATATATAGGCTGTGCCAGAATTAACATTTGAAATGAGATGGGGTTGCTCTTTTTTTCTAGGCTGGAGAGAGGTAGTAAGAACGATTATATGAGTTCCTCAGATAAAAATAACATATAAAAAAAGAAGAGGAAATGTATCACATTTTACAATTTTTGAAATACTTTCAAGTCTATCATCTTATTTGATGTTTAAAATCATTTTATTTATTTCTTCGTATCTATTTTATTTTATTTTATTTTTGAGAAAAGGTCTCTCTCAGACAGCCGGGCTGGAGTGCAGCGATGCAAACACAGTTCACTGTAGCCTCAACCTCCTGGGTTCAAGCAATCTTCCCACCTCAGCCTCCTGAGCAACTGGGAATATAAGCACATGCCACGACACTCACCTAATTTTTGTATTTTTTGTGGAGATGAGGTCTCATTGTTGTTCCCCAGGCTGGTGTCAAACTTCCATACCCAAGCAATCCTCCTGCCTTGGCCTCCCAAAGTGCTGGGATTACAGGTGAGCCACCATGCCTGGCCACTTTCTTCATATCTATTTTACCTTATTCTAAACAGAAGTTAAGGCAATTGCAAAAACATGTTAAGTACAGATTTCTGTTTAACTAATGAGAAAACCTTTACATTTTAAATCTTCATAACTTTTTGTTTACAGAAAGTGAAAATACAGTAGGAGAAATAAGATGAAGCCTCTGCAGAGCACTAGAAAGCATGCTCTGAGGCCCTGTACATTTGCAACGGGTATTATCCTGATTTTCTGAGTGACGAATTTGAGGTTCAAAGAGTTAAAAGTAACTAACCCAAGGTTACCCTGGCACCAACCCTAAATTCAGGGAGGCACTTGACTCCGAAATTATTGATACTTCTATTGTATTATACTGCCTTAGGAAATAGAAGGATTATAGGATTCTGAGATATGCCTCATACTCTTACATCTTTCTTCCTTTACGTTTTATTCTGTTGCAGAAAATAGCAGCCATGAAAATGTTTGGAGCATGGAACTACTAGAGTAGAAACTGAGAAAATTATGGCTACACTACGTGATTTTTACCTGTCTTTGATCAGATAGGATTCAGTTAGTAGGAATGTGAAAGACAAATCGGAGTAGGAATAGTGCTGGACAGTAGGGATTCTAATTCCACAACAAGTGAAGTATAAAGGTCAGAAGTCTACTAAGAATTAAGCTTTTTGTCCTAGAAGTGATGAATAGTGTAGTGGACTTATAATTAAGTGTAGTGGACTTATAATTGGATAGAACTGAGTTTTAGCCCAGTTCTGTCAATTTAAAGCTGGGTGAACCTAGGAATATACATGACTTTGCGGAGCCTCTTTTATCCCCAAATGAAGACAGAAACACCAGTATCGTAGAGTTGTTAAGAGAATTAATGAGATGTGGAAGACCCTGGCTGTTAGTAAATAGCCAATGAATACATGTTAGTCCATTTCCCTTATTCTTCATGTGTACATCATTTTATAGTCTACAAAGCACTTTTATATCTATTTGCTCATATGACTTTCAGATAACCCCCATGAGTGGTGTATTAGTCCATTCTCATGCTGCTATAAAGACATACCTGAAACTGGGTAATTTATAAAGAAAAGATGTTTAATTGACTCACAGTTCCACATGGCTGGGGAGGCCTCAGGAAACTTACAATCATGGCAGAAGGGGAAGCAAACACGTCCTTCACATGGCAGCAGGAGAGAGAAAAATGAGTGCCCAGCAAAGCAGGAAGCCCCTTATAAAACCATCAGATCTCGTGAGAGCTAACTCACTATCATGAGAACAGGATAAGGAGAACCGCACTTGTGATTCAGTTATCTCCCCCGGTCCTTCCCATGACACATGGGGATTATGGGAATTACAATTCAAGATGAGATTTGGATGGGGACACAGCCAAACCATATCAAGTTGTTACACAGGGACTATGATATGTCAAGTAATTTGCCTAAAGTCATTTACCAACCATTCAGCAACTACCATGTGGGAAGACACTGGACTGTACTAGTGTTCTGCTTGCAGCAACCCCAGTTCCTCAGAACAGCAGTGATGCGAATATTATGAGCCTACTTTACAGACAACCATGGCTTATACAGAAATAGCTTGTGAATATTGCAGTCAGAACACAATCACAAGTCTTCTAATAATAATTCCTACATGCTTTTCACTACAGTATTAACAAATGCTGAAAACGAACCATTTTCTCAACTTTGGTTAAGAAAATACCAGAAGTTAAACTGTTCTGAAATGATCTGAGATTCCTTATGCATACATTATATTTCTTCTCCTCTGGGCATGAAGGTATTAGTCTAAGTGACCAAAGAGTATAGTTGAGAAGTTTATTTTCATTTCTCTTGGTTCCAAGTGCTCTCAATAGCTCAGTGGTCCAGATATAACCCAAGAGTATGCAATTAGATACTCCTGGGAGGCAGGGACCAACCCTTGCAGCTGTGCAAGGGCAATCCTTTGTCAATTCAAAACTAGAAATGGTGAGAATGAAAACTGAGATTTGTTGCTCTGTGTGTCAAAACCAAAGCCTGAGTTATTGGCAAATACATTTAACAATACTCTTTTAAGGGTATTTTTCTTATCAAATACTTGCTATGCTAAATATTTTTGGTCAGTTGATTTATTTTTTCCTCAGTGTGTGGTATTTGTTGTTGTTCTGTGAATCTTTATTGTTCTTTTGATCTTGGGTTCATACTCCTCTACCCCCAGAATGGTATGATAAGTGATTATTTGAAATTAAAATACTTTTTTAAGTTAAATTACTTTTTCCAGATAGTTTTGTTATCTCTGTTATAGTTTTTAAATCAGTTGTATTTTCTATCAGTTGTGTCACTTTTTTCATTAGGAAATACATGCACATGGTAAAACATTTTAAAGGTATGAAAGGTTACCAGTCTCTTGTGTATCTTTACACAAGAATATATTTACTTATAAAATAAATTCTATACTAATAAAAGCTCTTTGCATAATTTCTTTTATTTACACAGATTATATACATATACAGTCAGCACTTTTTTTTCTACTTAGCAATTCATCTTGGATGTTGTTCCATATCAGTATAGAGCTACTTATATTCTTTTTATTACTTTATTTTTCACCATTTTGCCATTATTAAAAAAACACATTTTATTAAATATTCTGGTACATAGATCAATTTACAGCTTGTAAAATAAAGTTTAAGGAGTAGGCTAGCCTTGGTGCCTCATACTTGTAATCCCAGTACTTTGGGAGGCCAAGATCAGGGGATCACTTGAGGCCAGGAGTTTGAGACCAGCCTGGGCAACACAGTGAGACCTTGTCTCTACAAAAATAAAAAAAATTACCCCAGTGTGGTGGCGTGTGCCTCTAGTCTCAGCTACTTGTGAGGCTAGGATGGGAGAATCACTTGAGTCCTGGAGTTCGAGGTTGCAGTGAACTATGATTGTGCCAGTGCACTCCAGCCTGGGCGACAGAGACCCTGTCTCAAGAAAAAAAAAAAAAAAAAAAAAGTAGAACTTCATGGAAAAAGGAATGTGCTTTTGTACTTTTTTGAGTTATTGCTGAATTGCTTTCCAGTTAACCATCCTATTAGCAACTTATTAAAGTACCTAATTCCCCTCACTTTCACCAATGCAATGGTGTTATCCAACATAAAATATTTTTTTTCAAGTTAGAAAGCTTTTCCGCATATACCCCTCTACCCACGTCTTAAAAAAGAAAATAAAAGTAAATGAAAAATATCCATGTTGTAATTGTTTCTGGTTAGATATGGCTGTGCTGGTGCTGGAAGTAATCACCAAACTTGATGGTCTTCCAATTGGTAGAGTTCAGATCAATGGACTAGCTCAACTTTCTCCAACCCATCAAATCAATGGATTTTTTACCATTGTTTCATCAACGTCTAAGAAACTTGGAGAACTCCAGGTAAAAATATATTTTAATTATTTGCTGCATAAAATAAACTTTTTGGGCAGAAATAGTTGAGTCTGTTTGTAGAATGGATAGGTCCATGGCTCCTGTATATCATGCTAATTTCCACCTCATGCCTTTGCCCATGTTTTTACCCAGTAGACCTACTTTTGTTTCCCACTTATCCAAATCCTCTTAGTGCCTTAGTGCCATCTCAAGTTCCGAGAGTCCTTCACACCTCCTACAGCATTCATTCTTCTTGTACTCTTTTTTACATTCATAAAAGCATTAATTAATCATTGTACAGTTATAATTCTACATAGTTTCCAAAATTGTTTATTAGTAGGCTCTCTTTAATTCCTCTTCGTTTTAGTTTCTAGATTCCCTGAGAGGCAAGCCTTTGTTTTCTCTTTTCTTTGTTTTTCACATAGCTCATAATATAGTACTGAACAATAATTGCTTGTTTGACTCATGTAAGTGGTATCTTTGATGTATTCATTTATTGATTCAGCTTACTTTGTAAATTTTATTTCTAATTGACGCGTGATACACATATTTTTAGAGTACAATGTGAGGTTTAGATACATATATACATTGTGTAAGGATCAAATCAGGGTAATTAGCATATCCATCATCTCAAACATGTATTATTTTTCTTTGTGGTGAGAACATTCACAGTCCTCTCTTCTGGCTATTTTGAAATATACAGTTCATTATTGTTAACTGTATTCACCCAACTGTACAATAGAACACCAGAATTTATTCCTCCTAACGGTACGATAGTACCCATTGACCAACCTCTCTCCATCCTCCCTCCCTGCTACCTTCCCTAATCTTTGTTAACTACTATTCTGCTCTACTTGTATGAGATCTACTTTCTTTAGATTCTATCTGAGTGAGATTATGCAGTATAATATTTGTCCTTCTGTGCCTGGCTTATTTCATTTAACATAATGTCCTCCAGGTTCATCCATGTTGTCACAAATAGCAGGATTTCATTCTTTTTTATTGTAAATAGTATTCCATCGTGTATATATACATTTTTTAAATCCATTGATTTGTTGATGAATGCTTAGGTTGATTCCACATCTTGGCTATTGTGAATAGTGCTGTGATAAACAGAGTATAGGTATCTCATTGACATACTGATTTTATTTCCTTTGAATATACAGTCATGCATTACTAATGATGGGGATATATTTTGAGAAATGTGTCCTCAGGCAATTTCATCCTTGTGCGAACGTCAGTGTACTGACACAAGCCTAAATGGTATAGCCTACTATACACCTAGGCTTAGGGTATAGCCTATTGCTCCTAGGGTACAAACCTATATAGCATGTTACTATACTGAATACTGTTGTAACACAATGAAGGCAGTTATAACACAATGGTAAGAATTTGTGTATCTAAGCATATCTAAACAAAGAAAAAGTACATAAAAATAACAGTATAAAAGTTAAAAGATATCAGTATAGAAGATAAAATAACAGTATAAAAGATAAAAGATATATACCTATATAGAGCAGTTATGGATAGAGCTTACAGGACTAGAAGTTGCTCTGGGTGAGTCAGTGAGTGAGTGGTGAGTGAATGTGAAGGCCTAGGACATTACCATGTACTACTGTACTGTAGACTTTATAAACACTGTACACTTAGAAGACTACACTAAATTTACAAAACAATCTTGTTCTTTAATAATAAATTAACCTTAGCTTACTTTAACTTTTTTTACTTTATAAACTTTTAATTTTTTTTTAACTTTTTGACTTTTGTAATAACAATTAAAACACAAACACATTTTACAGGTATGCAAAAATTTTTTATATCCCTATTCTATAAGCTTTTTTCTATTTTCATTTTTTTTTAACTCTTTAAACATTTTTGTTAAAAACTTAGACACAAACACACACATTAGCCTAAGCCTACACAGGGTCAGGATCATCACTATCACTGTCTTCCACCTCCATATCTTGTTCCACTGGAAGGTCTTAGGGTCAGTCACACACATGGAGCTGTCATCTCCTATGATAACAGTGCCTTCTTCTGGAATACCTCCTGAGGACCTGCCTGAGGCTGTTGTACAGTTAACTTTGTTTTAATAAGTAGAAGGACTACACTCTAAAACAAAAAGAAAAAGTATAATATAGTAAATTGTAAACCAGTAACATAGTTGTTTATTATCATTATCAAGTATTATGTATCATACATAATTGTATGTGCTATACTGGCAGTGCAGGTTTGTTTACATCAGCATCGCCACAAACATAGAGTAATGCATTGCACTACCACATTACAACACTATAGTCACTAGGCGATAGGAATTTTTCAACCTTATTATAATCTTATGGGACCACTGTCGTATATGTGGTCTGTCATTGATGGAAATGTTGTTACCTGGTGCATGACTATAAAGCAAGTAGTGAGATTCCTGGATCATATGGTAGTTCTACTTTTAATTTTTGTGAGGAACCTTCATACTGTTGACCATAATGATTGTACTAATTGACATTCCCACCAACAATACATGAGTATCCCTTTCTCCACATCCTCACCATCATTTGTTACTTTTTGTCTTTTTTGATAATAGCTATTCTAACTGGAGTGAGACGATATCTCATTGTCGTTTTGATTTGCCTTTCCATAATCATAGTGATGTTGAGCATTTTTTCTTTTTTCTTTCTTTTTTTTTTTGAGACGAAGTTTTGCTCTTGTTGTACAGGTTGGAGTGCAATGGCGCCATCTCGGCTCCCCACAACCTCCGCCTCCCGGGTTCAAGTGATTCTCCTGCCTCAGCCTCCTGAGTAGCTGGGATTACAGGCATGCACCAACACGCCTGGCTAGTTTTGTATTTTTAGTAGAGACAGGGTTTCACCATGTTGGCCAGGCTGGTCTCGAACTCCTGACCTCGGGTGATCCGCCCGCCTTGGCCTCCCAAAGTGCTGGGATTATAGATGTGAGCCACCACGCCCAGCCCTGTTGAGCATTTTTTCATATGCCTATTAACCATTTGCATGTCTTCTTTTAAGAAATGTCTATTCAAGTTTTATGTTCATTATTTAATTAAAAAAATGTTTTGTTGCTGTTAAATTGTTAGAGTTTCTTATATATTCTGGATATTAACTCTTGTCAGATGCCAAGTTTGCAAATATTTTCTCCCACTCAGTGGGTTGTCCCTTTGCTGTGTTGATTGTTTCCTTTGTTGTGCAGAGCTTTTTAGTTTGATGTACTCCCATTTGTCTATTTTTGCTTTGTTGCTTGTGCTTTTGAGGTCTTACCCAAAAAATCCTTGCCTGGACCAATGTCATGAAGCATTTCCCCTATGTTTTCTTCTAGTCGTTTTATAGTCCTAGATCTTACATTTAAGTCTAGTCCACTTTTAGCTTATTTTTATGTATGATGAGAGGAGTCTACTCTTATTCTCCTGCATGTGGGTATTCAGTTTTCCAGCACTATTTATTGAAGATATCAACTTATGTTTTCTTCATATACTGTTACATGCCACTAACTTGGGATATACAGAGATAAGAGATGGCCCTTTCATTTAATTTTCCAGAACCCTGTGTAATACATACTGTGTGATAGATATGCATGAGATACTAGGAAAGAACATAGAATGGTCCCTCTTCTGTGGGGGGCTCATTGGGAGCACTTTCTAGAAAATTCTGAATATTCAAACCCCTTAGAAATTCCAGGAGGGTTATACTTTGTCAATTGTATTCTAAAATGTATAGAGAAAATTAAATACTAAATAAGAAAATAGTCTAAAAAGGATAAGGAAAAAACATCTAACATTACCAAATGTAAGAATTTATTAATATTATAAAATCATAAGCATATAATTTTGTCAGTGGAACAGATTCCAGAAATAGATCCATCTAACTGAAAAAAAACTTAACATTTATTGTTTTTATCCTATTCTCATTTATAATATATTAAATGTTAAAATAGTGACACTTTATATTGATGACTTAAGGGTGAAGTGAGTCTGGTTTAGTCATGCTTTTCTGTTGATGATATAAATTTGCATCAGCACTGCCAGACAGTTTGGCATTATGTTTCAAAAGCCACATGAATTACTGTATATCGTTTACCTCATTATTCCACCCCTGGGAATTTACCTTAAGTAAATACTATGAAAAGAGAAGGAAGCTATATGCTTCAGTCTAGTATTGGAAATACATTTTTAATATTGGGAAAATGAAAACAATTTATTCAACAATATTAAAGTTATAGTCTATTTGTGGAATCTTTTATATCCATAGAAGATAAAATTACATAGTTATGATTGTGTGGCAGCTGGAAAAATGATTTTGGATTGATGACAAAGGAAAATTCAAATTTGCATATGTGCATATGATCGATGACTAGGGAAAAAACAAGGAAAAATGAAATCGGGAGGAGTACAATGTTCTAGGTAAGGTGGGTTTTCTTTGGGGTTTTTTTGAGACAGAGTCTTGCCCTGTCACCCAAGCTGTAGTGCACTGGCACTATCTCTGCTCACTGCAACTTCTGCCTTCTGGATTCAAGCAAGTCTCCCACCACAGCCTCCAGCGTAGCTGGGACTACAGGTGCACACCACCATGCCCGGCTAATTTTTGTATTTTTTGGTAGAGACAGGTTTTCACCCTGTTGGCCAGGCTGGTCTCAAACTCTGGACTTCAAGTGATCTGCCTGCCTTGGCCTTCCAAAATCCTGGAATTACAGGCATGAGCCACTGTGCCCGGCCACAGGGTAAGGTTTTATGTTTTTCTTTTTCTTTCTTCCTTTTAAGAGAAGGGATCTCACTATGTTTCCCAGGCTAGATTCAAGCTTTTGGGCTTAAGCGGTTCTCCTGCCTCGGCCTCCTGAGTAGCTGGGACTGCAGGTGTGCTCCACAGCACCTAGTTTTTTTAAAAAATCAAGGTATAATCCACATACCATAAAATTCACCTTTTTTTTTTTTTTTTTTTTTTTTGAGATAGGGTCTTACTGTGCGCCCAGGCTGGAGTACAGTGATGCAATCTCAACTGACTTGGCTTCGACCTCCTGGGCTCCAGCAATCCTCCTACCTCAGCCTCCCTAGTAGTGGGGACTACAGGCACACACCACCACCCCCAGCTAAGTTTTTGTTGTTTTTTTGTTTGTTAATTTGTTTGTTTTTTGAGACGGAGTCTTGCTCGGTCACCAGGCTGGAGTGCAGTGGTGCGATCTCAGCTCACTGCAACCTCCACCTCCTGGGTTCAAGTGATTCCCCTGCCTCAGCCTCCTAAGTAGCTGGGACTACAGGCGTGCACCACCATGCCCAGCTAATTTTTTGTATTTTAGTAGAGACAGGGTTTTGCTGTGTTGGTCAGGATGGTCTCAATCTCCTGACCTCATGATCTGCCCACCTCGGCCTCCCAAAGTGCTGGGATTACAGGCATGACCCACTGCACCTGGCCAGTTTTTGGATTTTTTGTAGACACAGGGTTTTGCCATGTTGTCCAGGCTGGTCTGGAACTCCTGAGCTCCAGCAATCTTCCCATGTCAGCCTCCCAAAGTGCTGGAATTACAGCTGTGAGCCACCACACCCAGCCAATTCACCCTTTTAAAGTGCACAATTCAGTGGTTTTTACAATCATCACTGCTATTAAATCTAGAACATTTTTCACCCCAAAAAGAAACACTGTACCCAATACAGCCACTCCTTGTTTCTCTCTGCCCCCGCCCTTGACAACTACTAACCTACTTTCTGTCTCTGTGTATTTGCCTGTTCTGGACATTTTATACAGATGGAATAATATATGTGGCCTTTTGCGATTGGCTTTTTTCATTTAACATAATGTTTCTAAGTTTCATCCATGTTATAGCATGTATCAGAAGTGCATCCCTTTTTGTGGATGAATAATACTTGACGATATGGATATATCCCATTCTAAAGTTGATAGACATTTGGATTGTTTTGACTTTTTGACTATTATTAATAATGTTGCTATTAGCATTCATATATAAGTTCTTTTGTGAACATATGCTTTCCGTTCTCTTGGGTATATGCCTACAAGTGGAATTGCTGGGCCATATGGTAACTCTATTTTTAACTTTTTAAGGAACTGCCAGACTATTTTCCAGAATGCCTGTACCATTTTTTGTTCATATTTAAATGTCAATTCATACAATAATATTTGTGTATTTTTTATTTGCAGTCATTGGATTTGTTGAAGAATTGTTTTTAATAGAGCAGTGGAGACTTTTGTCAAATTTTGAATGACTGAGGAGTACAGAAATAAGTAGTGGTTACAGTGAAGAAATAGAAGCTATAATTAAAGATTTGTTTCCTCTCTTGTTCCACTATCTTGGAGCCTGTGGAGGCCTGCCAGGAACAGGACTCTTAAAGGCAAATATGTCTAGAAGGCTGCTGTCAAAGACCATTTTTGCTGGCTATAAGCAGGGTCTCTGGAACCATTGGGAACCACAGCTGTTCTTAAAATTGAAGGTGTTTATGCTTCACCAGCTCTTGCTATGGTCACTCTTTTAAATTTTTGCCATTCTAATGAGTATGTACTGATATCTAATTGAGATTTTCATTTGTATTTCCTGATGACTAACATGTTGAGTATTTTTTCATGGGCTTTTTGGCTATTCTTTTATCTTCTTCAGGAGTTCACAGACTGCAACCCCCAAGCCAAATCTGGCTCATCACCTATATTTGTAAATAGTTGTATTAGGACGCAGCCACACCCATTCATTTATATATGGTCTATGTGGCTTTTATGCCAAACAGCAGAGTTGAGTAATGAGACCATATGGCATGCAAAGCCTAATATATTAGCTCTCTGGCCTATTCATAGGAAAATGTATCAACCCCCGATACTTTCTGTGGATTGTTTGTTCAAGTTTTTTGCCCATTTAAAAAATAAGCTTATCTTTTTTAGTTTTGAGAGCTTTTTAACATTAGGGCTATAAGTATTTATTCATTCATTCATTCATTCATTCATTTATATTCCCAGCCTTTGGCTTCTCTCTTTCTTTTCTTTTTTAATAAGTAGAGACTTTGGGCCAAACTTGAGGACTACAACTCAGAAGCATAGATTTAAGTTGCCCTGAATATATACTCCCTTTGTTTAATTTTTTTCTTCTTTTATTTTCATGATTGTGTCTTTTGAAAAACAGAAGTTTTTCTTTCAATGAAATCAGGTTTATCGATCTTACCTTTATTTTGAGCCACCGTGCCCAGCCATCAATCTTACCTTTTATGGTTTATGTTTTTTATAAACTCAGGCCTACCTAAGAAATCTTCCCCTAATCCAAGTTTGCAAAGATTTTCTCCACTGTTTTCCCCTAATATTTTTATAGTTTTGGCTTTTAGTTTTAGGTATAATTCATGTCTGATTAATTTTGGGGTATACTGTAGTGTGAAATAAGGTCAGGATTTTTTTTTTCTATAATTGTATCTTCTTGTTCTGTCACTATTTATTGAAAAGATTGCCCTTTCCCACCCCATTAAATTTTGTTTGAATATAATCAATTGATTATATATATGTGAGTCTATTTCTAGACTCCTTTCTGTTTCATTGATCTGTATTTCTTTTTGTTTTTAATGGAATTCTTGTTGCAGATTAGAATTTCTGTCCTTAGGATAGCAACACTGTATTACTGCAGCTTTATTGTAAACCTTGAAATAAGATACTCTGAGCCCTCTAATTTTGTTCTTATTGAAAATTTTTGTCCATTTTAAGTTCTTCACATTTCCTTATAAATATTAGAATCAGCTTGTTGATTTCCATAAAAAATATCTGCTGGGATTTTTGTTGATACTGTACAATATACAGATAAAATTCAGAGAATTAAGTTCTTAGCAATATTGAGTCTTCCAATCCATGAACATGGTATATTTCTCCATTTGTTTGGCTCTTTAATTTTTTTTCTACAATCTTTTATACTTAGCATCATGCAGGCTTGCATATACTTTGATTTATCCCAAAGTATTCATGCTCTTCATTGACTCTTGAGAATTTTCTCTATAGACAATGATGTCATCTGTGGATAAAGACAGGTTTACTTCTTTTCTAATCTATATGCCTTTTATTTCTATTTTCTTGCCTTATCACACTAAGATCTCCAGTATATGTTGAATAGAGAACAGATATTCTTCCTTCATTCTTTCTTTTCATAGGAAAGCATTTGGTCTTTCACTTGCTTTTGTTTGTTTTGTTTTGTTTTGTTTTGTTTTGTTTTGTTTTGTTTTTAAGAGACAGAGTCTCACTCTGTCACCCAGGCTGGCATGATCATAGCTCACTGCAATTTCAAACTTCTGGACTCAAGCAGTCCTCCTGCCTCAGCCTTCTGAGTAAATAAGACTACAGGTGCACGCTAACTGTTTTTTAAAATTTTTTTGTAGAGACAGGGTTTCGCTATGTTGGCTGGCTGGTCTCAAACTCCTGGCCTCAAGCAATCCTCCTTTCTCAGTCTCTCAAAGTGCTGGAATTAGAGGAGAGCCATCATGTCTGGCATCTTTCACTATTAAATGTGATGTTAGATATAGGTTTTTCATATTTGTCCTTTATCAATTAGAAAAGTGCCAAGTTTTAAGAACACTTTTCCCAAATTTTCTGAGAGATTTTATCATGGGTATTGAACTTTATCAAATGTTTTTCCTGTATGTGTTAGGATAGTCATTTGGATTTTTTTCTTTTGGTCTGTTAATATGGCCTATTTTATTGATTCATTTCTAAAAACAAAACCAGACCATCAGTCTTACGATGAACACAATGAAGTCATATAGTATTAGCCATTTTATATATTATTGTGATTTAATGTTTCAGTGAGGATGAAATGAAACATTACATTTTTGTTCAGGAGAGATATTAATCTGTAGTATTGTTTTGTTGCATTGTCTTTGATTTAGATGTGTGGGTAATGCTGGCATAAAATGATTTTAGAAGAGTTCCTCCTCTGTTTATTGGAAGAGTTAACGTAGAATTGATTAAATGTCTAGTAGAGTTTACCAGTGGAGTTAACTGGTTTCTGGATTTTTCCTTATGGGGAAGGTTTTTAACTACCACTTTAATTTATATAGTAGATTCAGGGCTGTGTAGGTAATCTTTCTTTTTGAGTGAGCTTTGGTAGTTTGGTTTTCAAATAATTCATCCATTTCATTGAAGTTGTTGAATTTATTGGCACAGAGTTGTTTATAACATCCCTTTTCTGTCTTTAAACGTCTAAAGCAATTGTGATTATATCTCCTCTTTCATTCCTAATATTAGTAATTTGTTTTCTCATTTTTTTCTGGATCAGGCTGGATAGAAGTTTAACAATTTTATTAATCTTTTCAAGGAGCCAGCATGTGATTTCATGAGACTTCAAAGTATCTTAGACTGCTTGACATTTTTCTACCAGTGACTTGAGTTTGGTTTTTTCCAGTCTTTTCATCCTCTGTGTATTTCGTTTTATAGTTACTATTACTCTATATTCAAGTTCATTAATCATCTTGTGCAGTATCTTACCTGCTTCTAACCCCATCAGTCATATTTTCATTTCAAATATTTTCATCTCTAAAAGTTACATTTCCTTTTTTAATGTACATTTTCTTTTTTTCTTTGCAGTCACATTTTCTTTCACATCCTTAAGCATTAGGAGCATCTATATGATAGCGGTTTTAAGGTCCCATCAATTTTATCACCCATCATTTGGTGTCTGTTTCTATTGATTAATTGCTCTGTGGTTATAGGGCATGTTTTCCTACTACTATTAAATTTTTATTGAATACTGAACATTGTAAATTTTATAAATTGTGCACTTTATTTTTTTTCCCCCTTTAATGAGTGTTGTCTGCCAGGCACGTTGGCTCATGCCTGTAATCCTAGCACTTTGGGAGGCCAAGGCAGCTGGATCACTTGAGGCCAGGAGTTTGAAACCAGCCTGGCCAACATGGCAAAACTCCATCTCTACAAAAAATACAAAAATTGGCTGGACATGGTGGCATGTGCCTGTAATCCCAGCTACTAGGGAGGCTGAGAAGGCTGAGACAGGAGAATCACTTGAACCTGGGAGGCAGAGGTTGCAGTGGGCCGAGATCATGCCACTGCACTCCAGCCTGGGTGATGGAGTGAGACCCTGTCTCAATAAATAAATAAATAAATAAATAAATAAAGAGTGTTGGATGCTTACAGGCAATTTAGGAAGACTTCTCAGTACTAAATACATGAGCTGCCAGATTGAAAAAGCCTCCTGTGGGCCAGGCGCTGTGGCTGACGCCTGTAATCCCAGCACTTTGGGAGGCCGAGGCGGGCGGATCACCAGGTCAGGAGTTCGAGATCAGCCTGCCCAATATAGTGAAACCTCATCTGTACTAAAAATACAAAAATTAGCTGGGTGTGATGGTGGGCGTCTATAATCCTAGCTACTCAGGAGGCTAAGGCAGGAGAATCGCTTGAAGCCAGGAGGCAGAGGTTGCAGTGAGCGGAGATTGTGCCATTGCACTACTCCAGCCTGGGTGACAGAGTGAGACTCCATCTCAAAAAACAAAAAAAAAAGAAAGAAAGAAAGAAAAAGTCTCCTGTGGAACTCGTTTGGATCCTGATTCATAGAAACCAATTGTAAAAAATCTGAAACAATCAGGGAAATTAGAATGTTGACTCAAGTTTTGATAATTTTGAAGAATTGTTATTAATTTTTTAAATGTGATAATGGTATGGTGTTTATGTTTTTTTAATGAGTCCTCATATTATTAAAACTATATTTACAGAAATGGCATGATATCTGGAACTTGGTTCACAATAATCCAGTAACAAAGCAGGGCTTGGAAAAGGTATAAATGAAACATGATTAGCCAGATGTGAATAATTGTTGAAGCTGGATAATAAGTACCTGTAGTCGTTATTTATTTTTTTCTAATTTTATATGTTTTAAAAAGCTTAGAAATTTGTTTTGTTTTTTTTTTGTTTTTTTTTTTTTTTTTTTTTTTGAGACAGGGTCTTGCTCTGTAGCCCAGCCCAGGCTGGAGTGCGGTGGTGTGATCTAAGCTCACTGCAACCTCTGCTTCCCAGGTTCAAGTGATTCTCCTGCCTCAGCCTCCCAAGTAGCTAGGATTACAGGCATGTACCACCACATCCAGCTAATTTTTTTTTGTATTTTTTTTTTTAAGTAGAGACAGGGTTTCACCTTGTTGGCCAGGCTGGTTTCAAACTCCTGGCTTGAAGTGATCCACCTGCCTCGCCTCTCAAAGTGCTAGGATTACAGGCGTGAGCCACCGCACCCATCCACAGAAACATTTTTCTTGATATCAATTTTTTTTTTTTTTTACAAAAGGAAAGTGTCCATTAAGTACAACATAGTGGATGAAAGCAGACTTTCAGCAAGTTATATCATTGTGACATTTTAGAGCACTGAAAACAAAAACAAGATTCTATAAACTTCCAGAGAACAGGAGAAACAGTCACACACAAAGAATTAAGTAGAGTGGCTTCAAACTTCTCAATAGCCACATTAGCGTCCAGAAGACAATTCAATAATGCCTCCAGAATGTTGAATGAAAATGGCCTAGAATTCTGTCTCTCTAGGCAAACTATCTAGTGTAAGAGTAGAATGAAGTTTTTGTATATACAAAGTCTCAAAAATTTGTACCTCTCCCACACTCTTCCTGACAAAGCAGCTGAGGGACTTTCTCTGCCAAAATGAGGGAGTAAACTTAAAAAGAAGACAAGGTGGGATATTGCAAACAAGAGATACAACACAGGAGGGAGCCGAAGAGAATCCCTTGATTTGAGGTGAAGCAGCTGTACACAAGGCATAGATGGCAGCTATTCCAAATTGGAGTATATGCTAAGGCTCTGGGAGAGATTTCTCAAAAAAAAAAAAAAGTTACAAAACACCTATTGTGTCTGAAAATCTTAAGAGGAGAATTCGATAACTGGCAAAAAGTTCAGAATTGAATTAACAATAAGAACAATAAAAACACAAAGCAAATGTTAGCATGCACCTACAGTCCCAGCTACTCAGGAAGCTGAGGCAGTAGAATCACTTGAGCCCAGGAGTTCACGTTCAGCCTGGGCAACATGGCAAGACCTGATCTCTAAAAAGAAAAAAAAATTTTTTTTTTAACTAAGCAAATGAGAAAACAAGACAGCATTTTGGGAAAATGTTGTGCAGGAAAGGAAAAGTAATCAGTACTTCTAATTGTTCAGCTATAAATGGAATACATGTTCATACTATAATTGTAGTCAGATCAATAATCAGTGTTTACTATATTGGCACATTGGGAGGATGGAGGAAACAAGTGGATGTGGGAGAGAGCTAAATTCTTATCTCCTGTATTAGGAAGTCAAAAGGTTATGCCTGGAAACTAGAAGTCAAAGTATAGACATAATCATGTTATTTGGAGCTATAGAGGTAAATACCACAGGAATCAGGTATAGAAATTGAAAGTGGCCGCCTGTGAGGAAAGAGAAATGGTGTCTATGTAAGGGACTTGTTTTATGTAACAAAATTATCGAACTGTTTGAATCTAAATGTGCATGTGTTATATTAATTTTGATACTTTAAAAAGAAAAACATGCAGTGAATGATGGAACTTGAATTCTTGTTATACCACTGCTTTGCTGTCCCCAAGGACAGTATTGAGTTGACTAACCATGGGATCTCTCCTGAAAAGAGGGGTAAGTGTAGCCAGTAAGGAGCTGATAGAATGGAGATGAAGGAAGAAAGGTGGCTTTACATTGTTGCTGTGAAGGGGAAGATCAGGTTTGGTCAGACTGGGGAGTGAGGGACTGCAAAGAAGGCAGATATAGTTCATTACAATCAAGCTGATTGAGAGAGGAAGCTTTGTTGTATTCCATTATTAGTATAGATCAGATGTCAAAAAAAATAAATGAGTCAAGCAGACTGGCTGTAAAAGAAATCAACTGCCAAAAATATATTCAGACTTTTGAAAAGTATCAAAAGTATCAAACTTATGCTATTATATAAGCATGTAACATAATATATACACATATATAAATATACACACATATATCTTATATACACACATATAAGGTATATGTGTGTATATATACATATATAAGATATTTATGTATATATACACATAAACATACGATTATTTTAAGTTTGAAATTGGGAAACAGGAATACTTAACTATAGCTTTTTTCTTTTGAAATCATTCATTTGATCTGGCTAGAAATGTGATACATTTACTTCTATGCTAAGTTAGTACCAAGTATTAAATATATGATGGGCATTACATCATTCATTTTTAAACCCTTTAATTATAAGATTTAGTTTTTATTCAGTTTCATAACAGATCTTAACCATTCACAAACATGAGTATTTCCAAACAAAGGTAGAATCTTGGCAAAATAGTTTTGATAGTTAGACATTTGTAAAATTTGTAAAATTTAAGACATTTGTAAAATTTGTAAAATTTAAGACATTTGTAAAATTTAAGATTTCAACATCACAGTTAATCCTAAATATTGTACTGTACTTTATTAACCTCCATATGTTACACTTCCAGTATAAATTGAGAAAGGTAAGTTGAATAGTGTTAGTTTTCATAAAGCTTGAAACCAAAAAAAATCTTTTTGGGTTATCAGTCTTTAGCTCTACAATTTTAGGAATGTATTTCATGCCATCAGTTTCATTTCTGGAAATCCTGTTTCAGCATGGAAAAATACAAAAAAGTAGGACAGATAGTTCCTTGCCAATAAAACTTTCCAGAGATACAGTCATCAAGTAATGAGTAAATTGAATGAAATATGGTTCCTTGTTAATGCCCTTGCAGATAAGCCATCAGATTTTTTACATAGGCAGTAATGTCAGTTAAAATGGCCCTGTATTTGACCAGTCTGTGCTAGTGATCTGAGGCTGGGATTTGTCCTTGGACAACATAAACCAGGAGACTTCTTTAAACTCAAGCTCAAAAACATTTTTTAGCACCATAACTCATACTAAGTCACCTAATATCCATGTACTAATGATAGGCTACATACTGCTTATCCAGTTTTTCAGGGGTGTTGTCGTTGTTGTGGTCGTTGCTGTTGTTATTTAAGACGGGGTCTTGCTCTGTTGCCCAAGCTGGAATGCAGTGGTTAGATCATGACTCACTGCAGCCTTGACCTCCTGGGCTCAAGTGATCCTCCCACGACAGCCTTCCTAGTAGCTGGGACTAACAGGTGCACACCACGACACCTGGCTAATTTTTGTATTTTTTTGTAGAGACAAGGCCTTGAGATGTTGCCCAAGCTGGTCTTGAACTCTGGGCTTAAGCAATCCTCCTGTCTCTGCCTCTCAAAATGCTGGAATTATTTGTGTGAACCACTGTGCCTGGCCTGCTTTCCAGTTAGCAAGCAAAATATTGACCAAGGGAATTTTTTTTATTTCATTTTATTTTATTTTATTTTATTTTATTTTTTGAGACAGAGTCTTACTCTGTCATCCAGGCTGGAGCGCAGTGGCACGATCTCGGCTCACTGCAACCTCCGCCCCAGGTTCAAGCAATTCTCCTGCCTCAGCCTCCCAAGTAGCTGGGATTACAGGCGTCTGTCACCACGCCCATCTAATTTTTGTATTTTTAGCAGAGGCAGAGTTTCACCATGTTGGCCAGGCTGGTCTCGAGCTCCTGACCTCAAGTGATCTGCCCACCTCGGCCTCCCAAAGTGCTGGGATTACAGACGTGAGCCACCGCGCCTGGCAGGAATTTAATTCATATGTTAATTGTGTGTGTGTGTGTGTGTGTGTGTGTGTGTGTGTGTGGTTTGACTTTTAGCCTTGTAGACAAAGTAAATAAGACAGTAAATAGCTTTATGGTTATCTGTCTTTGCAAAGTGTTGCCACCTTGGATTTAGATCTTGAAACAAGTTTATTGTCAACAAAGACCATTTCAGGATCATCATCCTTTGTCATCAGTCTTTAATAAAGTTTTCAAAACTTTTTTCAGTTCAGAGAGCTGTATTTCCTTGGATATGTTTGTCATGAGCATCACATCCAAAAATTTTTCCCTTACATAAAAGTTCTCATTGATACTTTAAATGGATACAACTCTTGGAAAGTTATTTTTAATCTGTGTTCTCATCAACTACAAAGAAGAATGCCACAAATTATTTAACATTTTCACTCAATTCACCTTTTAAGTTTGTAGCCATACCACTAACATGCTGAATAACTAATTTTGGTTAGATGTGTACATGCAAATCATGCTATTACACCCAAATTCTGCTGCATTCACTAAACATTCTTTTATAAATTTTACCATTGATAAGAGACTTTGACACCCTAAAGCTTTTAATCTTAATATGTAACTGCATTTCACAGGTATACCACTCATTATTTACTTAAAAAAATAACAGTTTAAATGTGTACTTTCTGTTTATTCAGTTTTCATTATTTGTCTGTTCTACAGGCCCATCATAATTCTTACTAGAGTTTGTTTCCTGATGCTATCTTTTGACACAGTCATATCTTGTTTGTATATTTTACCATTAGAAATATTCTTGTTGAAGTCAAAATAAAATATAAAGACAAATCTCCAAATTTAAAGCATTTTATTTGGGAAGCAAGAATTGCAATTCAGGACATATAGGTAGGTGGTGGTCTTCAGTATGTTCAAAGAACAAAGAGAAGGTTGGGAGTTTTATTAGAAAGAAAAATTTGGGGGAAAGGACTTCCTATTCAATAAATGGTACTGGGATAACTGGCTAGCTATATGCGGAAGATTGAAACTGGACCCCTTACTTACACCATATACAAAAATCAACTCAAGATGGACTGAAGACCTCAATGTAAAACCTAAAACTGTAAAGACTCTGGAACCTAGGAAATGCCATTTTCGACATAAGAACTGGCAAGATTTCATGATGAAAACAACAAAAGCAATTGCAACAAAAGCAAAAATTGACAACTGGGACAATTAATCTAAAGAGCTTTTGCACAGCAAAAGAAACTATCAACAGAGGCAACCTACAGAATAAGAGAAAATATTTCCAAGCTATACATCTGACAAAGGTCTAATATCCAGAATCTATAAGGAACTTAAAGAAATGTACAAGCAAAAAATAACCCCATTAAAAAGTGGGCAAAGGACATGAACAGACACTTTTCAAAAGAAGACATACATGCGCCAACAAACGTGAAAAAATGCCCAATATCACTAATCATTAGGGAAGTAAAAATCAAAACCACAGTGAGAATGGCTTACACCAGTCAGAATGGCTATTATTAAAAAGTCAAAAAATAACATATGCTGACAAGATTGCAGAGAAAAGCGAATGCTTATACACTGCTGGTGGGAGCATAAATCAGTTCAACCGTTCTGGAAAGCAGTGTGGCGATTCGTCAAAGATCTAAAAACAGAACTACGATTTGACCCAGCAGTCCCACTACTGAGTATTGTAAGAATTTGCCAGTAAAGTGATCTGGACCTGAAGATTTCTTTTTCAGAAGGTTTTACCTAAAAATTAAATTTAAAAAATAATTATAGCTTTAAATAATTATACTTTTAGGGTACATACCCAAAGGACTATAAATTGTTCTATCACAAAGACATATGCACATGTTATGTTCATTGCAGCACTATTCACAATAGCAAAAACATAGAATCAAGCTGAGTGCCCATCAATGGTAGACCGTTAAGAAAATGTGGTACGTATACACTATGGAAAACTATGCAGCCATAAAAAAGAATGAGATCATGTCCTTTGCAGGACATGGATGGAACTGGAGGCCATTATCCCTAGCAAACTAACGCAGGAACAGAAAACCAAGCACCACACGTTCTCACTTACAAGTGGGAGCTAAATAATGAGAACAGAAGAACAGAAATAGAGGAACAATAGACACTGGGACCTACTTGAAGGAGGAGAGTGGGAAGAGGGAGAGGTTCAGAACAAAAAACCTGTCGGGTACTGTGCTTAGTACCTGGGTAATGAAATAATCTGTACACCAGACCCCCACGTCATGAGTTTACCTATATAACAAATCTGCACATGTACCCCGAACCTAAAATTAAAATTTTTTTAAAAAAGAAAAACTGTACATATTGTGTGCCAAAAAAGCTTATTGGCACTAGAGAAGCTTTGGGGAGCTGGCAAGCTCTTTTTGATGAGTGACCCTCTCATTGGTAGGTGAAACTGCTCTGAGGGTTACAGCAGGCCATTTCTGCATCCAGGCTTGCAGAGAATTGCATTGTTGGAGCAATCTATATACCCTGAGCCCTTTTTTTCCCCTGGCCCCTCAACTGATTTAGTTGGATATGATAAGAAGGACCCAATTTGTATAATGAACTTTCACATTCTCTTCCACAAAGAAATATGCTTTTTTCTTTTGTTTGTTTTGAAATTAATGTCTCTTGTTCTCTTTCATGAACACAAATATTTCACTTTCCTTTTGATTCTACTGTAAGAAAGACAGCAGCCTATAGCACCCATAGATATTAAGGAAATACTGTGAACAACTCTACACATATTAATTTGACAACTTAGATGAAATGAGCCAATTCTTTAAAAACTGTAAACTACCAAAACTCACTCAAGATCAAATAGATAACCTGAATAAAATGATAATTATTTTTAAATTTAATTTTTAGCTTAAAACCTTCTGAAAAAGAAATCTCCAGGCCCAGATCACTTTACTGGCAAATTCTTCCAAACATAAAGGAGAAAACAGTTATTTTAAGGCCTGCATCACCTTAATACCAAAACCAGAGGGCAATATAAGAAAAGTATAGAACAATATCCTTAATGAACCTAGACTTAAAATTTTTCAACGCAATTTTAGTAAATTGAGCCAGGCATGGTGGCGTGTGCCCATAATTTCAGCTACTCAGGAAGCTGAGGTGGGAGAATCACTTAAGGCCAGCAGTTTGAGACCAGCCTGGGAAACAGAGCAAGACCCCTAAAATATATAAAATATATATTAAATATATATATATATAAATATATAAAATAAAATTAGCTTGATGTGGTGGTGCACACCAGTAATCCCAGCTACTTTGGAGGCTGAGACAGGAGGATCACTTGAGCCCAGGAGTTCAAGGTTACAGTGAGTTATGATCACACCACTGCACTCCAGCCTGGGTGACAGAGCGAGACCCTGTCTCTAAATTTAAAAAATAATAAGCATTGTTAAATAGTTGACTTTTTAAAAAATGCTGCATTGACCAACATGATTGTGAAAATTATACTTACTAATTTGCTCTCTCTGATACTGATACATGTTGTAGATATAGTAGATAATTGTAGGCAACTTATTGTTAAAGCGAACCTTGAGTCGTTGCTAGAAGACTGATGAGTGTCCTTAAGGTTGTTCTCTTACGGATGTGAGAAGCATATGGTACATTCTTGGTATATGTGGATGGCGTGGGCTTTGGAAGAGGGGTGATATATTTAAGTGATAGAATGATGGTCTAGAGATAGCACCAAAAAGGCAAAAGTTAACTCCCTTTAGCCTGGCAAGTGTAGGTGGTTTCTATTGGAAGAGACTTTGAGGAAATGGGGACATTTAAAGAAAAAAATGTTTCATTAAAGTGGTAAAGTAATTTGTATAAAATAGAAATTCTACAGGACTCAGTGAAGGGATTGGCAGAGGAGTGAGCACCAGGATGAATCATGATTGGGGAGGCAAATGATTGAGGTGGACAGGAATGAAGATCTGGGAGCTAAATGCAACAGGAGGGTTAAAGTAGATGGTCTCTTGGACGGCTAGGAATTGACAGAACATTCTTCTGTTTTATACCGTCAAAGTTTGACCAATACTTTTCCCTCTGCCTCTAATGTTCTACTTCCATCCCCCTCAGCTTTTTCTGCCTCATTCGTATTTAAGATTCTAAGCTCAAATGTTTGTATTTCACTCCTGGAAATCATCCCTGGCACTCCTTCCTCACCTTTTCCCCAGCCTCAGACCCCTTCTTAGCATTCCCATACCACCTAGTACACATCCTTATCTTAAAACTTACTATTTTATATTAAAATTACTTTTTTGTTAATTGTTTATTTATCAGTAGAAACTATTTCTTAGCCCACATATTCATGTTTCATAGTTCAGGAACACAAATCAGTGACAAACTTCTACGTAATTTAGCCCAAAGAAATTCTTTGTATTTCAAAATCACTTTGTATTCCGAAAGATATCAGCCTTCTTCATCTCCTCACAATCTTTCATGGAATCATAATTTCTGAAGAAATCTGTGTGTGCCTTCTTTCTTGGTTTAGCCACAGCAAACAGAGAGAGATCTGTAACCCCCAGGGATACAGCAAATGTTCCAACAATATGAAATTGCAACCATATCTAAGGTTTTTGCCAAAGCACTAGAAGCCGTAGTCATTGTACTTGATAGGTATGTCACCACTGCCCTTCCTGGCCGATAGAGAAATGGAAAAATTACTTTTTTTTCTAACTTCCTCTACAAAATACTATGATCCTCTGAGGCAGAGGGTGTTTTTGTGGGGGAGGAGGGGGTTATTTTTTTTGAAACAGAGTCTTGCTCTGTTGCCCAGGCTGTAGTACAGTGGCACAATCATAGCTCACTGCAGCCTCAATATCCGGGGCTCAAGCAGTCCTCCTGCCTCAGCCTAGCGAGTAGCTAGGACTTCAAGGTACATGCCACCATGCCCAGCTAATTTTTTTTTTTAAATTTTTTGTAGTGACAGGTTCTCACTATGTTGCCCAGGCCAGTCTCAAATTCCTGGGCTCAAGCAATCCTCCTACCCCTGCCTCCCAAAGTGCTGGGATTACAGTGTGAGTCCCTGTTTTAGTCCTCTGTTTTCCTCAGGGAGGTAGCACAGAGCCTGGCACAGAGCTGGTATCAACAAGTATTTGTTTAACTAAACAAAGGAGTTAGGCCACTGTGTTTTGATTGTAAGATGGGCGTGGCAAGTGTCTGGACTTTCTCTGACTCTTTATTCAAGGGCCAATGGCAGTACAGGCCTATGAGTTAAAGCAAACTCTGTGGCCAGTCAGCAGTTCATTGTTAAGGCCAGGAACACTACCTTTATCCTCAGTGTCTCCTTTGTTTCTAGAATGCAGAGGCAGTCTTTGGCAAGTGATGAATGGTAAGGGAACACTTCCTGGCATTTATGTTTGAGCAACCAGGATTTTATGTGATGCTGTTAACAGTGATCACTGCACATAGTATTCATCCCACCGCATTGCTGTCATTTGTCTTTGTACAAAGATCTTCATGATGAATAGATTTGAAGGACTTTATATTATGGTTCATGAACAGAATTCTCATCAAGACCCAGGCATGTTTTATTGAGTTTGTGCCTTGGCAGTTCTTCTGGATAAAATATTTCATTGACCTTCCCAGAGACATCGTAAAACATCTAACTGCAGTTTTTCATTTTTGTGTTAGGGCATTCATTATTTGACGGTCTTTGGGTGCTTAAACAATTCCTTCTGCTTTCTTTGTCATTGAAACTGAACTTTCAGCGCTACTATTCTTTTCCTTTGGAGTATATCCTTCACTTTCTTCCTTAAGGTTTTGCTTCAAAACTCCATTTTATTTTTCATTCCTCCATTAGGCGTTTCTCCATTGGGATTTTCAGAGGACTAGAGAGTCTTTTCACAAAGAACTTGAACTCACAGGAAGGAGATGATAAGGAAACTTAAAGTAATTACCTTTTCATCTTAGTTGTCCTCCCTCCTCACCCCTCTTCATCTCCAGCATAGAACTAGGACCTTATTTTTCCCAAGCAACTAATAATAAGAATGCAGAAAATGTTATGTCCTTCTTTTATTCATCAGACCATTAGCATTATTAGGCATATTAGACTTGCATACTATTTATACACACACTATGCTAAGTAGTCGATAGAAAAATGAAGAAGATAGCCCGTGCTTCAAGGAATGCATAATCTAATCAGGATGATGAATGAAAGGTCGCAAGTACCTTCTCCAAGTCTTTGCTTTAAAAAAAAAGAATCTTCGAATTAGGGTAATATACTTTCCTGATGGCCTTGTATAATCACATTATCTTCTCTATATGAGGAACTTAGCACAGTTACTGGCCTGTAGTAAAAGGTTCAGTAAATGGTGATTATGCTAATGGATAGATACAGATTAAGTAGAAACATGAAGAAGGCAGTGGACATGGCATCTCTACTTAGACGTAAAGAAGGAATACTGGGGGAAATTGTATATACAAAGGCATAAAGCAATGAAATATAAGGTACATTTAGAGAACCATAAGTAATTGGTCTATTGGAACAGAGGGATGAAGGAAGGAAGCTTAGTAAGAGATGAGGCTTCCAAGGTAGGCAGGAATTTAGACAATTAATGGGGGACATTAATCTTGTAAGGAATGGGGGACATTCCTTACAATCCTGTAGGGAATGGGGGACATTCCTTACAATCCTGTAGGGAATGGGGGACATTCCTTACAATCCTGTAGGGAATGGGGGACATTCCTTACAATCCTCTAGGGAATGGGGGACATTCCTTACAATCCTGTAGGGAATGGGGGACATTCCTTACAATCCTCTAGGGAATGGGGGACATTCCTTACAATCCTCTAGGGAATGGGGGACATTCCTTACAATCCTGTAGGGAATGGGGGACATTAATTAATATTAAGCAGGGGAGTCTTAAAATTAGTTAATCAATGCTAAAGAAAATTTCTCATATACTACCTGTCTCTCTTAGGTCTCACTTGCCCTGGAACCTCTGTCAGAAACTTACGACAGCTACCATCCACTTCCTACCACTGACATGACAGAAAATGTGCTTTTATCTAAGCAGGGATTCAGAGAGAATACTGAACCCAGCAGTACCCAGTTTCAGGTTCCATCAAGGCCTCGCGACATACATACCATCAAAATTGATGGAAAAGAGTTAGCAGCCAACAGCAGTAGATCAACCACTCCGAGGTAATTACCATACCTAATACCAGTCAATCTGTCAGTTAACTGCACTGTAGTTGTGATTTCTGTCTTTCATTTATGGTTGAGTAAAAGATTAACAGCAGAGAGAGGCACAGTCCTCATTTAGCAGATAACTGTGAAGCACCCACTCTGGTCCTGGTTTGATACTAGGTGCTGGGCCTAGAAATAAGTAAGACATGATTTCTGTTTTCCAGGACTACTCACAATCTAGCGGAGAAGCCAACATACAGATAAATGACTAAATGATATCCAGATGCAGGACAGATGTTCATGAGGGAAAAGAGGGACAGGGAGCTATTCTGTGAAACAGAATGGAATAAGAATCAGGTTTTTGTTTTAAGTAATTATTTATGAAGCATTTGCTTTGTGTCAGGCTCTGCTGAGCTCTTCGTTTTATTGTCTCATTTAAGCTATGACTCCCTCACTGTAGGTAAAGCATCTATTATTTCTATAATTTGGGAGATGAAAAAGAGATTTACAAAGTTGTATTGCAAATAAGTCACGCTTTTTGAGGTCCAAACTACCTTGCCAAAACCACTGGTCTACTTTCTGTCTCTGACAAAATAGAATGTTACCATAATAGATTATATATTGCTGATGTTCTCCCTTTTTAAAAAAACAGGGGAAAAGACCATGTATGCTTTGCAGAGAACCCTGATACAATAAAGGATTCTTCCTTTGGACTACAGCACAGTCTTAATTCAGGACAGAGTTTAGAGTCTGTAACTCTGAAAGGCAGAGCTCCACGGAAGCAGATGTCCCTTCTGAACAGTTCTGAATTCCAGCCTCAAATTAGAACAGTTGCCAAGAGTCACAGTGACTCATGCATTCTTTCTTCAAACAACCTCCCTACCAAGGATCTTCTTTCAGGTATGTATGTATTTGTGAACTGAGTCAGACTAAACTACGTTTATGGGATTGCTCTGCTTGTTAGCCAGCCTACAAAGAGAACCAAGACTCTTGTTTGAACTAAGTCAAATAAAAACAGGCAGTCTTGCTAGAGTCCAGCATCTCACACCATTTAAAGACAGCCGTATTAAACCACCAAGGTATTTCTGAATAATTACTCAGTGCTTATAATTGTAAGTTTGGGGAAGGAATCGTTTAAAAGGAATTGGATATGAGGGGAAAACCTTTATCATAGAAAAGGATTAGTCCTTACTTTGTCCCAAATAATTCAAGGCAGGTAAGGTTTTTGTCTCGTGATCAGCATTTATTTATCCCACTGTATGGAGACTAGTACAAAATCCATTTCACATTCTGAAAACTCTTAGTCTTAGTGAGAACGTTCAGTACACAGCTGCTGATCTTAATCCTGGGAATTAAATAATGACTGTGGCCAAATAGAAGAAGAAAGGAGACAGTTTACCCTTATAAGGGCTTAGACAGAAATAAAAAAGCAAACAGGAACAGAATTAGATTACCTCATGTTAAGGAGTGGTATAATAAAAGCAGTTGACTTACATTACACTGTAATGGTCAACCATGTATCTCTTTGACCTCAAGATCATAACAGGAATTTGTCTACATCCCTACAAGTAAAATTTCCAAAATTAAAATATCTGTAGCATCAGAAAAGTCTTTTAAATAACTATTTGGGTACATAATTTACATTCTTAAGGACATTTTGTAAAAGAACAAAAACATTTTGTTTATAGTTTTTCAACTGAATTGTCTTAGATTCCCTACTTTAAAAAATACACGGGCCGGGCACGGTGGCTCACGCCTGTAATCCCAACACTTTGGGAGGCTGAGGCGGGCAGATCACTTGAGGTCAGGAGTTCGAAACTAGCCTGGCCAACATGGTGAAACCCTGTCTCTACTAAAAATACAAAAAATTAGCTGGGTGTTGTGGTAGGTGCCTGTAGTCCCAACTACTCAGGAGGCTGAGGCAGGAGAATCGCTTGAACTCAGGAGGCAGAGGTTGCAGTGATCCAAGATGGTACCACTGCACTCCAGCCTGGGCAACGGAGCAAGACTCTGTCTCAAAAAGAAAAAAAAGAAAAAATATATATATATATAAAATTCCAAAAAAAAGTATATATATATATATACACTCCAAGATTATAAACTATTAATTTCAGTCTTTAATGCAAAGACTACATTAACAAGAAGGAAAATTGACCCAATGTACTCAGCACTTGTCAGCTCACTTGTGTAGACTTGAGCACCAGACTTTAGGAAAGATATTTGTTGACTCAATAAGCAGTTATCTATTCAGCACTACCAAATGTCTGGCGCTCTTCTAGGTATCAGGGCTACAGTAGTTAAATATATATATATAAACTCCTGCTGTATGGATTTTATATTGATTGGAAGACAAATGATAGACTAAATAAATAACTGTGTGTTACTTGGTGATCATGGCAATGGTGATATATGAAGCCAGGAAGGTGAGAGAAGGGGATGTTAGTTTTACATAGGTTGGCAAAGGAAGACCTCATTAAGAAGATAACATTAAGCTACTCAGGAGGCTGAGGTAAGAGGATCACTTGAGCCTAGGAGTTCGAGTCCAGCCTGGACAACATAGCAAGATCTCATCTCTAAAAAAAAAAAAAAGCAAAGAGAAAGAAGGTAACATTAAAGATCTAAGGGAAAGGAGATGTGTTCCTTCTTTTTTTTTTTAACTTTTATTTTTTTTTATTTACTTTTAAGTTCTGGGGCACATGTGCAGAATGTGCAGTTTTGTTACATAGGTATACACGTGCCATGATGTTTGCTGCACCCATCAACCTGTAACCTACATTAGGTATTTCTCCTAATGCTATCTCTCCCCTAGCCCCCTACCCCCGACAGGTCCCGGTCTGTGATGTTCCCCTCCCTGTGTCCATGTGTTCTGGAGAGGAGATGTGTTCCTTCTAAGGAAAGTAACCAGACTGGTAAAAGGAGCAGCAAGAGATAGCCTGGAGAAAACAGCTGCCACTTATTGAGCACTGATTATGTGCTAGCTACTATGCCAAGTGCTTTATATACATAATCTTACAAAAGTCACGTGAGGTAGGCATTATCCCCATTTTAAAATGAAAACACAAGCTCAGACTTAGGCAGCTCCTGTGCTATCAAAGGGGGCAGCTCTCATTTATTACTGTCTCAGACTTTAAGGTAAAGTCCTATGCTTCATCTTACTCTAGGTTCATTGTTTACCTAGGCCTGTTTTGTTTTGCTTTTGCTTTTTAAATCAAGACCTTGCTGGCCAGCTATTCAAGCCAAACAAAATATGCCATGCACAACCCATGGGCTGTCAATGTGCAACCTCTTCAATAAGAGTTACTAGGATCTGTGGATTTAAAGGTAAAACAAGGTAGATTTCAACTCGGTCTGAGTTAGTAGTCTGACTTGTGCACAAATGGGAGAGGGACCACATCACTGTAAATGGTCAAGTGTGGGCTGGATAACCTTCTGATGTGACTTTTACAGATGGGGTTAAATTATCAAGTACATAGCTGGATAAAATCTTTTTTTTTTTTCAATTTTATTTTAGATTCAGGAGGTATATATGCAGGTTTCTTTCCTGGGTATATTGCATGATGCTGAGAATTGGGGTATGAATGATCCTATCACCCAGGTACTGAGCATAGCACCCAATAGTTTTTCAACCCTTGCCCCCATCTTCCTTACCCCTCTAGTAGTCCCCAGTTTCTATTGTTACCATCTTTATATCCCTGAGTACCCAGTTTTTAGCTCCCATTTATAAGTGAAAACATGCAGTATTTAGTTTTCTGTTCCTGACTTAGTTCGCCTAGGATAACGGCCTCCAGTTGCACTGGATAAGATCTTTAAAGGTGTCTTGCAACCACAAGATTAAGTGGGCCACTTTAGTAAGCATAGAGTTGAGGTCATGTGAGGGACACAACAAATACATAAACCTAATGATTTTTCTGGTCTTTGATGTACTAATAACATACCAGAATAGAGGGTACAAAGCTGTATCAGTCAACCAGCTAGTATTTATGAAACACTAACTACACAGCAGGATCCTGTTCTTCCCCATTTTCAAAATAACAATGATACATTAGATTCTTCTCATACTTCACATCTCTGACTATCATATCCTTTAACCAGCCAGAGAAAAATTTGCTTTAAAAGGTTAATATGATTAGATTCTGCCTACCAAGATAATCTTCCTGTCTTAAGGTAAGCATTAATTACATCTGCAAGTCCGGGCAAGCTGGCTCATGCCTGTAATCCCAGCACTTTGGGAGGCTGTGGTGGGAGGATCACTTGACCCTGGGAGGTCGAGGCTCCAGTGAGTCATGATCATGCCAGTGCACTCTAGCCTGGGTAACAGAGTAAGACCTTGTCTCAAAAAAAAAAAAAAAAGTTTTAAATAATTACATCTGCAAAATCCTTTCATGGTAATACCTAGACAAGTGTTTGAATCACTAGGACGAAGTATGAGTATATGAGGCAATGGGGATCTTGGGGTAGCCATCTTAGAATTCTGCCTATCACAGTGAGTGAGCTTTATTTTTTAGTTTAGTTGTATTGCCACATCACACATTGAACATATGATATTTAAGATTTTGGATTTTTTTTAAGTTTTTAAGCTATATTTTGACCTCTTTATAGTAACAAATATTAGATGTTTTGATGTTTATGGACTTTGGGAGGCCGGGGCAGGAAGATAGCTTGAGGCCAATAGTTCAAGACCAGCCTGGGCAACATAGCAAGATACCATCTGTACAAAAAAATAAAAAATAAGCCAGGCATGGTGGTATGCACCTATAGTCTAGCTACTTGGGAGACTGAGATGGGAGGATTGCTTGAGCCTGGAAGTTCGAGGCTGTAGCGAACTTGATTGTACCACTGCATTCCAGCTAGGGCAACAGAGCAAGACTCTGTCTCTAAACATATGTAAATAATGAGTAAGACTATGGATATATTTGACTTGTTTTTTTTCTTGGCCTAACCATCATATTTTATTTTTAGAAATTATAAAATTAGACTAGGAGTTGGGCACTTTCTAAGCACCTGTGGAACCTCAAGAAAATAATAATACCTCCTGTATCTGTTGGAACAATACTATTGGGCCTGAGCTTTTTTATTTTATTTGTTTTTATTTAGAAACAGAATCTCACTATGTTGCCCAGGCTGGAACACTGTGACTATTCATAAGTGTGGTTATAGCACACTATCACCTCAAACTCCTAGACTCAAGCAGTCTTCTTGACTTAAGCAGTCCTCCTGCCTCAGCCTCCCAAGTAGCTGGGACCATGGGCACATGCTGCCATGCCCAGCTAGTACTCAGCTTTTAAAAAGAAGCCTAAGAACTAAGTAGGGTCATAGATAGTATAGCAATTAAAAGCATAGGATGTGGAATCATCTGGTTATAGATGTATTGCGTGTACAACTTGGTCAAGTTACCTACTCTCTGCCTCAATTTTTTATCTGGAAAACAAAAGTAGTCATAGTACATATCTCAGAGGACTGTTGGGAGGATTAAATGAGTAATACACGTTAAAATACTTAGAATAGTGCCTCGCATGTGGTAAACATTCCATAAGTGTATTCTCTGATTTGTGTTGCTGCTATTGTTGTGGGACCCCTTAAGGGATGGGGTAAATTTTACCTATCAGAAAGTCGGAAAAGTCAGGTTTTATCCTGACTTTTCCATTAACCTGCTGTGTGAGTCATGGAAGCTTTTTAGCACTCTTTTCTTCATCCATAGAAGTATAAATTTGATATCTGGATACAAAAACAATATATAAACATTACTAACCTTATTAGGTACAAGCACCAGTTGGAAGAGCCAGTATATGGATATAACAACCCCCACAAGAGGTGAGTCTCCGGAATGGAGACTTCATTCATTGTTACAATGCCAGCATCTAAAACAGTGCACAGTAGAAACTCAGTAAACATCTCTTTTGCGTAAATGTCCTCAAGGAATTCTCAAGCTAATGGGGAAGGCAGATGAGCAAACTATTACAGTACACACTAGTGAGTCCTCTGATAGAAGGAAATGCACTGAATATTCCAAATGTTTCTGCTGCATTTTGGATTTTTCTGTTTTCTGCATTTACCCTCTTCAGCTCTGTTAGAACAAGGCAATAAACTGCGTAATGCCATGGTGATTTCTGCAATGAAATCAAGCCCAGAGACCAGCATGTTGTTGGACCAAGTTCATCCTCCTATTAATGAAGATTCTCTTAGAGCATCAACACAGTAAGTTACAGGATAGACAGAACCTTAACAGTTCATTTCTTAATAGTTGTTAACCTGTGTTTTTTGTCAAGTTATGGACTAGGTAATCTTGGAAATGCTTATCAAATAATTCCTGATGTGGTGGGAAAGAAGCCTACACTAGGAGTTAAGATACTAAAAATCTTATCCTAGCACTGGTACTGGCAGCATGTGTAAATGGGTAAATTCTTTACTGTCTCCGAACTGGTATCCTTGGATGTAAAATGGGGATATTCTCTCCCTACCTCACAGAAATGAGATGGGATTCTACTGTAGGAAAGAGCTTTGCAAAGTGTAAAGTTTTATTTAAGGCAGTTAAGTCTAAAGTATGTTAAATTTTCTGAGTCAGACCAGCTGCATGTACGAAGTGATTATGATTTAGATTTTTTCCATCTGTTAGCCACTCAGTGAGAAAGTATTTTTCCACACCTTAGGATCAGAGCCTTTTCTAGGAATCGGTTTAAAGACCACATTGAAGATCACCTCCTCCCTTCAACTGAGAATACATTTTGGAGACATGACACAAAAGCTGATACCAGAGCTATACAGCTGCTATTAGGCAGGTAAGCACTATTAACTGGCTTTCTTCCTTTTAAACTCTTCCTCCAATTCATAGTATGCATTGTTATCAGATTCATCTTCCTAAAGTAACATGTCCTTAGACTAACCAAGCCCTTCCCTATTCCTTAAACTATCACTATTGCCTACTAAATAAAACTCCATACTTTAGCCCTTTACTTTTGGCTTCACTTACAGAATGATCCCATTCTACCTTACCGTTCTTATCTCCCAACTCTTTCCCCAATACCAGTGTTAACATGGTATGATGAAAAGAGCATGGATTTTAAACAGATACAAGTGGAAATTCGAGGTTCATCTCTAATTAGCTTTGTGGCCTTAAGCAGGTATCTCTGAACTTCAGAGGCATTGGTAAAATTGGAATTGTACCTAACTTTGCAAAATTGTTGTAAGGATTAAAAATGATGTATATAGAGGAGTAACACAATGCTTGACACATAATATTTTGCGGGGTTTTTTTTTGTTTTTTGTTTTTTTGAGACGGAGTCTCACTCTGTTGCCCAGGCTGGAGTGCCATGGTACAGTCTCAGCTCACTGCAACCTCCTCCTCCTGGGTTCAAGCAATTATCCTGCCTCTGCCTCCCAAGTAGCTGGTTCTGCAGGCATGCAGTACCACTTTTGGCTAATTTTTGTATTTTTAGTAGCGACGGGGTTTCACCTTGTTGTCCAGGCTGGTCTCGAACTCTTGACCTCAAGTGATCCACTCGCTTCAGCCTCCCAAAGTGCTGGGATTACAAGCATGAGCCACAGTGCCTGGCCAACACATAGTATTTTTACTGTTGGTAGCTGTTTATGTTAACATTGTGAATAACATGTGCCCTCCAACCAGACTCATCTATTTATTGTCTCTTGAATAAAAGATACTGTCTACATTCATGTCTTGGAAAGTTAATAGGGCATAGTGGTTAAAAGCAATATGTGCCGAAGTTTTAAAGGTTATGGGAGAACATGTGTTTCAAAGGCTCCAAAAGCTCACGCCTATAATCCCAGCACTTTGGGAGGCCAAGGTGGGCGGATCACCAGAGTTCAGGAGTTCGAGACCAGCCTGGCCAACAGGGTGAAACCCTGTCTCTACTAACAGTACAAAAATGAGCCAGGCGTGGTGGTGCAGCTACTCAGGAGGCTGAGGCAGGAGAATTGCTTGAAACCTGGAGGCAGAGGTTGCAATGAGCCGAGAACATGCTACTGCACTCTGGCCTGGATGATAGAAGGAGTAAGACTCCATCTCAAAAAAAAAAAGAAAGAAAAACAAAACCTCCAATTAGTTTGATCTGAAGTTTAGATTTCTATTACAGGGAAGTAACAACACAACATACTCCAGAAAATACTTGCAAACCGAACCCAGCAACATATAAAAATAATTTTATACTATGACCAAGCAGGATTTATTCCAGGAATGAGAGTTAGTTTGACACCTGAAATTCAATATATGTGATCCACCATTATCTATATCTGTATCTATAAAGAGAGAGAGATAGACAGATAGATAGTTTTTTTTTTTTTTTGAGACCGAGTCTCACTGTATCACCTAGGCTAGAGTGTAATGGCTTGATCTCGGCTTACTGCAACCTCTGCCTCCTGGGTTCAAGTGATTCTCCTGCCCTAGCCTCCCAAGTAGCTGGGATTACAGGCGTGAGCCACCGCACCTGGCCTCACCATATCAATAGAATAAAAAACAAAAACCACATGATTATCTCAAGAGATGCAGAAAAACAGCCAGTCATGATGGCACACGCTTGTAGTCCCAGCTACTTGGGAGGCTGAGGCAGGAGAATCCCTTGAGCAACAGTGAGCCATGATTACTACACTCCAGTCTGGGTGACATAGTGAGATCTTGTCTCAAAAAAATAAAAAATCAAAAACTATAAAACATTGTTGAAATAAAGAAGATTTAAATACATGGAAAAAATCCTATGTTTATCTTTCAACACAATATCAGAATCCCAGCTGACTTCTTTGTGGAAATTGACAAGCTGTTTCTCAAATTCATAGGAAATTGCAGGGGACCCAGAACAGCCAAAACAATCTTGAAAAAAAAGAAAGTAGGACTCACACTTTCCAATTTTAAAGCTTACTACAGAACAACACTAATCAAGTCAGTGTGATACTGGCATAAGGATAGACATATAAATCAATGGAATAGAGTTGATAGTTTAGAAAAAAACCCATCTGTCTGTGGTCAACTAATATGAGTTAGACAAGGCTGTGAAGACCAATCAATGGGGCAACAAATAGTATTTTCAACAAATGGTGCTGGAACAACTGGATAGCCCCATGCAGAAAAAAAGAAGTTGGGACCAGGCACGGTGGCTCATGGTGTAATCCCAACATTTTGGGAGGCTGAGGCAGTAGGGTCATTTGAGGCCAGGAGTTTGAGACCAGCCTGGACTACATAGTGAAACCCCCATCTCTACAAAAAATAAAAATAAAAAAGATTAGCTAGGTATGGTGGCATATGACTGTAGTCCTAGCTACTCAGGAGACTGAGGCAGGAGGATTACTTGAGCCCAGGAGTTCAAGGATACAATGAGCTAGGATTACACCACCGTATTCCAGCTTCAGCGACAAAGCGAGACCTGTTTCTAAAAAAAAAAAAAAAAAGTTGGACCCTTATCTCACACCATGTACAAAAATTAACTCAAAATGGATCAAACAGCCCCTCTCCCCTCTCCCCTCTCCCCTCTCCCTCTCCCTCTCCCTCTCCCCCTCCCCACGGTCTCCCTCTCCCTCTCCCTCTCCCCACGGTCTCCGTCTCCCTCTCTTTCCACGGTCTCCCTCTGATGCCGAGCTGAAGCTGGACTGTACTGCTGCCATCTCGGCTCACTGCAACCTCCCTGCTGATTCTCCTGCCTCAGCCTGCCGAGTGCCTGCGATTGCAGGCGCGCGCCGCCACGCCTGACTGGTTTTCGTATTTTTTTGGTGGAGATGGGGTTTCTCTGTGTTGGCCGGCTGGTCTGCAGCTCCTAACCGCGAGTGATCCGCCAGCCTCGGCCTCACGAGGTGCCGGGATTGCAGACGGAGTCTCGTTCACGCAGTGCTCAATGGTGCCCAGGCTGGAGTGCAGTGGCGTGATATCGGCTCGCTACAACCTCCACCTCCCAGCCGCCTGCCTTGGCCTCCCAAAGTGCCGAGATTGCAGCCTCTGCCCGGCCGCCACCCCGTCTGGGAAGTGAGGAGCGTCTCTGCCTGGCCGCCCATCGTCTGGGATGTGAGGATCCCCTCTGCCTGGCTGCCCAGTCTGGAAAGTGAGGAGCGTCTCTGCCCGCCCGCCATCCCATCTAGGAAGTGAGGAGCGCCTCTTCCCGGCCGCCATCCCATCTAGGAAGTGAGGAGTGTCTCTGCCCGGCCACCCATCGTCTGAGATGTGGGGAGCGCCTCTGCCCCGCCGCCCCGTCTGGGATGTGAGGAGCGCCTCTGCCCGGCCGCGACCCCGTCTGGGAGGTGAGGACCGTCTCTGCCCAGCCGCCCCGTCTGAGAAATGAGGAGACCTCTGCCCGGCAGCCACCCCATCTGAGAAGTGAGGAGCCCCTCCGCCCAGCAGCCGCCCCGTCTGAGAAGTGAGGAGCCCCTCCGCCCAGCAGCCACCCCGTCTGGGAAGTGAGGAGCGTCTCCGCCCGGCAGCCACCCCGTCCCGGAGGGAGGTGAGGGGTCAGCTCCCCGCCCGGCCAGCCGCCCCGTCCGGGAGGTGAGGGGCGCCTCTGCCCGGCCGCCCCTACTGGGAAGTGAGGAGCCCCTCTGCCCGGCCACCACCCTGTCTGGGAGGTGTACCCAACAGCTCATTGAGAACGGGCCATGATGACAATGGCGGTTTTGTGGAATAGGAAAGGGGGAAAGGTGGGGAAAAGATTGAGAAATCGGATGGTTGCTGTGTCTGTGTAGAAAGAAGTAGACATGGGAGACTTTTCATTTTGTTCTGTACTACGAAAAATTCTTCTGCCTTGGGATCCTGTTGATCTATGACCTTATCCCCAACCCTGTGCTCTCTGAAACATGTGCTGTGTCCACTCAGGGTTGAATGGATTAAGGGCGGTGCAAGATGTGCTTTGTTAAACAGATGCTTGAAGGCAGCATGCTCGTTAAGAGTCATCACCACTCCCTAATCTCAAGTACCCAGGGACACAAACACTGCGGAAGGCCGCAGGGTCCTCTGCCTAGGAAAACCAGAGACCTTTGTTCACTTGTTTATCTGCTGACCTTCCCTCCACTATTGTCCTATGACCCTGCCAAATCCCCCTCTGCGAGAAACACCCAAGAATGATCAATAAAAAATAAATAAATAAATAAATAAATAAAATGTATCAAACAGCTAAATGGAAGAGCTAAAACTATAAAACTCTTAGAGAAAACATAAAGGTAAATCTGTGACCTTGAATTTGGGAAATGATTCTTAGATATGACACCAAAAGCACAAACAAGAAAAGATACATAAATTGGATTCCATCAAAATTAAAAACGTATGTGCTTCAAAGGACACTATGAAAGTGAGAAGACACCACAGAAAGGGAAAAAATATTTACAAATCTTACATCTGATACAGGACTTATATATAGAACATATAAATAACTTATATGACTTAATAATTAAGGAACAAATAATCCAATTAAAAATATGGGCAATGGATCTGAATAAACATTTGTCCAAAAAATATATTAAGATAGCCAATATGGCTGGGCGTGGTGGCTCACGCCTGTGATCCCGGCACTTTGGGAGGCCGAGGCAGGCGGATCACGAGGTCAGGAGATCGAGACCATCCTGGCTAACACAGTGAAACCCCATCTCTACTGAAAACACAAAAAAATTAGCCAGGTGTGGTAGCAGGCGCCTGTAGTCCTAGCTACTAAGGAGGCTGAGGCAGGAGAATGGCATGAACCCAGGAGGCGGAGCTTGCAGTGAGCCGAGATCGCGCCACTACACTCCAGCCTGGGCGACAGAGTGAGACTCCGTCTCAAAAAAAAAAAAAGCCAATATACACATGAAAAGATGCTTGACACCATTTGTTATCGGGAAATCAAGACAATGAGATACTACTTCACACCCACTAAAGTCAAATAGTCTATGCATTAATGAGGATGTGGAGAATTTGAAACCCTGGTACACTGCTGGCAGGAATGTAAAATGATGAAGCTACTTTGGAAAATAGTCTGTCCACTCCTCAAACTCGTACCTATAGATTTACCATATGACAGAAAACAATAAAATTTTTAAACAAATGTTTACCATGTGACCCAGCAATTCAACTCCTAGCTATATACCCAAGGGAAACTACAACATACATCTATGTAAAAATGTGTACATGAATGTTCATACCAGCATTATTCAACTGGATAGTCACATGCAAAAAAAAAAAAAAATTAAGCAACCCCAATATTGAAACAACCTAAATGTCTATCAGCTGATGAATGGATTAAGAAATCTGGAGTATCCATACAGTAGAGTAGTGTTTTCACCTTTGGCCATCAAGGTGAAGTACTGCTACATGCTACAGCATGGATGAACCTTAAAAACATGCTAATTGAAAGAAGCCAGGCCGGGCGCAGTGTGGTAGCTCACACCTGTGATCTGGCAGGCCGAGTTGGGAGAATCGCTTTAGCTCAGGAGTTCAAGACCAGCCTGGGCAACAGGGGGAGACCCCATCTCTACAAAAAGTAAAAAATTAGCCTGGTGTGGTGGCGTATGCCTGTGGTCCTGCCTACTCAGAAGGCTGAGGTAGGAGGATCAGTTGAGACTGGGAGGTTGAGGCTGCAGTAAGCTGTGATTGCAACACTGTACTCCAGCCTGGGTTGTAGAGCAAGACCTTGTCTCAGATAAAAAGAAGCCAGTCACAAACAAATATATATACTTTTATTTCATTTAGATGAAATGTCCAAATAGGCAAATCTATAGAAACAGAAAATAGATTAATAGTTCCTTAGGGCTGGGAGTGATGATGGGTAGGGTAGTGATAGCTGAAGGTTATGGAGTTTCTTTTTGAGATGATGAAAATGTTTTAAAATTGAGTGGTGATGGTTGGTCACATTTATGAACATACTAAAAACTATTGAATTGCTCACTTTATTTATTTAGTCTTTTTATTTTTATTTTTTTGAGACAGAGTTTTGCTTTGTCACCCAGGCTGGAGTGCAGTGGCGCAACCTCAGCTAACTGCAACCTCCACTTTCTGGGTTCAAGCGATTCTCCTGCCTCAGCTTCCCGAGTAGCTGGGATTGCAGGCGCATGCCACCATGCCCAGCTAATTTTTTGTATCTTTAGTAGAGATGGGGTTTCACCGTGTTGGCCAGGCTGGTCTTGAACTCCTGACCTCAAGTCTTCCGCCGGCCTCGGCCTCCCAAAGTGCTGGGATTACAGGCGTGAGCACCATGTCTGACCAAATTGCTCACTTTAAATGGGAAGATTGTATGGTATGTGAATTATATCTCAATAAAGCTGTTTATGGAAAAAGAAAGATCAAGAACTCAGAACAGTGAATGAAAAAAGATACACCAAGACACATAATTATGAAATTTTAAAATACTGAGAGACCATATTAAAAGCTTCCAGAGAGGGAGAAAGAATAAAGGTCACATATACAGTATCAGGAATTGGAATGACATCAGATTTTCTACCAGTTCCTTGGAATTCAGTGCAGAAATGTCTTAAGATTCTGAAGTAAAATTATTTTCAACCTAAAATTCCACTCCTAATCAAACTATTAATCAAGTGTGAGGGTAGAGTAAAAATAACTTTATTTATCCATAGTCTCAGAAGTTTACCTGTCTTGCACTATTCCTCAGAAAACCACAGGAAAATGTCTTCTACTGAACATTTATTTTAGGAAGAAAGAGTAAGACATATAGTCTAAGAAATAGGGGCTACAACACAGAAGAGGGATAGAAGGAGATTTCGGGTATATGTCATAGAGAGAGAGCAAACAGTCCATATTGGGGCATCCCTGACTTCAGTAGGGATGTTTCTAAGGAGTGCAGAGGTGGAGGGGAATGGAACATATATTGACCAAATTTTAAGTTCTCTCAAAGGAAATTTTCAATTCTCTTGAAGAGTTCACTCGTAAAGTAGTAATAGAGTCAAAGAAAACTAAGCAAATGAAAAGGCAGTTAATTTATACCAGGGATAATTAGTTGTATAAGAAAAAAGGTGCAATAAATTATACTGTACTTGGCTCTGATACAATATTAACCCTGAAAATTAATTTAACCAAAAAATTTGTAATATAACTAAATAGAGAAGATGGGTAAAAGGGAAATGTGTGGTTCAAGTGTAATGGTATAAGAGAGTGGGTCCTTCATTTTTCATAATAGGAAGTTCATAGATCATACAGAAAAGTGAAAAATCAGAAAATAACAGTATATTAATGTGTCACTTCAAAATATAGAGGTAAAGCCAGGCATGGGGGCTCACACCTGTAATTCCAGTATTTTGGGAGGCTATGTCAGATCGTTTAGTTCAAGACCAGCCTGGGCAACATAATGAGGCCCAGTCTCTACAAAAATTTTTAATTAGCCGAGTGTATTGGTGTGCACCTGTAATCCTAGCTACTACTAGGGAGGCTGAGACAGGAGGAACCCTTGAGCCCAGGAGTTCGAGGCTTCAGTGAGCTATGATCACACCAGTGCACTCCAGGCTGGGCAATAAAGCAATACCATGTCTCTAATACAATTTTTAAAAAGAGAAATATGAAGGTAAATACCAGAAGAAGCATCCAAGGGAATTGAAAGTGATCACCTCTGAGGAGTCAGTCAGCTACTGTTTTTTATTATAAGCCTTGTAGTCGTATTTGACTTTCAAAATAGGTATGTGTATTCTTTTATTTAAAATTATGTCTAAGAAGAAAAAGAAAAGGATAGTCATGAGAATAGGCTTATTTTATGGCCAAGGAACACAGGCAAATTTTAGCCCTTTTAGTATATCATAGACAGGTGAATAAATTCAAATAAATATTAATTTCAAAAAAGAGTAAAAAGTGGAAAAGTCTTCATAACTTTTAAGGGTGTACAAAGTGGGGAATAACAAGCAACTGGAAAAATTTTCATAACTTTAAGGGTATACAAAGGGGAGTGTATATGTGACAAATAATACAGTTATATAAAAGAACAAAAAGTAAAGTTTCAAAATGAAGTAGGTCTCAAACTCCTGGGCTGCAGAAGCTGCAGAGAGGCCATGTCGACTGGGAAGTTGTTAGTTGGATTATGGCAGTTAGGAAGCTGTTCTGACCTTTGAGAGTTACTATAGATTGATGGTTTTCAAGGAGGGGGTGATTTTTCCCCACCCCAACCCCATGAGACATTTACAGTGTCTGGAGACATTTCTCGGTTGTCACAACTGGGAACGTGCTACTGGCATCTGGTAAGTGGAGGCCAGGGATCTGAAATGCATAGGACAGTCCCAAAGATAAAGAATTGTCTGACCCAACATGTCAGCAGGGCTGAGATTGAGAAACCCTGCTGTAGCCTAAGGAAAGGTGAGGAAGGGAATGTTAACTATCTGCTTGTTCAAAATAATATAAGAACACTGTCTAATTTGAAGGTAGTGATTATATACTATTTTCTTGAGAAATTAAGGAAAAAAGTATAGCAGCTAGCTTGAAAGGAAGCAACATGGAAAGAAATAATAAATAAAATGTGTATTACAGTACCTGGCATCATGTTCATTAAGAAATCATTAAGTTCACTAACAGGTGCTTATTAAATGTTAATTACTGTAGGAGAAACAGAAATATATGCATACTTTGCCCTCAAGGAGCCTAAACTTTGAGGGAAAATATGGAATTTATACAAGGACCTGAAAGAAAGTTAGAAAGTAAAAATTGCTATCAAAAAAGGGACCAGTAATCCCAGCACTTTGGGAGGCCAAGGTGGGTGGATCACCTAAGGAGTTAGAGACCAGCCTGGCCAACATGGTGAAACCCCATCTCTAAAAATACAAAAATTAGCCAGGCATGGTGGCAGGCACCTATAATCCCAGCTACTAGGGAAGCTAAGGCAGGAGAATCACTTGAACCCAGGAGGCAGAGGTTGCAGTGAGCCTAGATCATGCCATGGCACTCCAGCCTGGGCAATAAGAGCAAAACTCCACCTCAAAAAAAAAAAAAAAAAAGATACCAGCGTGGGATTTCAAAAAAAAAAGGAGTATTTGTTCCTTCAAAATTCTGAGTTTATAGTTACTTATATGCTTATCTTCCTATTAGTTTGTAAACTGTGTTTTATTCATTTTTTGTATTCGATATAGAACTAATATCACCATAATTAGTCCTAAATACACGTATTTTTGTTTATTGGAAGTGGGTGTATCTGTGAATTTTTTGCAAAATCGATATATAATATTTAACTCATTGAATTATACCCTTTTTTCTCCCTATCAGACTATAAATAATACAAGAGTACAGATTGTGTTAGCTTAGCCACCTCTATATCTTCCAGGACCTAGCACATAATAAGTGACCAATAAATGTTTGTTGAATACATGAATGAGATCACAATCAGTGTCAGTAGTGTGTTTCTGAATACTGGTTGTTAGCATCCCAGAGGAGGGGTAGTATAATTGGGAAATATTTATTCAGTAGTCTTTTGTTTAATGTGAGTCTTTTGTTTAACATATCTCCTTCCACATTTAGAACCTCAGAAAGTTTCACTAAAGAGAGAATAGTTCAGCTGAAACTTCTATTAAAATTCTTCTGCTTTGTTTTCTTATCTCTGCAGTGCTGAATTATCCCAAGGCAATTTCTGGGATGGGCTAGGCTCTCCTCCAGATTCCCCATCTCCTGGGAGTGATGTGTATTGCATCAGTGAGCTGAATGACCCTCAGTATGACCAGAGTCTTCTGGAGAATTTATTTTATACAGCACCTGTAAGTCACTGAACCTGAAGCATTGAGAATTAGAGAACAAATGTATTAATAATATTAGTAGCTGCAGGCATGACAGCTATGCATTTTACATAACTTACCTTACTTAATTTTAATGACAACCTCAAGAGGAAAGTATTATCTTCATTTTACAGATGTTGAGACAGGCCTAGTAGGATTTGAATATTTTGTGCAAGAACATATAGCAAATAAGTATTAGAGCCAGAATTCAAATTCACATTTGCCTGAGTCCAAAGCCTATGGTTTAATTAATATATTTTATGGTTTCCTTAGAGCTTTTATAAGGAAGAGCTGATGTAGTTATACCCTCAGAACCATCCTTAACTGGTATCTGTTAAAAATATTCCAAAAACACTTCTTACTCACAGGAGACAAAACTCTTCTGGCCTGTAAGACAGGGATTCTCTTTTCTGGCAGCTCTGGTTTTTTCAAAGTTCTTTTTTCTATCAAGCCTTATGCTCTTTTCATTGGCTTAGCATCTTCTAGAATCTATACATACTATGTCCAATCCCTGTTCCACAAGTAGTTATTTATATGTGTGAAGGTTCATACTCCTGATTTTCCTTTTCTCCAGGTCAAAAAAAGATACTGAAATACAAGGTAGTTTATATCAGCCCAGTAGTAAGCCAGTGAGGGCTACCACAGTTTGGAAGAAGCAGGGAAAACTTTTACATGAGATTGTGGGGAAAAACCATAATGAAGAATAAAGGGTTTTAACTGAGATTGAAAGATAGTGTTTTGAGAAGCAGAGAAAAGATACAAAATGGGCGTAGAAAGAATGACCTGTGCAGAAAAACACATTTTTGCGCTACAAGGGACCCAATTGACTAGATGAGAATTTGTGTGGAAAAGGAGTTGATAAGGCAGGCTGGCACATTGCAGCCAATCTGTGAAAGGCTTTTCATGTCAGGTGAAGAGGAAATCACATATCACAAGAGTGTTCTAGGAATCTGTGTCTGGCAACCCTACAGTGGGGCAGACTGAAGAGGGAATAACGAGAAGCAGATAGGAAGCCACTGGGCTACGGGAAGCATGAGACAGAATGCCTGAATGAGAGTACCTGCAGTGGAATTGGACAGGAGGTGGTGGACGGGAAAGACATTAGGAACTGTTAGGATTTCATGACTTCCCACCTTCACAGTCATCACTGATACTGTGTTCCCTATAGGATAAAGAGGAAATATTTATTACACATTTATTACCCATTTTCTGTGTGCTAGGGACTTCACATCTTATCTGTCATTTATTAAATACTTGGGGGGGTTGTTTGTTTTGTGTTTTTATGGCTGAAACTAATAGAACACTAAATACTGTTTTTAATTCATTATTTTGTTTAATTCTTTTTTTTTTTTTTTTTTTTTGAGACGGAGTCTCTCATTCTGTCACCCAGTCTGGAGTGCAGAGGCATGATCTCGGCTCACCGCAACCTCCACCTCCCAGGTTCAAGCCATTCTCTTGCCTCAGCCTCCCGAGTAGCTGGGATTACAGGCACATGCCACTGCACCTGGCTAATTTTTGCATTTTTATTAGAGACAGGCCTTCACCATGTTGGCCAGGCTGGTTTTGAACTCCTGACTTCAAGTGGTCCGCGCACCTCAGCCTCCCAAAGTGCTGGGATTACAGGTGTGAGCCATCATGTCCAGCTCTGTCTTATTTAATTCTTTTACCAGCCGCATGAGATAGTATTATCTCTCTTTTACATAGCATGAAACAAAAGCTTAAAGAGGTTAAGTACAAATAATTAAGTGGCAGAACTGGAATTCTCACCGTAGTCTATCTGACAAAAAGCCTGTATGTTTTTCTACTAGACCACAGTGTGTCATCAGCCTTGAGCATGGTGTTAGAATCTGACCCTGACTGACCTCTCTAACTTCATCTCCCACTTATACCCTTTACCCACTGGAGTCTCCAGCCATACTGGAGTCTCAAGCCACTTGCCACTCCTGAAACATTTTAGCTCTTTTTTTTTTTTTTCTGTAGAGACAGGGTCTCACTATGTTGTCCAAGTTGGTCTCAAACTCCTGGCTCAAGCAATTCTCCTGCCTTGGCCTCCCAAAGGGTTGAAATTACAGGCATGAGCCACTGCACCTGGCCTTAGCTCTTGTATCTCCCTATTTTTTGCTGGTACTAATCCTTCTACTTTGAATGTTGAAATGCTCTTAGCCATCTGATAAACTTCATTCTTGAAGGAGAGGATGTGGAGAAATAGGAATGCTTTTACACTGTTAGTGGGAATGTAAAGTAGTTCAACCATTGTGGAAGGCAATGTGGCAATTCCTCAAGGATCTAGAACTAGAATTACCATTTGACCCAGCAATCCTATGACTGGGTGTATACCCAAAGGATTATAAATCATGCTACCATAAAGACACATGCACACATATGTTTATTGCGGCACTATTCACAATAGCAAAGCCTTGGAACCAACCCAAATGTCCATCAGTGATAGACTGGATTAAGAAAATGTGGCACATATACACCGTGGAATACTATGCAGCCATAAAAAAGGATGAGGTCATGTCCTTTGCAGGGACATGGATGCAGCTGGAAACCATCATTCTGAGCAAGCTATCACAAGGACAGAAAACCAAACACCGCCTGTTCTCACTCATAGGTGGGAATTGAACAATGAGTTCACTTAGACACGGGGCGGGGAACATCACACACCAGGGCCTGTAGGGTGGTTGGGGGCTGGGGGAAGGATAGCATTAGGAGGAATACCTAATGTAAATGATGAGTTGATGGGTGCCACAAACCAACATGGCACATGTATACATATGTAACAAACCTGCACGTTGTGCACATGTACCCTAGAACTTAAAGTATAATTAAAAAAAAAAAAGGAAGTAATCTTACAATCATGCTGTTCAATGTAGCTAGTAGCCACATGCCACTGCTTAAATTAGTTGACATTATATAAAATTTAAAATTTATTTTTCAGTTGCACTAGTCAATAACCATTTTTAAAAGCTGCCACTCAAAGGATAACTTAAAGGCAAAAATCTTTGTAATTTTGCCTTTTAAAAGTTGTATTGTGGTGGTGTGGTGGCTCATGCCTGTAATCCCAGCACTTCAGGAGGCCAAAGTGGGCAGATCACTTAAGGTCAGGAGTTCGAGACCAGCCTGGACAACATGGTGAAACCCTGTCTCTACTAAATATACAAAAATTAGCCAGATATGGTGGCACATTCCTTTAGTCCCAGCTACTTGGGAGACTGAGGCATGAGAATCACTGGAACCTGGGAGGCAGAGGTTGCAGTGAGCGGAGATTGCGCCACTGCACTCCAGCCTGGGCAACAGACTGAGACTCCATCTCAAAAAAAAAAAAAAAAAAGTTGTATTGCTTCCAAGAAGACATTCTTATCATGCTTATTTAAATTAATTTGTCCCCCTATCACAGATCAACACATTATACCCCCTGACATGCTGAAAAAAGGGTAATTTTAAATGATAGACTTAAAATAACTTTGGGTTTGTGTCCTGAATTTATATTATATTAGCAAGCTTTATGTCTTTTTTTAAAAATGGAACCCAGTAACTATAATGCCATCTTCTCTCTTTATTTTACATTTTGTGATGTAGAGGGCTGATCAGTCCATTGCAGTAGCTGCCTTTTCTCAAAATAAAAATGAATTGCAAGGGGCTTAGCCATTGGTTCTCTCATTAAGAAAATTTGTGACTATAGTAAACAGTTCATTTTAGCAAGATTAAAAGCAGAATGAATCATTTGTAGTATAGAATGGTGACAAAAAGTAGTCTTGGCTGGGTACGGTGGCTCATGCCTGTAATTCCAGCACTTTGGGAGGCTGAGATGGGCAGATCACTTGAGCCCAGGAGTTTAAGACCTGCCTGAGCAACATGGCCAAACTTCCTCTCTACAAAAAATACAAAAATTAGTCAGGTGTGGTGGCTCATGTCTGTAGTCCCAGCTACTTGGGAGGCTGAGGTAAGAGGATCACATGAGCCCCAGGGAGGTCAGGGTTGCAGTGAGCTGTGATTGTGCCACTGCACTCCAGTCTGGGCAACACGGTGAGACCCTGTCTCAAAAAAAAAAAAAAAAAAAATAGTCTATCCAGATGATTAGGTGACATCGTCCAAGTCATTTGGCCTCAAACTATGGTAGAAATACAGGCTTTGAAGCCCATGGAGATCAAAATCTGGCTTTACAGCTATGGATCATAAACAAGCTGCCTTACTTTTTTCAGCTCTGATTTTCTCACTTGTAAAAACTGACATAAAGGTACCTTGTCGGAATGTGGTGAATATTAGAAATATACATGTAGCATTAAGCATAATACCAGACATATGGTCTATAGTCAATAAATAATAGTTATTATTATTGAGAATTTGAAAGAAGAATCTACCTTCCTTTATTTGCTTTGAACTGAACTTGTAGGTTATTTTTGTGAACTTCAGATTATTTTTGTATAACCAGGAGAAATATGGGATTATCTCCCTGGTGTCAGTTCTTTCTTTAAGAGAATGATGTATGTACAGAGAAGAACTTGCTTTCTTTAGAGAAATGTTTCGTAGCTACAATTCCCAAAGCAGCAGTCATTTAGTGTCTCTGTTTCTTCCTCTCCATAGAAATCTGATACCAGCATCAGTGATTTCCTCAGTGAAGAGGATGATATCGTCCCTTCTAAAAAAATAAGCCAGTCAACAGCTCTTGCCAGATCATCTAAGGTTCTGGAGTCAAGTGATCATAAGCTGAAGAAGAGGTCAGCAGGCAAGAGAAATAGGTGAGCTGCTCTGACTGTTTATTTAAAGGTAAACACAAAGGAATGTTATTTTCACAAGATCTCCCAAGGTGAAATGACCCATTTGCCCAGCACCATCAGAGTGATTAATTACAATAACTCAGTAAACATTGTAATTCTTAAAAATGTAATAATCTGAAAAGATGGCTAAATTTGTTTTCCATAGGTTTTGGGGAACAGGTGGTGTTTGATTACCTGAATAAGTTCTTTAGTGGTGATTTCTGAGATTTTGGTGCTCCCATCACCCAAGCAATATGACACTGTACCCAATTTGTAGTCTTTTTTTTTTTTTTTTTGAGACGGAGTTTCGCTCTTGTTTCCCAGACTGGAGTGCAATGGCACGATCTCAGATCACCGCAACCTCCACCTCCCAGATTGAAGCAATTCTTCTGCCTCAGCCTCCCGAGTAGCTAGGATTACAGGCATGTGCCCCCATGCCCGACTAATTTTGTATTTTTAGTAGAGACGGCGTTTCTCCATGTTGGTCAGGTTGGTCTTGAACTCCCAACCTCAGGTGATCCGCCCACCTTGGCCTCCCAAAGTGCTGGGATTACAGTTGTGAGCCACCACACCCGGCCTCCAATTAGTAGTCTTTTATCCCTCACCTTCTTCCCACTCTTGCCCTCAGTTTCCAAAGTCCATTGTATCATTCTTATGCCTTTGCATCCTCATAGCTTTGCTTCCACTTATGAGTGAGAACATATGATATTTGGTTTTCTGTTCCTGAGTTACTTCACTTAGAAAAATGGTCTCCAATTCCATCTAGGTTGCTGCAAATGCCATTATTTCATTTCCTTTTTATAGTTGAGTAGTATTCCATATATATATATATATATATATATATATATTTGAGGCCAAATGACTTAGACGATGTCACCTAATTATTTGGGTAGACTACTTTTTTTTTTTTGAGACGGGGTCTCACTATGTTGCCCAGGCTGGAGTGCAGTGGCACAATCACAGCTCACTCATATATATATATTCATATATATATATTCATATATATATATTCATATATATATATTCATATATATATATTCATATATATATATTCATATATATATATTCATATATATATATTCATATATATATATTCATATATATATATTCATATATATATATTCATATATATATTCATATATATATATTCATATATATATACACACACACGTATATATACATATACACGTATATATGTGTATATATACATATACACGTATATGTGTATATATACGTGTATATGTGTATATACACATATATACGTGTATATGTGTATATACACGTGTATATGTATATATACATACACGTGTGTATATATACACGTGTGTATATATACATATACACGTGTATATACACATATACACGTGTATATATACACACACGTATATATGTGTGTGTATATATATACGTGTGTGTGTGTATATATATACACACATATATGTATACCACAATTTCTTTATCCATTCATTGATTGATGGGCATTTAGGCTGGTTCCATATTTTTGCAATTGCAAATTGTGCTGCTATAAGCATGCAAGTACAAGTATCTTTTTCATATAGTGACTTCTTTTCCTCTGGGTAGATACCTAGAAGTAGGATTGCTGGGTCAAATGGTAGTTCTACTTTTAGTTCTTTAAGGAATGTCCACACTGTTTTCCATGGTAGTTGTACTAGTTTACATTCCCACCAGCAGTGTAATAGTGTTCCCTTTTCACCACATCCTCACCAACATTCTTTTTTTTTTTAATTTTTTATTATGGCCATTCTTGCAGGAGTAAAGTGGTATCGCATTGTGGTTTTGATTTGCATTTCCCTGATCATTAGTGATGTTGAGCATATTTTCATACGTTTGTTGGCCATTTGTATATCTTCTTTTGAGAATTGTTTATTCATGTCCTTAGACCACTTTTTGATGGGATTGTTTGATTTTTTCTTGCTAATTTGTTTGCATTCCTTATAGATTCTGGATATTAGTCCTTTGTCAGATGTATAGATTGTGAAGATTTTCTCCCATTCTGTGGGTTGTCTGTTTACTCTGCCGACTGTTTCTTTTGCTGTGCAGAAGCTTTTTAGTTTAATTAAGTCCCATCTATTTATCTTTGTTTTTGTTGCATTTGCTTTTGGGTTCTTGGATATGAAGTCTTTGTCTAAACCATGTCTAGAAGGGTTGTTCCATTGTTATCTTCTAGAATTTTTATGATTTGAGGTCTTAGATTTAAGTCCTTGATCCATCTTGAGTCGATAGTTTTATAAGGTGAGAGATGAACATCCAGTTTCATTCTTCTACATGTGGCTTGCCAATTGTCCCAGCACCATTTGTTGAATAGGGTGTCCTTTCACCACTTTATGTTTTTGTTTGCTTTGTTGAAGATCAGTTGGCTATAAGTATTTGGCTTTATTTCTGGATTCTCTATTCTGTTCCATTGGTCTATGTGTCTATTTTTATACCAATACCATGCTGTTTTGGTGACTGTGGCCTTATAGTATAGTTTGAAGTCAGGTAATGTGATGCCTCCAGATTTGTTCTTTTTGCTTAATCTTGCTTTGGCTATGTGGGCTCTTTTTTGGTTCCATATGAATTTTAACATTTTTTTTCCTAGTTCTGTGAAGAATGATGAGGGTATTTTGATGGGAATTGCACTGAATTTGTAGATTGCTTTTGGCAGTATGGTCGTTTTCATATTTTTGATTCTACCAAGATAGGTATAATTTAAATGGTTAAGGAAGAAAGCAGAATTCTAGGTTGTATGTGTACTGTGATCACAACTGTGTAGAAAATATGCATAAGGAAAGCAAATGAGAAGGAATACACAAAAGTGACAATAGTAGTTACATTAGAATAGTGGGTAACTGAAATAAGGTCTGTGTCCCTTCTAGAAAAACCTAAATTTGGAGTTTCAGTTTCTGTACTCATATGTATTGTATAATGTATGTGTGTGTATATATGTTGTGTGTGTATAAGTGTGTGTATATATATGTATGTATATATATATGTATGTATGTGTGTGTGTGTGTGTATATATCTATATAGTATTTTTAAATTTTTTTTTTACCTGGGAGCATAGATTCAAATTACCCTGAATATACACTCTCAAACCTTTAGATTATATTTTTTTTTTACATTTTTTGAGATTTCTTGTACTATAGGACCAGAATTCTGATAATAAAAGCTGTTTCCAATCCTTGATAACTTGTGAGTCAAGATACTTGGCTGGGTGTGGTTGTTCACACCTGTAATCCCAGCACTTTGGGAGGCTGAGGCAGGAGGATTGCTTGAGTCCGGGAGTTCAAGACCAGCCTGGGCAACATAGTAATATCTCATCTCTACAAAAAATACAAAAATTAGCCAAGTGTGATGACCCATGCTTGTGGTCCCAGCTACTTGGGAAGTTGAGGTGGGAGGATCATTTGAGCCCAGGAGGTCAAGGCTGCAGTAAGCCATGATCGTGCCACTGCACTCCAGCCTGGGTGACAGAGCAACACCCTGTGTCAAAAATAAAAATAAAAAAATAAAAACTTGCTGCCCTCCCTTTTTCCTCATCTTGCCTGTGCAAACTAGATTGTTTCATGTGAAGCCTGTAGCAGTATGCCTCACTGCTTGTGTGAACTCCTTTCAGAAATTTGGTTGAACAACAGATGCTCTCAGAAACTCCAGAAGATGCCCAAACGATGACACTAAGTGTGGATAGACTGGCCCTTTTGGGTAGAACACATTCAGTCAGAATCATCATCGAAACCATGGGAGTTCCTCCAGATAGTCCTCAGATGACCCCTGGCAAAAAAAGCTATGCTGGTCCACCACCTAAGGTGACTACAGCAAAAAAGCGGTATGTCTCTAACATGAGAAAGCTAAATTTGACATTTTTGGAAAGTGTGTCTGATGGTAATAATCAACAATTGCATAATACTGTGATTTGGGATGTGTTTTCATATGCATCATTTAATCTACAGAAATATATTGAATCCCTGCTATATCCCAAGAACTGTGTAAGTAAGTATGGGACTAAAGAAAATTAAGATACAGACTCTGTTCTTACATATCTTACAGTTAGCAGGAGAGAGAAACATTTAAATGGCTATCTATAACATAAAGCTTTAGGGCCCAAAATAGATGTTTTGTATTAAAATTGCTGTGGGAACACAAGAAAGGGAGCCTTTGATTCTCTCAGACAGGGTTGGTGGAAGGCTTTGAAGAAGAGGTAGGGCCTCTGAGTACTAGAGGTCCTGAAAGTAAGATTTCAAATATATGTTGGATTTATCAGACGGAAATTAGGTTTATTGTTTGGTTAGTTTTTAATCACTTTTTTTTTCTTTTTAGCACTTTCTTTGTAGAATATCACTTTCCTGTGGGCTTTTCGGAAAGCGGATTGGGAAAGACAGCTTTGATCACTGAGGTTGTTCGACTCGCCTCCAGTAAAATTACAGATGGAAGTAAGAGACACACTGGTTTTCTGCACCTTAGACATTCTGACTTTGGAAGAATTTTTGAATTCCTAATTACTCATTTGACTTTTTTTTTTTTTTTTTTTTTGACATGGAGTCTCACTCTTTCGCCCAGGCTGGAGTGTGGTGGCGCAATCTCTGCTCACTGCAGCCTCCACCTCCCGGGTTCAAGTGATTCTCCCATCTCAGCCTCCTGAGTAGCTGGGATTACAGGCGTATGCCACCACACCCAGCTAATTTTTGTATTTTTTAGTAGAGACAGGGTTTCACCATGTTGGCCAGGGTGGTCTCAAACCCCTGACCTTAAGTGATCCGCCTGCCTCGGCCTCCCAAAGTGCTGGGATTACAGGCATAAGCCATCACGCCCAGCCAATATTTTCAAGGCTGTGCAACCATCACCACAATCTAATTTTAGAACATTTTCATCCCCCCTAAAAGAAACCCCATACTTACTAGCATTCGCTTCGCATTTCCCTCTTCCCCCAGCCCTAAGCAACTGCTAATCTTTCTTTCCCTATCAATTTGTCCATTCTGGATGTCTCATATAAATGGAATCATGCAACTTGTGATTTTTGTGACTACTGTCTTTGACTTACCATAATATTTTTAAGTTTCATGTTATAGTATATATCAGTACTTCATTCCTTTCTATGGCTGAGTAATACTCCATTGCATAGATATACCACATTTCATTTATCCTTTTCTCAGTTGCTGGACATTCGTGTTATTTCCACTTCCTGGCAATTTTGCATAATGCTGCTATGTGAACATTTGTGTACGTGGTTTTGTATGGACTGTGTGCTTTCATTTCCCTTGGGTATATATCTAATGGTAGAATTGCTGGGTCATATGGTAACTTTATGTTTTAACTTTTTCAAGAACTGCCAGACTGTTTTCAACAGTGGCTGCACCATTTTCCCACTAGCAGTATATGAAGGTTCTAATTTGTCTACATCCTCGTCAACACTTGTTACTTTCCATTCTTTTTTATTCTGGTCATCCTGGTGGATGTGAAGTGACATCACATTGATTTTGATTTGCATTTTCCTGATGGCCAATCATGTCAAGCATCTTTTCATGTGCTTATTGGCCATTTATAGATCTTCTTTGGAGAAATGTCTATTCAGATCCTTTGTTCACTTTCAAATCAGGCTTTTTGTTATTGAGTTATAAGAGTTCTTTGTATATCCTAGATACAAGCCCCTTATCAGATCTATGATTTGCAAATATTTTCTCCCATTCTGTGGGTTGTCCTTTCACTCTCTAGATGGTATTGTTTACAGCACAAAAGTTTTTAATTTTTATGTACTCTAGTTTATCTGTTTTTTTTTCTTTTGTTGCTTAGGCTTTTGGTGTTGTCTTTTTTTTCTAATTTGTTTTAAATATTTCAGATACAGAAAAAGGATAATATAATAGACATTTATGTTCCTGCCACCCAAAATTACAGCCACTTTTCTAATATATTCTGAGGATAGCTTTGCCTTGGTTCTCCAGTTTGATCTATGAATAGTTAGTTCATCAGTGTTAAGTTTATTCTCTGGGAAGTAGTTTGAGAAATAAAAGATGTGGTCCTAACACTCCTACTACATAGTCAAATAACTTTTCCTTTACAGCATAGTAACACGGGATTTTTAAATTTTTACTTTGCTTTGTTTTGTTTCCTTTTTGAAATAGATAATCCATTCACATGGTTCAAAATTGAACGGTTGCATCCTTGCAGACAATCAAGATTGTTGCTTTTATATCCTTCCTTAAGCCATTATAGATAGATAGATAATGTGTGTGTGTATATATATATGTGTGTGTGTGTGTGTGTGTGTGTGTGTGTGTGTGTGTGTGTGTGTGTGTATCAGCAAATATGTTTACTCCAGGGGTGTCCAATCTTTTGGCTTCCATGGGCCACGTTGGAAGAAGAATTGTCTTGGGCCACACATAAAATACACTAACAGTAATGATAGCTGATGAGCTTAAAAAAAAAATCGCAAAAAAATCTTACAGTGTTTTAAGAAAGTTTACAAATTTGTGTTGGGCTGCATTCAAAGCCATCCTGGGCCACTTGTGGGTTGGACAAGCTTGGTTTATCCCTTCCCCTGCCTCCCATCCCCCATGTTTCTGCAAGTATTAATGCACCATACACAAGTTGAGTGTCCTTTCTTCAAAATGCTTAGAACCAGAAGTATTTAGGATTTCGAATTTTTTCAGATTTTGGAATATTTGCATATACATTAATAAGATATCTTGGGGATAGGACCCAAATCTAAACATGAAATTCATTTATGTTTCATATAGACCTTATATGCATAGCCTGAAGGTAATTTTATACAATATTTTTAATAATTTTGTGCTTGAAATAAAGTTTTCACTGCATTTTGACTGAGACCCATCACATGAGGTAGGGTATGGTATTTTCCACTCTGGCATCATATTGGCATTCAGAAAGTTTTGGATTTTGGAGCATTTTGGATTTTGAGTTTTGGGGTTAGGGCTGCCCAACCTGTACATGGTTCTGCACCTTGCCTTTAACATTATATCTTAGGAATTTTTGCATATCAGGACGTAAAGAGGAAAGAGGAAACTCACAGATGAGGAAAGAGGAAACTGAGACATAAATTAGTTAAGTAGCTTCTATGAGATCACACAGCTGGTTTATGGTAGAACTAGAATTTCAACCTAGCACCGTTTCGATTCCAAAATGTGCCTTAATCTGTATTGCTTCTTAAACATTATTGTTGTTGTTGGCCACAGTGATTGATCTTCTCTACATTTTTCTGAGAAGGATTATATAGGAAATGTGGAATAAGCATTGAGCAAAGAATTGCAAGACTGGGTTCTAGTTCTGATTATACCACACACTAATCATATGCCTTAGGCAAAATCACTTTCTTACCTGTGGGCCTCTCTTAACAATAATATGGATTAGACTAGGTATTAATCTGGATCCCTTTCAACTCTTGAAAAAAATCTTCTCTGGGACACTGTTAGCAAGTTATTTACCTGAATTTCTTCTTCACTTACTGCCTTAACTCACTTTTCAGTGGTAAAAAATAATGAGCCTAAGAAACAGAATTATATAAGAAATATAGTAACAGTGCAAGAACATACCCAAGTAGTAAGGAGAAATTGAAATAGGATTGTTTGTACATAAAGAATTTTACAGTGTTCAAAGTGCTTTTTCCTTTATTACCTCAGTTCATCCTCCCAGCACACCAATGAGGTGCAGGTGTTATCTTACTTCCCTTTCCCAGGTAGAGTAACCAGATAAACTGATCTAGTGGATGTGGGCTTCCTGGCCCCAGACCTTTTGTTCATAGTTCCTGTGCATTGATCCACATAGCAAGGTCCAGATCCTGTCCAACAGTGCCAAGAAAAGTATAGAGTCGCCAGTTAATATGGCCAGAGATGAATAGAGAGATCAGTAGGTTAAAATGGGTCATTTGAATGAATGCTAGAAATAGCAGATTCTCTTCATACATAACTGGGCCTCTTGTGAAGATTCTTCAGATTCATGATCCATTTTAACAGCCTTAGCAGTGAATGGACAGGAAGATCATTTTATAGGTGATAAATTGTTTCTGCGGTGGTAAGTAATAGTAAGTATTAGAACTGGAGCTTAAACTTATATCCTTTGATTCTGGTCTCAAATTCTTTTTATTTTATTTTATTTTATTTATTTATTTATTTATTTTTGAGACAGAGTCTCACTCTGTTGCCTAGGCTGGAGTGCAGTGGTGTGCTCTAGGCTCACTGCAAGCTCTGCTTCCCCGGTTCACGCCACTCTCCTGCCTTAGCCTCCCAAGTAGCTGGGACTACAGGCGTCTGCCACTGCGCCCAGCTAATTTTTTTTTGTTGTTGTATTTTTAGTAGAGACGGGGTTTCACCATGTTAGCCAGGATGGTCTTGATCTCCTGACCTCGTGATCTGCCCATCTCGGCCTCCCAAAGTGCTGGGATTACAGGCGTGAGCCACCGCACCCGGCCTCAAATTCTTTTTATTTACCAGTTAAAACTCCATGGCCATGAGCACAAACTCAAATACCACCATCACTTTATCCACTTACACTTATAGTTATAGCAGAAACCCCTTCCTTTCCACCCAAGAGATAGACTCCTTTGCCTGACACTACTAGCTAACATCAGTACCTGATAACTTGTTTGTGACAGTAAGAGTGTCCAGAAGGTAGGCTTATTTTTGTATTATAGTTTTTTATTCCATTCTTCTATTTATCCCTCATTGTTCCACCTCCAACCAGCCCCCTTCTTTTAGTATACTACCTACAAACTAGTCTTTTAAAAACAGTGCTATTACCTAAAACCCAGTGAAGTATATAGATATGTCTCCTTACACATCCAGTACTCATATGATTGACATTCATTTCTCATGGCAAAGCGGAGCAACATAGCACTGCCTGTCTTCTGTGTACTATCTCCAGAGTTTTCTCTTTGTCCCTGCTCATTCAATCCTACAACCCTAGCACTTTCTGTGAAAGCACACTGACTCGATTTCTGCAGGAGATTTTAATTAAATTTGAAAGGGAGGCAGGTGGTATCAAGGCATGAATTGATGATGACTTCAGTTGGGTGGTGTGACATGTCTGTGTGTCTGGTTCTCCTTACAGAGGTGAAGTTCCAGCAGCGATTTGTGTTTCCAGTACAGTTTGGTGGCCCAATGATAGAGCACTGGTGGAATTCCAACCTCACTTTCCAAATTTATGTAAAGAAAACTCCACAGAAAAAGGTACTTTGAGTGATTTTGGCCTTTGCCTTACCTTCACACTAGGGATTTGGAGGATACCTAAAATTATATTCTTACCTAAACTAGGAATCTTCAGGTGCAGGCAGTACTAATAATCCATTGTTATTATTATTATTATTATTATTATCATTATTATTATTACTACTACTAATCTCTGCTGTTTGTCATGGGCCAGATATAATACTAAAGGCTCTACACGAGCACACTATCAATTTTAATCACCACAACTCTGTGAATTAGGTACATTATTATATTTGTTTTACAGATGAAGAAACTGAGATTTAGTTAACATGTCTAAGATCACTCAATCTAATGAAAGAGCCAGGACACCATCCCAAATCTGCTGTCTTTAGATCTCAAGTTCTTAACCTCTTTATTGTGCTGTTCCCTTCTAAAGAAAGGTAGCTATATTGATACAGGCTATTAGCCTTAATTTGAGGTTCTACTTCCTGTTTGCAGGCAGAATACATAAGGTATCCAAGCCCAAAATAATATAGTTGTGAGTAGCAGTTTTGATCAACTAATTCCAAGTTTATAAAATTGCTTGCAGCTGGCATAATGTAAATCAATAAACTATAACAAGCAGTTTTTACTTCCTTCAATAAAAGAGTAGTCTTTATAATCTTTTGACCTCTTATTTGGTATGGATAGCATGAAGAACATCTTGTTTTCTTTTATTTTTTTCAGAAGACATATACAATACAGGTCCTTTTTGAAAAATTATAGCAAAATAGGAATGGTGGGAAAGGCACATCATTTCATAACCTCAAGATAAACTCTATTAACATTTCAATGTATTTACATTGAATCATTTTCCTATACCTAATTAATGGCATTTTTTTTCTTTTCTTTTTTTTTTTTTTTTGACACAGAGTCTCGCTTTGTCGCCCAGGCTGGAGTGTAGTGGCGCGATCTCAGCTCACTGCAAGCTCTGCCTCCCGGGTTCACGCCATTCTCCTGCCTCAGCCTCCCGAGTAGCTGGGATTACAGGCTCCCACCACCACACCTGGCTAATTTTTTTGTATTTTGAGTAGAGACGGGGTTTCACCATGTTAGCCAGGATGGTCTCGATCTCCTGACCTTGTGATCTGCCCACCTCGGCCTCCCAAAGTGCTGGGATTACAGGCGTGAGCCACCATGCCCGGCCGGCATTTTTTTTCTAATTATAAAAGAGTTTTACGTATTTTTGTAGAAAACTTGAAAAATAATTTTTAAAAGGCAAAAATTGCCTGTAATTCTGTCACCAAGAAATAACTATTGTTAACATTTATGACTATCTGCATTGTCTTTTTCCAATGAATACAGTATGTTGTATAATTTTGTATGTAGGTTTTATTCTTCCTTTTTATCATTTAGCATCTTGAGGGTTTTTATTCATTTTTCTTCAAAAATATCTATTTAATGTTTTTCACATAATTTTGTATTTGAAGGTTTATGATATATATGAGTTAATACCCTTTTATCAAACATTATAACAGTTAATATTATTAGAAACTTTTAGTAAATGTCATTTTAATGGCTACATGTTATGCCATCATATGGATGTGCTATATAATTAGCTTAATAATTCCTGATTATTGGACAACTAGGTATATCTCATTGTTAACTACTTTTAACATATACATATTTGTGTATAAGCTTTTTATGCATTGTTTCTTATTTCTGTGTGTGTGTGTGTGTGTGTGTGTGTGTGACACAGTTTCATTCTTGTTGCCCAGGCTGGAGTGCAATGGCATGGTCTCAGCTTACTGCAACCTCAGCCTCCTGGGTTCGAGCGATTCTCCTGCCTCAGCCTCCTGAGTAGCTGGGATTACAGGCACCCGCCACCATGCCCAGCTAATTTTTTTGTATTTTTAGTAGAGACGGGGGTTTCACCATGTTGGCCAGGCTGGTCTTGAACTCCTGACCTGAGGTGATCTGCCTGCCTCAGCCTCCCAAAGTGCTGGGATTACAGGCATGGGCCACCGCGCCCAGCCTATTTATTATTTCTTTAGTACAAATTCCCAGAAATGGAATTACTGGGCCAAAGAGCATAAATATTTAAAGCTTTTAATATCTGTTACCAAATTTGCCATCCAAAAGCATATTGCCAGTTTATATTTCCAGCTTTACGCATATGACAGCCTCTTGTTTCTCCATAGCCTTGATAGCATTAGATATATTAAATTTTACAATTTCCCTAGTTTTAATAGCAAAAATTTGTGACATCTAAATTTTATTTTTTATTTTTAATAGTGAAGTTGAACATTTTGAGTAAGAATTAACTCTTAGTGATAGAAAAAGATAATCTTCCCACCACTTTGTGGCTTATAAAACCCTCTGTAATCTTATAGAGGGAAGTAGCAAAAGCCAGAAGAGAGACCAAAATATGACAAAGTGGGATCTCAGAGTTGTCTTAGATAATTAAGCTTTTTTCTTCCTGAATGGTTTCCTTTATAAGCCATCATATGTTGTCACTTTAATTAAGATCACCTGTGGCTTCTCTTTAATTAATCTAAATGTTCTCTTTCCTTCTTTCTCAGCCAGAAGTCATTGGATCTGTGTCACTTTCTTTGCGAGCTGTCATTCAATCAGAGCTGCTTTCTTTCAGTGATCAGCTTCCAGTGCAACAAGAAAATGGTCAGTCTCCATTTGGCCCCCTCAAGGTATGTAGATATACATTCAGGAAGTCAGAAGTATTTGCTGAGTATGCATTATTGGCTGGCACTGAGGATATAGCAGTGAACAAGAAAAGCAAGGTCTTTGATCTTGTGTAGCATCTCTTGAAATAGAGCAGTGGAAGTACTATGAAGGAAATAAATGGTATGATGTGATAGTGAGTACCTGTGAGAAAGTAGGAGATGGTGATCAGGGAGGATCTTTCTATGGAGGTGAAATAGAAGGTGAGATTTGAAGAATAAGAGGAGTAAGTAAAAAACACAGAGACCATTCCAGAGAGAATAACAGGTGCAACAGCCCTAAAGCAGGAGTGGGCTTGGAGTCATCAAGGGATAGAAAGTTGCCAGAGGATAGTGAGCAAGAGAGAGAGTGGTAGAAAGTAGGGTTGAACAGTCAGGTAGAAGCCATATCATCAGAGCTTTGTAGGTAAAGGTAAAGAGTTTAGATTTTAGCCTAAGATCCAAGGAAAGAATGTTGAAGCATGGGACTGACATCATCTGATTTCCATTTTACAAGATTACTGTGTGGAGAATAGACGGCAAGAGGAAAGAGGGAAATGGGCTGTGGCATTAGTCCAGAAAAGAGATGATTGATGGTGGCTTAGACTAGAGTAATTGAAATAAAGAAGGAGAGCAGTAACTAAGTGTGCCTGGTAGAATGAATTCTGGTATATAATTCATTGGAGAGAGGGTTATTTCCTTGTATTCAGGTGAGTTAGGATTTCTTAGATGACAGAATCTGAGCGTGTGGCTTCAGTATAGCTTTGTCCTGGTGAGTTTTAAAAATCAGCCGGGTGCAGTGGCTCAAGCCTGTAATCCCAGCACTTTGGGAAGCCAAGGCGGGCAGATTGCCGGAGCTCAGGAGTTCTAGACCAGCCTGGGCAACATGGCTAAACCACATGTCTACTAAAAATACAAAAATTAGCCAGGAGTGGTGGCACACGCCTGTAATCCCAGCTACTCGGGAGGCTGAGACACAAAAATCGTTTGAACCCAGGAGGCAGAGGTTGCAATGAGCCAAGGTTGCACCATTGCACTCCAGCCTGGGCGACAGAGCAAGACTCTGTCTCAAAAGAAAAAAAAAAATCATCACAGCCATGCCTAAAACATCCTGATGGCTCCCAATCACCCAAAGGATAAAGTACAAGGCTTAATATATGACCCTGGCCTACCATTTCAACCTTCTCTCTTACAGCTTCTCTACCAATAACTATGTCACTCTACGTAAAGAGTCAGTAAGGTATCATGCTGGTTCATGCCTCTGTGTTTTTGTTATTGATTATCATACTGCCTTTTCTTCTTGAAAGCCTTGTCTCTCTTCTTGGTCTTAGTAAATACCACTTTGCTTTAAAGACTTACACAATTATTATTGCAAAAAATTAACATCACCTACTCTTGCTATCCAAGTTATAGTTTTTGTCTGCCTGGTTCATTCTGAACTACAAAGTTTAAAATCAGAAAGGGGTTATAAATAGGATTGATCAACTAGAAATTTTTTCTGTTCTGGCTCTTTTGAGAGAAATACTATTCTGGATAGATTGCTGTCTATATTCAACAGAGTAAAAGAACCTTGCTATGTAACACTTAGGATTTCAGATCGAAGAAACAGCAAGAACCTTTTACCCCTAGTAATTGAGTCTCCTAACAGTTAGTGACCACTTCTGTTCTTTAAATTCATCATTTATCCTGCTTCCCTTTTCTTTTTTACTTTTTAATTATTTAGACTTTTTTATACCCTTTACTGAGACTCCCCAATTCTTACTATTTGTCACATTTTCTTTATAATTGTCTGTCTGCCTCTTCTCTGCCTCTCTCTCTCTGTCCCTTTATCTCCTCCCCCCATACATGTACATACACATTTTTTTGTGAACTATTTGAGAGTAAGTTGTACATCATGCCTCTTTCCCCCTAAATTCTTTAGTTTATATTTTATGTATTTCCTTAGAACAAGGACATCATCATGCATAATACTCTAGAGTTACAAAAGTCAGCATAGCATTGATACTATATCTGCAGGCTATACTGAGATTTCACCAATTATACCAGTGCCTTTATAGCAAATATTTTTTTCTAGTCCAGGATTATCTATTGCATTTTGTCAGATCTTCCTAATCTCCTTTAGTCAGGAACAGTTCTGCAGCCTTTCTTTATTTTTCAATATGCTGATATTTTTAAGTAATGCCAGTTATTTTAAAGAATGTTCCTCCACTGGGGTTAACCTGAATCACTTATTACTGTGATGATTGTCAAATGGTGATTTCTAACTCTACCGTCTCTTTTGCATTTATTAATTGGCATTCTATATAGAGAAGCTGTTTCTTCTCTCATATTTATTTTATATCAGGATGGATTCATGGATTCTTATTCAATAGTTTATAATCCATTACTGTTATTCATTCTGATGCTTAAGTTGTCCTAGATTTAGCCAGTGGGAGCCTCTTCAGCTGGATTCTGGGTCCTTTAAACATGGCTCCATTCTTTTCTGGGAACTATCTTATATTCTGGCATAACTTGATCTTCCAGGCTCATCTTTTGTTATTGATAAATCATCTGTCTAGTTTTTCTTAGTCTAGCAAGTTAATGTATATGCATTCTGTTAATATTCTTACTATTAGAGTGTTTGAGGATGAGTTAATTCATTTCCTAATAATCTGATGTTGTTTCCAGCCTCAAAATTCTAATTCCAATTCTAAAGGACATTCTTATTGACTCTTCTCCTTTTGTGTTTTACAGGTAACCATGGAGCTTATTACAGATAACAAAGATTTCACTGGTATCAATACTAAGTTAAGTGGCAACACCCATTATACCCCACTTTGTGCTCCTACAAGTCCAAATAAGGCACTACCAGAACTTAACCAAGATATGACCTGTACCAAAAATCCACAAAACTTAAACCAAATTCATGAGGAAACTGCAAAGAAAGCACAGAACTTGGTGCTCCCCAACCGAAAGTCACCAAGCCCTGTAGCACCACATCCTTCAACCTTCGTAGCTACGCCAGCCTCCCATAATTTAGTCAATCAGACAAATGGGACAACAAAAGAGAGTGCTTTGCTGTTGCATGTGCTGTTGATGGTGCCAGATGGGAAAGATTTTATTAGTGGAGAATCTGAGAAACAATCACCATGCAATGTTTATTTAAATTGTAAACTCTTCAGCACAGAGGAAGTCACCAGATCTGTCATCGCATGGGGCACAACACAACCGGTCTTTAACTTTTCTCAGGTAACTTTGTACATTCCATATCCATTAGAGGAATATAGGGGTGAGAGACAAATGCCTCCCAAATTATTATTTCGTCTTAAATCTAGAATGTTCAGACTAGAAGGAACCTTCGTAATTATCTGGTGTACAGATTCAGTCCCACTATTGGATGGGAAGAGGGAAAGGCATTGTCAACATTTTAAAACTGTTTGTCTTTATTTCTATTCTGTCTGAGTTCACATGGTTTCTCACTGTTTCTTTTGCCTGAGTTTTGGGATTCTATTCCTTTCTGCTTCCTCTAAGACTTTGATTAGTTAAACCTCCCCATCTTTCTCCAATCTCTCCTTCTTTATTACTTTATTTTATATATTTCTCCTCACATTTATTCTTCTGCCTACTTCAGTATTCATCTTAACTTGATTTTTCTGTGTAATGTGGTGCTTAAATTGTTTTCTTTCTTGGTTTTTGTAACTTTACTGTCTTAATTTCTTCCTCACTCAAAGCTGTTCTTTTTCAGTCATTGGGCCAGAAGGAAAACTAGGAAAAGGGTGGTAACCCCAGTACTTCTTCCTTTAACTGTTGGTGCTTCCACTCTTACTCTATTGCTGGCACTCTTCCAAATCAACCCACTTCTCCCCATGGTCATCACATCTATCAACACAGCTTCAGCACTCATTTTTATGAAGATAACTTCCATGTCTACATTTCTATATAAGCCAGACATTTCCTTTTAGTTTGAGATTTCTGTATCTAACTGCCTGCTGGTCATTATCACCTGGATATCTCAGAAGCAGTTTACACTTGGCACCTAACACATTGCCTGGCACATACTGGGTATTCAATAAAGATGTGTAAATGAAAGAATGAATTCAAACATGTTCAAATCTGAATTTATCACTTCTTCCAAATCTGTTCTTCCTCTTTTTGTCTGCCCTAATTCAAATTATAATTTACTCAGGCACCTAAGTAGAACCTGTTATTTGTCCTTGACTCTTTCTTATGTAATTACTTACCAAGTCTAATAGATACTACTAACTTAATTATCTGGAAGACATCCCTTTACCTTCACTGCACTGCCACTGCTTCCATTCAAACCTTCACCCTCCTTCCAAATAGCCTTCAGACTGGTATAGCTGTTTCCCAGCTCTCTTTATGTCCATTGCCTCCTTTATGCACCAATGAGAATGACCTTTCTAAAACACTAACCTGAACATTTTACTTTCCTGCTTAAAGCCTTTCCGTGATTCCCTATATCCTTCAAGATGGAATGTAAATCCTTGGCATCCAAGACCCTTTGAAAACTGACTGTATGTACTTCTCCAGCCTCAGCTCCTGCCACTCTTCCCCTTATACTAGATAGCCCAGCTGTGCTCAGCTACTTAGACTTTCCTGAATATTCTCTTCTCCTACTTCTGTATCTTCATATGTGCTCTTTCTTCTGCCTTGAATTTCCTTTAAGCCTTCTTGACACCACTTAAGCAGAGCTTTTTGTATCAGTTAACTCCTGCTCAGCCTTGAGATTTAAGGTTACTTTGTCCCAGAAGTAGTTGCCTGCAACTTCCTTATTTGGAGGTTAGGTTGCTGTTCTAGTTTTACTTTTTTTGGTTTCAAGGAACAGAAATGTGTTCAGGATATAAACACTAGGTTTGTATCCACCTTGTGTTTCTTAGGTGGATACAAAAGTAGCTCTGCTCTGTTTTCTGGTGTCTTCCTCTCATCATCCCTTTTCTAATTTCACACTTTTTGCCTCTCATGTTTTCTATTGGTTTCAACATTGGGGCTTATTGACCTTCTACTGTTACAGTTGTCCCTACAGCTTGGGTTTCTTCAAATTGGTGGGCCCTTGATTCTACCACTAATTTGACAAAGGTGCTTTTGGCTTAGATCTCTGATTCTCTTTGTGACCTGTCTTTTTCAACTATCAACTGGCCAATTCTGGAGTAATTTTATGTTGAAAATCCAGAGGAGCAGTTGGCTTTGCTCTTTACTGTGACACCTGTTGGGCAGAGCTTTTGGCACTTGGCCATTTTATTAAATGCTATCCAGCCAGTGAATTGGCTGCCCTTTGATAAAATACTCAACTCTTGTCAAGTCAGTAGCATACTTGTTTCAAAAACATCTTTCTTTCAGTGGGGTTTACTAGTGGATCACTTTGCCTTAGAAAGGGTTGGACGAGTTTGGCAGGCACCATGTTTGACATATTTAACAACCTTCTCTGTGTCCTCAAAGCTCCACCTGTATGAGCTTTGTCATCAGAGAACTCACTGTTTTGTATCTGGCCTTTATGTGTTAGTCTCTAACAGCAGACTGCTACTTCTCTTGAGGATACAGAGTAAGTTTTATTTGAATGTCTTTAGCTCATAACACTGTGTGTTAACAATAGGCTTTCTGTAAATGCTTATTGAATGAAAGTATAAATTAATATTTGTCTCAGGTATGAGTTTTTTGTTTGTTTTGGTTGTTCCTCTCTCTTAGGTGATTCCTGTCTCTCTGTCTTCCAAATACCTGGAAAGGCTTAAGAACAATGTGATGGTAATTGAAACTTGGAATAAGGTGCGGAGCCCAGGACAGGACAAGCTGCTCGGGCTGGTGAAACTTCCCCTCCACCAGTTTTACATGTCATTCAAGTAAATAGGACCTTTTGGAGTATTCTTTATTGTGCATCTTTAACTTTGCATGGACTGAAAAGGAATTCTTTTGATTTGCAAACATGAATAGCCCAGTAATCCCTTGAAGGACTTTTTCCAGTTTCAACAGAGTTGCTGCTCTTTCTCCTATTCTAAAGCAGTCTTAGAGATATTGCTTACCATGTTTCAGGCACTATGCTAAAAACCTTGCAACATCAAGTCATTTAATCTTCTTGACAAACCCTCTGAGGCAGGTACTTCTATTTGCTTTTTTGTACAGATGAGTTAACAGAGATTCAGAGAAGTTAAATTACTTGTCACATACATTATAAAGTGAAGGGTTAGGACCCAAGATAGCATGGCTCTGGAGTCCACACTTCACCAAAAAACTCTATTGTCAAAAGTTACCACCTCTCAAAAGGTGGTTTACCATTCTGTCACGGAACTTCAGTATTGTTCACATCAACTATTTGCAAGTTTTATATAGTGAATATTATCTTTTAGACCTTCAGATTTGATTGCTCCACCTCACTTTTAACACGTAGGTGGGGTATTGATTAACCTGAAGGTTATTTCATTCCTCAATACAAACTGTTTCTTTTTTGTTGTTTTTCTTTTTTTTTTTTTTTGAGACGGAGTCTCACTCTGTTGCCCAGGCTGGAGTGCAGTGGCACGATCTCGGCTCACTGCAAGCTCCATCTCCTGGGTTCACGCCATTCTTCTGCCTCAGTCTCCCAAGTAGCTGGGACTACAGGCACCTGCCACCACACCTGGCTAATTTTTTGTATTTTTAGTAGAGACGGGGTTTCACCGTCTTAACCAGGACAGTCTCGATCTCCTGACCTCATGATCCGCCCGCCTCAGCCTCCCAAAGTTATGGTGTTACAGGCATGAGCCACCGCGCCCAGCCTAAACTGTTCCTTTTTAATTTTGACTCAAGATTCTGATTTTTAATTATTTTAGCACTGACCTCTTTCCTAGCAGCCTTCTCATAGTTCTGTGTTTTAAATGTTGTGTTTTACATTTTACAAAGAGCACCTTTGTGGGCATTAGCTCATTTGAACCTTACTATAACCCTATAAAGTATTGTTATTATCCCTATATTACAGATGAAGAAATTTGTCCTTTAACTTGCAGAAGTCACTTAACCTCTCTGACTTTCTTTTCCTCATCTGTAAAATGAGGGTGATAGTAGATTACCTATCTCTCTTGTGGAACAATCGTGAAGATCTAGAGAGAAAATACATGGATATGCCTTCTGTGAACAGCTGAGTATTAATACTTACAACAGTAACATTGGAAATCATGGCCAGGCTGGGTAGTCCTGCTGGAATCGTGGATGCCACTGTCTGCTGTAGGCTGTTAGTTTTCCTTTTTTTCTTAAATTATGATGTTAGTTTGGTCTAGTGTTACCCTTCTTCCACTTCACTTCTCATTCCATTAGATCTCATTCTTTGCTCAGAGTGTGTAAAATAATAGTAACTACCAGTTACTGGGCATCTTCCATGTACCAAGCATCATAGTTGGTATTTTGTATGTTATCTCAGTTTAGTCCTAACAACCACTCTTTGATGGAAGTTTTTTCATTGCGTACGTTTTAAAAATGACAAAACAGACTCAAAAATGTTAAATGAATTGCTTGAGTCACACAGCAAATAAGTGGCAGAGCTAAGATTCAGCATGGCATTATAAATCATTTATCAGAGCTTGAATCCCAACTTAACCTCCTACTAGTTGTGTATCCTTAGCTAAGTTACTTAACCTCTTTAAATTTGGCTTTTCTCATCCATTAATAGTGGATAATACCAACCTTTGCAGCGTTAAAAGGATTAGAAATACTATAAAATGCCTAGCACATACTAAGCACTTAGTAGATGGCAGATATTGGCAATATTTTCCAAATCTTATCTGTCAGACACCAAAGTCCACATTCTTCCTAGTAGACCACACTTCCTCCCTTTAAAATAATGCAGTTTAGCAAAGCTCCATGAGATACTGTTCAAATCACAGACACTGGACTTGGGTCCATAATGCTACAGAGACATATCAGACACATTCCTTGCCTTCAAATTGCTACATTTTGAACTTCTCTGCCTGGTAATTTTTATTTGGTAGGTTACTGACAGATGCACACATTTTTTAAAACCACTATTACTTTTCCAGTTGCAAATCTATTTTTAACAAACTGAAAAAATGAGTCAAGAAAGAAATAACTCTATGACATGATTGATGCTTGTTATTTGCTTATTCACAATTTCTCCCCCTCTAGAGATGCTAAGATTTCTCGCCTGCTGCTGGATGCCCAGTACCCAGTTGTTGCTGTCGACAGCTACATGCCTGTGATTGATGTGTTTTCAGGCCACCAAAATGGGAGTCTTCGAGTCTTTTTAGCTATGGGTTCTTCAAATCAAATAATGGCACTACAAAGATTAAAGAATGAAGAAGGAACACTCCCTCCCTTCAGCCCTAGGCCAGCCCATTTCCTGGACCAGCCAACTGCAGCATCTGTTGCTATGGTAATAAACGCTATGGTTTACAAAAAGTCATTATTTCATTTTCTCTTGCATATTTTAGTGAATTTATTGCCCAAATCCTTTATTTCTGTAATGAAAGGCTCAACAAAAGAACATAATGTGCACTCCAGTGCTTCCTATAAATCAAAGGAATCATTGGTAATTTTCTGTTATGATTTAAATGGATCTCTATGTCCCTCTTAGCTCCCTGAATTTATAAAGAAAATCCAATCGAACAACCAAATCTTAATTATCTAATTTACTGGCTTAATTGCCTTTAAAAAAGATTGGGAGTGGAGAGTGATCCCAAATGTAAGCCAGCAAAATCTTACTCTGCTTATTGGCTGAGCCCATGCTGGAAAGTCATTGTGAAGTGCTTGCTTATCTACTAGTAATTTAAAAGTAATTTGTTTTTGTATGGTGCTGTCCAGTTGAGAAAGCACATTGACATACATTCTCATGTTTATTTCCCTAACAACTACCTGAGGTGGGTTATTGTTATTCTGTTTTATAGATAATGAGACAGAATCAAAGAGGTTAGGTTACTTGTCCGGGGTCACATAACTAGGAATGAGAGAATTGGGATTCAGACACAGGTCTTCTAACTTCAAGTTCAGTCTTTATTCCACTGTATCATGTACTACTGTATCTTCTATTTGTTGTCTTTACTAGTACAGCCAAATCTCAGTATCCATACCATTTAAGTATGTTATATTCTTAAGTCTGAACCCAAATGACAAATTTAAATGTCTCTAGCAGGGAAAGAACTATTAGGAAAATAACTTTTAGCAAGTTATGGTTTATTTGTATATTATGAACTCCACATTTTTCTTAGTTATTTGTTAGATTTTTTTTTTTTTTTCGAGGTGAGGTCTTGCTCTGTTGCCCAGGCTGGAGTGCAATGGTGCCATCTCAGCTCACTACAACCTCCACCAACTGGGTTCAAGGGATTCTCCTGCCTTGGCCTCCCGGGTAGCTGGGATTACAGGCACCCACCACTGGGCCTGGTAACTTACATATTTTTAGTAGAGATGGGATTTCACCATATTGCCCAGGCCAGGCTGGTCTCGAACTCCTAACCTCAAGTGATCCACCCACCTCCACCTCCTAGAGTGCTGGGATTACAAGCATGAACCACCACACCTGGCCAGTTATTTCTTAGATATTATTGTTTGTCAATAGATAATCGTATTTTTCAAGTTGAAAATTACATAAAAGCACAAATAAAGAAAAGCCACATTAATATCCCCAAGTCTGTTTAGGCGTTGTATGGCTGTCATCTTGCAGTGTAGACTCAGATTTTGTTAAATTCCATAGTAAAGGTTAGAAAATGTTTCTCACTACATGCACAGAGGAAATCCTTGAAAGATTTACCTGTGGGATTAGATATCTATAAAAACAATTGTTTTTCCTCCTCTACTCATGCCTCTCATCCAATTCACCATTTGCAGAACTGAATATCAAATTGCTGTGATACTATAAGGCCAAATTAAGTAGCTGTTGTGACTCTGAGAGATTTTTTTTTTCAATTTTTTTTGCCCGAGGGAATCAAATTGCAAGTTTCCTGTTTTTCTAAGGAAAATTTTTGAGCAGGTATTGCTAAAATATGCTTTCAGATTTCAAAGCAGAGACCTAATACAGTCTCTGTTCTAGATTTTTTGGATTAGTAGTTAAAATGTTAAACACATGTATATCATATAGTCTCAACTCTTTTCTGAATGCTGAATTCCCCCTTTGAATTTTCCTGAATAATTCATTCTCTAAGATCTGCTGTATAGAATAGGGATAAAGAACACTGACTCTGGAGTCAGACTACGTTGAGTCTAAACCTGGTTCCACTGTTACTAGCTCTGCATGTTAAATCACTTAATGAAGGTGAGCTGTTTGGTATAGTGCCTGGTTCATAGTAAATCCTCAATAAATACACGATTATTTGTTGTTATTACCTTTAGTAACAGTGTCTTCACTACCTCCCAAAGTAGTCCTTACCATTATTGGACAGTCCTGGTGTTATACCCAACTGATTTGAAATAGTAATTAGTACCTGTTTGCTATTCTGAATGGCCAGACTGAGGAGTCCTGCTGGAATCGTGGATGCCACTGTCTGCTGTAGGCTATTAGTTTTCCTTTTTTTCTTAAATTATGATATTAGTTTGGTCTGGTGTTACCCTTCTTCCACTTCACTTCTCATTCCTTTGCTGTTCTAAATGTAGAATTTATTCTAAATTTACGATTTATTATTTTTCCTATGAAGGGAACAGCCTTCTATTCTTAGTATATTAAGAGCTTTTATCAGGAACAAATGTTGAATTTTATCAAATGCCTTTTCAGCATTTGTGTTAATCATTTTTATTGTTCCATTAATGCACTGAATTACATTTATGGATTTCCTAATATTAACCCAGTCTCATAGTCAAGAGTACATCCTGTTTAGCCTACTTACAGTGAGTAGTTGTGAGAGTTACAATGAAAATTAAGTGTCTATTTTAGTATCAACTAATTATACTTATCTCTTTATCTATACTCAGACTTCATAGAGAAGCAGAAATATTCTAAGCAAGTTACTCTTTAAAGCTCACCAGTGTTTCTGTTTCATTTAATAGGCAGAGGACCGAGGAAATGGACTGATGGAGCACTGCTTTGAGATCCATATAGAGATGGTTAAAGGGCTAGCCCCTCTTCAGGCAACAGTCTGGGGAGAAGCAGATTGTTATGTCCAGTACTACTTTCCAGTTCAACACTCTCAATCCAGTGTGCTGAAAGGACCTGAGTTCCTTGAAAATGGTAGGTTTAGATATTAGGCTTTCTTATTCTTATATGGTTCTTTTATTAGATTATACTTAAGAGTTTTTTTTTTCTGAGTGAATTTTGTGTTGTTGAATATTTCTAGTCTTACTGGGCAGTAAAACAGGAGATAGGCCAAGTTTTTTTTATTTTTTAACTATTTTTGTAGCTTTTTATTTTGATACAATTTCAAATTTACAAAAACCTGTAAAAATAGTACAAAGAACTTTGGTATACTCTTTACCTAGTTCTACCAATTATTTGCATTTGCCCTATTTTATATCCTTTACATGCCCACTCTTATCTATACACATAGTATAAGTTGATTCTTATTCCTCGCAGTAGTTCTGTTCTGTAAAGCCACCATGAACGCTGAATTAAGGAATACTGAACCACTGTTCCTAAGGGAAATATGTACATATACATATCTCACATAGATCATTATCTTAACTCCTAAAACAACTTACCCTGGTAGACTCTGTTTTCTTTATTTTATGAAAGAAAAAATGAGATTCACAAGCATTAAGTGACTTGCTTGGGGCTGCCCCACTAACAAGTGCCAAGGTTGGGATTCAAACCCCATCCTACTGTACCCAGATTGGAAGCTTCTCACTGCCTCCTACTGTCTCCATCTTCTGGTAGTCTCGGAGAGCTGAAACAAGAAGTCAAACTCGCTCACCTTTTTCTCACCTGGGAACAAACAGACCAGGTGACTCGAACTTTTTGCCATTCGGTGTATGTTCCAGAATGATTGCCAGAGTGCTGCCAGTGTTGATTTTGAGGTTCAAATAAGAGATTTGTATATACAGAATATATAAAGAACTCTTACAAATCAATCATTTCTTAAAAACCAATTAAAAAGTGGGCAAAGGATCTGAATAGACATTTCTCCAAAGATATACAAATGGCTAATAAGCACATGGAAAAATACTGAGCATCATTACTTATTTGGGAAATGCAAATCAAAACTACCAAGATACCATTTCATACTAGCTAAGGTGGCTATAATTAAAAAAAAAAAAAAAAAACCTAACAAGTGTTGGCACTTGTATGGCAATATATGAATTGTCCACCAGCAAGGTATCTTTTTCTTCTGTATTATCATGGGACCTTAGGGAACCATAACTACTAGGGAATTACTAAGTAATATTCACTGGAAGAACATGAAAGAAGAAGAAAACACTAAGTCATATGTTGGATTATTCTGAAATGCTTTTCTTTTCCAAAGGAATTACTCTGAAGCCCTTCAGAACTGCAACCACACTCTGTGTTCCAGATCCCATCTTTAATAGTGAACACCATCACTCTCTCCTGTTGCCAGCTGAGGTTCCAGTGCAAAGGCTCCTACTAAGTGCTTTCTCTGCACAGGGCCTCGTGCCTGGAGGTGGAGTCCAGTTTGAAATCTGGTGCAGGTACAGTGTGGAGACCCCAGTCCTATGCCTAGGAAGGAAGTGCACAATCATAAAGCATCCTACTCCTAACCAGCCTAGGTTGAATTATTGTAAGGAAGCTAAGCAGCCTCTTCAGCCCTGTTTTATGTTATTTGGATTTGACAGTGACTCTTGTCCAGTTTTTACTGAAGTCTGTTATTAGGATCTTATGACCCATTGTATCTCATATTTCTAATCACTACTTACATTGAAAGTGAAAGTTTTATTTATTTTACCTCCTATTATGTATTAAACATATCAATCACCTTTTTTGTGCGTCCCTTACTGCCTTATTTAGTTCAGGCCCTTTTCATATCTTGCCTAAATGACTGTGGTAGCCTCCTAACTGGCCTCCTACTTATAAACTCATTTCTTGTAACCTGTTCTTCCCACCACCAGAGGAACATTTATATTTATTTTATAAATATAATTTAATAATATAATTTATATATAACAAATATATAAATTATTATATTTGATTTATATTATAAAATATAAATCCACTCAATGTTACAGACATTGGAAGATTTCCAGGAAAATACTGGCATAAATACGGATGTTCAACCCACCCCTTTACATCTGCACCACCGACAAACCAACTAAAGTGCTTAAGAGAGTATAAATATAAGAGGAAAGGAAACAGCATCAGGAACAGAACTAGGGATGAGTACCATCCACATGCGAGAACACTTTCCTAAATACAATTAATTGTCAGTCAAGTACAAAAAAGATTTTTAAAACCACCTAGGTTTGAGTTACAACTTTGCAATCTAAGAATGGATTGTTTTGACATAAGAAGGAAATAGAGTAGGTACTGACAGATCCTCATTACCCTGGTAAATTAGAGGGGCTTCAGCATGAAGATGAGAGTAAGCCATGAAAGATATTGGGCCTACTCCACTTTGAACCACTTTTGCTGCTGCAAGATGGAAGCTTTCAGGAGTGGCCACCCCCGACAGGTTCAAGGCATGTACAGTTACCGCACAGAAAACTTGAGGGAAGCTAGGCTTTGTCCTGAACTCGGTATAATTTATGGAGTTCCTCCTCCACATAATGAGTGGTAAATTTAGCCAGACACCATAGCTGCGTACTACCAACACAGAACAATCAGGCACCAAAGATAACCAGGTAGTGAAGGCTGATCTGTGGGGCAGACTGAATCATTTATCACCTAATTCTTCTGACAACGTGTGCTTTTGTGGTTTACAGATACTATTATCCTAATGTGAGAGACCAGAAGGTCGCCAAAGGAACCTTGCCATTATCAAGGATCTGTGCTATGGTAACCACCCAGCATCGTGAGGATGTGGGAATACAGACCTTTAATCTCCCTTTAACCCCCAGGATTGAGAACAGGAAAGAATTGAGGAACCAGTCATCAGGTAATTGAAAACAAGTTTGTCTTTTTCTTTCAAAATCAGTATACATAAAAATATATAAAATAGCCGGGTGCGGTGGTTCACACCTCTAATCCCAGCACTTTGGGAAGCCAAGGCGGGTGGATCACCTGAGGTCAGGAGTTCGAGACCAGCCTGACCAACATGGAGAAACCCCGTCTCTACCAAAAATACAAAAAAATTAGCCAGGCATGGTGGCCCATGCTTGTAATCCCAGCTACTTGGGAGGCTGAGGCAGAAGAATTGCTTGAACCCAGGAGGCAGAGGTTGCAGTGAGCCAAGATCAAGCCATTGTACTCCAGCCTGGGCAACAAAAGCGAAACTCGTCTCAAAAAAAAAATATATATATATATACACACACACACACATATATATATATAAAATATACAGTATACATAAACATCCCTTTTCTCTCTAAATTAGTGATTCTCCACATTTTGAGGGATTTGCCCTTTTGAGGATCTGATGAAAACTGTAAGACACCTTGTCTTGGAAAAAATGAGTATAGAATATACACTGCCAATTTTGTATACAATTCTAGAAAACTCATAGCTCCATGGAGTCTATGTAAATGTTGCTTGTCTCATTTCACCTTTAACTTCAGCAAGCATTTTATAAGCCCTCATGCCATAAATTCTAAGCATTATATGGTACACTCAGAGAATTGTTATTCCAAGCCAACATGAGCAGATAGGGGATTGGTAGAAGATAGCATGAACCAGGAATTCACTGTAAGGGAGGAGAAGGCTAGGGTTTAAAGTTAGGAGAGGATTAATTCGAATTTGGAGATTTGAATGATATTACATCCTAATGCTTCCAGCAGGATGGTGTACCCTCTAAATTTATCATCAGATAACGAAGTTTAGCCTCCTATATCAAGTTGCTGTACATGCTTGCTAAAGAGTATCTGCCAAAACAATAGGTTTTATGTCACCATAATTAAGATTGAGTTGTTTCTCCTGACCCTCCCTGATCAGCTTATTCTGTTATTCCATAAAGCTGTCCCTGAAATGTGACAGTAGGATGATAGAGGTTTTATAAAAAGGTAGCATGAGAAGGATATTTCAGGTGGTGATGGTAGGAGGGTGATAGAAGTATGTGAGGTGTGGAAACCGTTTGAAAGTTTAAAAAGAAAATGGCTAGAGCCCATCTCAATTCTATAAACATAATTGGGGGTAAAAAGAAATCTGGAGTTAAGTTCTGCCTTCAGTAGTTGTGTAATCTTGGCAAGGAATTAAATCTCTGAACCATAATTTCTTGAATGTAAAGTAAATTAGTAACCTGTTAAACCTTTATTAACCTTAAAGAATAACAATGTGATTATGACAAGGACAGATTCTCTCATTGCCCTTATTGTTCGTTGTAGTGTTAATCCTCTTCCATCCTTCCTGACCAAAACTTTGTGGTTTGGTGGAACAGAGATTCTTCTGACCAACCTTCTTTCCTTGTGTCCTCATTCTTCAGGTTTACTGGATGTGGGCCTAAGGTACAGGCGTAGTCCAAGAACAGCAGAGGGAGTTCTTGCTGCCCGAACTGTTTCCATCTCAGTCCAGATTATCAGAGCCTGTGGTCTGCAAGCAGCAGCCAAGTAAGTCCACCTGAGACAAGCAATTCTCAAGCCTTTTACACTGCAATCATTGTAAAATAATGCTCAGATATGCAAAACTTTCTTAGGTATAATTTCCAGTTCACTAACCACAACTCCTCTTTTTCTGTTAATAAAGCATTTCAGAATATGAGTAAATCACTTGCAAACGTTGCTATTTTAACTGTTAGCAACTTACCTCCTTGACCTTGCCCAACAATTTTATCCTGTGCCTTTCTTAACAACTTAGTCTTATGGCCATACCCTACACCATCAAACCATGCCATACCCAATCACTGCAACTCCTGTGTAATCTCACTTCATTCCTTTCAGTCTCTGAGTACTACCTCCTATTTTTCCAGCTTGCACCCCTTTAGTCTGTTCTCAACATAGTAGCCAGTGAACCTATGAACACTTAAGTCTAGCTTTGTCGCCCAGGCTAGAGTGCAGTGGCGGGATCCTCATTACTGTGTTGGTCAGGCTGATCTCGAACTCCTGACCTCAAGTGATCCACCCGCCTCAGCCTCCCAAAGTGCTGGGATTACAGGCGTGAGCCAGTGCACCTGGCCTATGTTTGATCTTATTCAGAGTAAAAACCAGAGCCCTTAAAATGGCTATGAGACCCCATATGATCTAAACCACGTGCCCCACCCCCCATCTATCTTTGTGATCTCATCTCCTGCTAGTCTGCCCTCTGCTTACTCCACTCCAGCCACAACCCCCATGTTGCTTCTGAACACACCAAGCATATTTTCCTCTCAAGGCCTTTGTCTTGCTGTTTTCTCTGCCTGGAACACTATTTCTCTAGAAAAACAGCACAGCCCTTTCCCTTACCTCCTTCAGGTCTTCACTCATACTTCTCTCTGCCTTGAATATTCTTCTTCCTTTTGTCTACTTAACAAACTCCTATTTTCCTTCAAGACTTTGCAACATCTTTACAGTCTCTCTTTATTTCTTTGTACGTGTAGGCAGAGTTGGTGGTTTTTCCTTTGTTAACACCTTGGTTGTAGCACATATTCTGTTTCAATTATTGGCATACATGCATTTTTCTCCCACTAGGCTGTGAGTTCCTCTAGTCAGAGATACTGCCTGAGCTCCTCTCCATCCTTCTAACCTCCTAGCATAGTTCTAGCATATAACAGGCACCCAGTAAGAAAGAGAACTAGATCAGGCTCCTGCTTCAGACTGACACCCTTTGAACAAAGAAACAGACAAGTGCTCCCTAACTTTTTCCCTGTTGTAGCTGAGGGTCAAACTGTTCACCTATAACTTTATGGTCTCCAAATAAGAAATTGCATTATTGTGTGAGATCTGATGCTGAAGAGCTAAGATACTCAGTGTAGTTAATATTGTTCCTCACTAAATTCTCCACGTAGACTCTTTCAGTTACTGCCCAAGAACATCTTAGTGTTAGTGAAGGTGATGTCAAGACAGGTTGGTTTTGGGTTTTGTTTTTATGTTTGTTTTGGTTTTTGGTGTGTTTCGTTTGTTTGTTTGTTTAATTTCAACTTTTTATTTTAGATACAGGGGTACATGTGCAGATTTGTTATATGGGTATGTCGCATGATGCTAAGGTTTAGGGTACAGATCCCATCACTGAGACAGTAAAGCAGTTTTATAATCATACCACTTCCTTACATTAAAACTTGATGATTTCCCATTGTTGATAGCAGTGATCTCATAATTTTAATTATGCATTCCTATTAATAAAAAAGGTAGCATACCCTTTAAATATGTACATATTTACTCATGTATAAATCATCTTCATGTACTGCTATACTCATATACAAAATATATTCTAAGATATACCATGGAATAGAAAAACTTTAATATATGAGATAACCAATATAGTTTATCCTATGAACCTCCTAAGTTGTATACAGCCTTCTTTAGGGATCATTGGTCCATATAATAAGGTCCAACTTCCTTAGCTTGGCATTCAAGCCCCTTCAAAATAAATCTGAGTCTTAAAAGAAGAATAGTAGTTATCAAGATACCCAAAAGGGGTGAAAATTATTTTGGTGAAAGAGAAGAACATGTGCAAAGGCAGGGAGGCATGAAACTTGTGTTTTTGGAGTACCTCCTCAGTCTCAGATCCAGCCAACATCAGAATTCTTCAATATGGCATTAAATTAACTAGCATTTAATTGGCAGAGAAGGACTCAGAATTTAGATACTCAGTAGATCTCAGAGAGGGCAGATAACAAGTCGGAAACTCAGTAGTTGCTCTGTCTGAGGACTCATGAGGAAAGTCAGATTGGATGACAGGCAGTTTGTTCTAAATCTCCCATTTGGTCTGTGTCATATATTCAAGGAGGGAGAACAAGAAGCCAGGCCAGTTCTGACACAACACTCTTCTGGTAGGTTGGGAGAGGTTCACAGGATGTGAGACAATGCATGGTATAATGGACACAGAACTGTTCTAGAAATCAGACACTATAGCTTCTAGTCTCACCCCCATCTCCTACTAGCTGTGTATGATTTGGGGCTGATTTCTTTACTTCCATGAGCTTCGGTTTCTTCATCTGAAATGGAAATTTTAAATACCTACCCTGATTTTGTAGGGATCAGTGTAAAAATTAACAAATATGAAGTCATTTTATAAACTACAAACTATTGTACAAATATACAGATTTTTATGATTACTTCCACTTGTATAGATAATTGTGACCTCTATTTGCCAGTAAAATCAGAGAAGTAAATTTTGCATTGCCTCTTACTGAAAAGAATTCTTGATGTTCTAAACTTACCCCTCTTGAATCCTTACGCTGGCATCTAGATAGCAGGTGCTGTAAATTAGTCTTCTCTCATCAAGAAACACCAGCCTCCATCTTACCTGCCAGTGGTCTTCCTGAAAATACATTGTTGGTGCCTATGTAAAGTAGGCACTTCTTACTGACTTGCTTCTTCTAACTCACCTGATCTTTAACTCAGAGTGAATAGAACCTTTCTTGGACATAGCCAGTAGTCTTTAAATGCCGTGAAGCTAAGGAATTGAGGCTACTTCACTACTATATATCCAGCTGAGCCCAAGGCATGACACACAGAGCAGATACCCAGCAAATAACGACTGAATGAGTGAATTCAAACCAGCTTGGGGCCCAAGCCTTTCTGCCATCTCACTGCCATCTCTGAAAGTTCCCTATTAAGAGTCCTTCACTGTCCATATGCAAGTTCTTTCTTTTGTATATATTATCTAATGTTATCTTTACAACACCCTATGAGTATTTTATCCTCATTTTTTTTTTTTCGAGATGGAGTTTCACTCTTGTCGCCCTGGCTAGAGTGCACTGGTGCGATCTCAGCTCACTGCAACCTCCGCCTCCTGGGTTCAAGCGATTCTCCTGACTCAGCCTCTGAGTAGCTGGGATTACAGGTGCCCGCCACCACGCCCGGCTAAGTTTTTGTATTTTTAGTAGAGATGGGGTTTCGTCATGTTGGGCAGGCTGGTCTCAAACTCTTGACCTCAGGTGATCCGTCCACCTCAGCCTCCCAAAGTGCTGGGATTACAGGCGCGAGCCACCGCACCCAGCCTATCCTCATTTTTTAAGCTACTGCTAGCATTCAATTTATTTTCACCCCATTTTTCCTAGGCATAATATATACTTCATGGTATACTATTGTATGGATGCACATTAATCTTCTGTTAATGATAAATCATCTATTAATGATCATTAACGATAATGAAAAGGAAAAAGTTTTTCTTTTTTTCTTAGAAATGAAATTGCAGTAAGCATCCAAATATATAATATACATCTTTAGTATTTATATACTATCTTATGTTAACCTCATCTTAGTGAAGAGGAAACTGAGACTTAAAGGAGGTTGAATAACTTATCCAGAGTCACATGGTAAGTAAATGGTGGAGCCAGCATTCAAACCCAGATCTGTATAACTCCAAATTACTACTCTCTATGAAGTACAGTAAGGTTTTAACAGGAAGGAACCCAGAAGTCTACTTTAGGGATATCAAGAAATGCTTCAAAAATAGGTGATTTCTTTGCCTAGATGTCAACTCTATCGCCTTGGGGAGTTTAGGGAAAGGGGGTTTGTCCCATACTGTAGCTACACCCAAATGACTTGACTACTCTTTATGAGTGTCGTTAAAGGCGTGTAGATTCCATTTATACATCATGGAACATCTGTGCTGAGAAAGATAAAAGCAGCCCCAGACTTCTGGGAATTGGGCCAAAATTCATAGGTAGGCTTTGGTGTTTTCTTGTTGACCATAAGTAATCTTACAGAACATCAGCATCAGACAAGATCACTGTATGACTATGATGAAGTGAGACAAAAACAAGACAGCTCCATCATCATGTCTAAGCACAGACCAAAACGAGGTCACTTATGCAAACCATAGAAACAGCCAACATCCTCCTGTCTGGCTAAAATGAGTGACAGCTGCTGCTTCACCAGTTATAGCTTTAGCTTTACTCTAGTATTCCCTCCGTCTAGATAAGATTCTTTAAGAAAATCAATCCAGAGCAAAGCCCTGCTCCTTTAAGCCCTCACTCAAGTCAGCTAACACAAGTCCAATGCTGATAAGCCCTTTCTGATACTTCTCACTGAGATGTACTATGGTTCCCCATGGTGTATATTTTCCTTAATTGCAATGAGCAGTAAACCCAGCTTGTTCAACTAGAGTTGGTTCCTGTGGTCCTTGACTTAAGAGCATTGACAGGACAGTGGGTCATCCTCAGAGTCACTCTGATGGGCAGATGTTATCCCCTCCACTCCCATATACATATGCCATGATATCTAGATTACTAAGAAAGCCCATTGTGGCACTGCCAAAAGCCTAGATAGAAAGCATATA